>NC_000007.14:72203748-72506779 GCF_000001405.40 Homo sapiens | reverse complement strand
TCCACATGAAATTTACTGTCATTTACGGATATTTTCCTTGTGACCTAAAATATGATCAATTCCTGTGAATTTCCCATGTGTGCTTGAGAAGACCAGTTTGCTGTCATTAGGCATAAAGTTCAATGCATATTCATGAGGCCTGTGTCCTTTAAATTATTATGCTGCTCATTTCTTCTATTCTGTACTTATTTTTTTGTCCACTTATTCAATGCCATTAAACAGGTGAGACGTGTCCAGGGCACACCTCAATCCTGATGACTTTGAGGTTTAGTCTTTAGCTCCATCAGTGAGAGATTGCCATTGGCACATGCTGTGTTTTGGAGAACTGCACCTGGATACATTGTTCATGCAGCTGGCTATCCGCTATAGTTGCTTTTTTTTTTTTTTTTTTTTTTGAGATGGAGTCTCACACTGTCTCCCAGGCTGGAATGCAGTGGTGTAAACTTGGCTCACTGCAGCCTCTGCCTCGAGACTCTGTCTCCCAGGCTGGAATGCAGTGGTGTGATCTTGGCTCACTGCAACCTCTGCCTCCCGGGTTCAAGTGATTCTCCTGCCTCAGCCTCCCAAGTAGCTGGGATTACAGGTGTGCACCACCATGCCTGGCTAATTGTTTTGCATTTTTAGTAGAGACGGGGTTTTGCCACGTTGGCTAGGCTGGTCTTGAACTTCTGACCTCAAATAGTCCTTCTGCCCCAGCATCCCAAATTGCTGGGATTACAGGGGTGAGCCACCACACCCTGCTATATTTGCAGTTTTTCTTAGATTAGCAGTACGAAGCTTGTCTTCTCTTTCCTTTTGCACTCCTATCAATTAGTTGTAAGCTGATTTTTAAACAACAACAACAACAAAAATCATGATTCTGAGCAATGGTTTAATGCAATTTTTTTGTTTTATCCTTTTATTTTTATTTTTGGTAGAGACAGGGTCTTGCTGTGCTTCCAATGCTGTCTGGAACTCCTAGGCTCAAGCAATCTTCCTGCCTCAGCCTCTCAAATTGCTGGTATTACAGATGTAAGCCACCAAGTCCATCCAGTTTAATGCAATTTTAAATCATTTCCTGGTGGACACATGGGAAAGGCGGAATCTTTTGGAATGTGGTATTGAGACACTGTCTTTTGCTAAGAATCCTGGATGTGGTTTTGGGAAGAAGGAAGGGGTGTATCTCAGAGGCTCTTGGTACACAGTTAGCTTGGTACAGGTTGAACACATTCTTTGGGAGCTTGACAAAACTGAGGTTAACTTCATGCCAGCCTCTTTCTGTTTCTCCAGGTTTGCCTTGTGGTACCTCTGGCTCCCAGGGAGACCTCTAGAAGGCAGCCTGGGAAGGGAGGGAGCCCCAGAGTGGCTGATTGAGGGGAGGCCCACCCCCATGCCTCTAGGATCCTTACACAGCCATCAGCAGAGACTGGTAACTGGTGAGACAGGGTCTCACTCTGTTGCCCAGGTTGAAGTGCAGTAGCATGATCATAGCTCACTGCAGCCTGCAGCTGTCAGGCTCAAGCCATCCTCCTGGTTCAGCCTTCCGAGCAGCTGGGACTACAGGTGCAAGCCACCACACCCAGCTAATTAAAAATTTTTTTAAAAATAGAGACGGGGTCTTGGTATGTTATCCAGGCTGGCCTTGAACTCCTGACCTCAAATAGTCCTTCTACCTCAGCCTCCCAAAGTGCTAGAATTATAGGCGTGAGCCACCGCACCCAGCCAGAATACTGACTTTTTTGTTTTTTTGAGATGGAGTTTTGCTCTTATTGCCCAGGCTGGAGTGCAATGGAGCAATCTCAACTCACTGCAACCTCCCAGGTTCAAGCGATTCTCCTGCCTCAGCCTTCCCGGTAGCTGGGATTACAGGCACGCACCACCACGCCCGGCTAATTTTGTATTTTTAGTAGAGACAGAGTTTTGCCATGTTGGTCAGGCTGGTCTCAAACTCCTGACGTCAGGTGATCCACCCGTCTTGGCCTCCCAAAGTGCCGGGATTACAGGCATGAACCACCGCACCCAGCCCAGAATACTGACTTCTAATGCCCCAGAAGACCACAGATGTGGAAGGCATTGGCCTTCATCCCCATTCTCAGCTCCCAACTACTACCTCTTTATTATTCTTTTCCTTTTTCAAATGCTTTGTGAGCCTTTTTCCCTGTATTTCCAGGTTGGGATGGCCTAGGGTGAGTGGCCTAGCCGCTCCCTCTCTTTCCATGACTTCAGGGCTATGGGGCCAGCCTCTCCCCTCACCCCTGTGTGTGTGGGAAGAGGTAGAGGAAATGAGAGAGCTGTGAGTTACCCTGGAGGGAGCCTGTAATTCATGTTCAGGCCGAGGTAAAGCCATCTGCAGTACCAAGTAGAGACCTACACTTAAGAAAGAAAATTATGCTGCCAACCTTGAAACAGGGAGCCTGGATGACATCCATTTTTACAAAGCCCGTGTTTCAATCCACTTCAAAGGGCTCACCGGAGCTAGTCTTGTATGTTTCATAATCCATCAGCCAGCTGGGCTTGTGGAATGGTATTTCATCATGGAAATAGACTCACCGGGGAGAGGGTGGGAAGGATGAAAGACACATGGGATTTATTGCCTATGAAGCCGGGCACAGCAATCCGTTTGCCTTTGTCATCTTAACCTTTATGCGGTGGGATTCTCAGCCTGAGCCTCCACTGTGGTCACTGTGATGTGAGTCTCCCAACTTCGGGACAGGGGCATGTGCATGAAAGTCGGGATAGAGCAGTTTGTCTTGTTCCCTTTTCTCTTCGTTATTTTCCTCTCTCTCCCTTCCTCCCACCCACACTCCTCTATGGGGTGATTTGTTGCTACAGCTCTTGAAAATAGGGGCAGTCATACAAAAGATGAATAAACTACGTTTCTGTGAAATTCCCTGGGAGCCATTAAAAAACCAAGGCATTCTCGCCTTGACTGACGGTGTAGGGTAAGCATTAGCATTTCCTGCGATCCTCCTCTCTGGCCAGAGTGCCCTCAGAGATCTCGGTAGCAAACAGAGGCTGCAAGGATGTATATAAACCAAGGATGCTTTGGGATTTGAGTCCAGGTGCTGGAGAGGAGATCATGGCTGTTTCGTCTAATAGATTAGGAAAACAGACTCAGAGAAGGTTACTGGTACTGGCTTCCTCGGTTTTCAGGAAAAGTTAGGCTAGAAACCAAAATTTGGGAAGCTGGAAATAAGAAGAAAATAGACATGGGATGAATAGCAAATTGGAGAAAAGAGAAACTCAAGCTTGCAGAAGGGAAAAGTGAAAGGCAAGCTGAGCTGCATGTCCGAACCCCGGAAGGCTGCAGGTATTTCTGAAAGTGCAAGATAGCTTGAGTGCCAAATGGGATTGGTGGAAATCCTATGAGAAGCAACTGGACCCCCAAATACCCCCGAGAGCACCACCACCTCAGTGACTGCCCCTGATGGCACAGCATTGAAGGAGTCCTCTCTGAAGGGCTTAATCTACATGGAGTTTGGCTTAGGAACATTGGATGAAGGTGAGGGTCAGGGCACTGCAATGGAAATAGGGGAGTTAAGTAAAAATGATCATCCTGAATAGTGCTAGCGTCCCAGCCCCTGCCCCCATTTGACACGCAGAACAACTCATAGCCAGAGGTTTACAATTATATACATTTTTTTTTTCTTTTTTTGAGATGCTGTCTCACTCTGTCGCCCAGGCTGGAGTGCAGTGGCACGATCTCAGCTCACTACAACCACCGCTTCCCAGATTCAAGCGATTCTCCTGCCTCAGCCTCCTGAATAACTGGGATTATAGCCACCATGTCTGGCTAATTTTTATATTTTTAGTAGAGACGGGGTTTTGCCATGTTGGCCAGGCTGGTCTCGAACTCCTGACCTCAAGCAATCTGCCTCCTTTGGCTCCCCAAAGTGCCGGGATTACAGGTGTGAGCCACTGCACCCGGCCTACAATTTCTTTTTACAGTTATAGAAAACAAGCAAAGGAAAAAAATGAGACAATTATGAACTCCAAGGAAAATAAAATGCCATATAAGAGAGAAATTGTTTTCCTAGTGTGCCACTCAGCCAGGAATATTTACATAGGCACTGAATATGGATTTAACCAAAAATTATAACTATATTGGGAAGATGAGGGAAGGGATATAAGAAAGTTGAATCTTCATCTTCCATATTAGGAAGTCAATAGTTACTACCTAAAACTGAAAAATCAAGAAATAGTAGTTTAAATAGAAAATTCTATAATGCGAAGGTAAATACTTGTACCTGCAAAGCTAAAATATGGTGAAAGTGATTACTTTGTGAGAATGGCAGATGGGGAAGTCTATTTAAAATGTTTAAATGCCTGTAACAGTAGTTAATAGAGACATGGTAAGGTTTCTGAATTATATTTATATATAATATATATTGTATATATATGTAATATATTTTAGTAAAGTTGGAGAAGATGTCACAGTTTGAAAGACAGGTCAAAGTGCTCAGATGTTTAAGAAATTATATCTTCAGAATTCAGTTAAAAAATCTGAAGATTTTAAAGCCAATCCCTTCTATTGTCACTGTATTTAAATGAAATAATTCCTCCCCGCCCCACAAGCAATTCAGCAAAATGTAATATTCTGACCTCGTCCCTCCTAAGGTTTTAAGGTTTCTTCTAATACGGCAGCAGGAAAAAAATTTCAGTTACTTCATAAATGTTCAGTTATGAACATGTAACTCAAATAAATCTTGAGGCCCTTAGCACTGGCAAAGAAACAATAATAATTAAAAAGTCTTTCTAACGTTTACTTAGATCATTTAAAGAATATATATATGTGTGTATATATATTTATATATATATGTGTGTATATATATTTATATATATATATGTGTGTATATATATATATATATATATTTTTTTTTTTTTTTTTTTTTGAGACGAAATCTCGCTCTGTTGCCCAGGCTGGAGTGCAGTGGCATGATCTCAGCTCACTGCAACTTCCACCTCCTGGTTTCAAGCGATTCTCCTGCTGCAGCCTCCCAAGTAGCTGGGACTACAGGCGCCCACCACCACGCCCAGCTAATTTTTATATTTTTAGTACAGATGTGGTTTCACCATATTGGTCACGCTGGTCTCTAACTCCTGACTTCATGATCCGCCCACCTCAGCCTCCCAAAGTGCTGGGATTACAGTAGTGAGCCACTGCGCCCAGCCAAGAATATTATAATCCATTCAATTCATAACTCCTAGCCATGGTTCTTAGAATGTTCTTTCTTCTCTTCCCTCCCTCCCTCCCTCCTTCCTTTCCTTTCCTTCTTTCCTTCTTTACTTCCTTCCTTCCATCCTTCCTTCCTTCCCTCCTTCCTTCTTCCTCCTCCTCCTCCTTTTTCCTCTTCCTCTTTTTTCTTCTTCTTCTTCCTCTTTCTTCTTCTCTTTTTCTTTGTCTTTTTTTTTTTTTTTTTTTTTTTTTTTAATAGAGACGTGGCCTCACTATGTTGCCCAGGCTAGTTTTGAACTCCTGGTCTCAAGTGATCCTTCCACCTTGGCCTCCCAAAGTGCTAGGATTACAAGCTTGAACCACCACACCTGGACTCCTCTGTGGTTTTCTTACATGTCTAGCTACTCTGAAGCCACTCATCCTTGAAACTATTATTCACTTGTTACCCCAACTTATTTCTGAGTATTTTATCTCCAATCCTGGTGTCTTTCTACCCATTCTCCTGATTTTGTATCACTAAAGCTCTTCTTGGAAGATATGGGAAGAGAGGAGAGACAGAATTGTCTTTAGGAGGCAGCAAAAGAGAAGAATCCTGGAAAAGTTTATTAATTAATGAGTTTTATTCTCATTAAAAATGCAAAATTTTATTATTAACTAATTCCTTATTATGATAAATCAATAATTCAACAATTTAGGTACTGTTCTTTTGAATGATTTTATGTAAACATTCTTATACATTATTCATATAATTATTTTGCAAAAAATCAATTTA
Source organism: Homo sapiens (assembly GCF_000001405.40). Classification (NCBI taxonomy): domain Eukaryota; kingdom Metazoa; phylum Chordata; class Mammalia; order Primates; family Hominidae; genus Homo; species Homo sapiens. Next base: position 72,500,852 of record NC_000007.14, on the reverse strand, counting down.
AGATAAATTGATTAATACACAGTGAATCTGGAATGGAAGTAACTGGACATTGTAAACAAAAAAATTAAAAATAGAAATGCACAAAGAATAAGATAATAACATTAGTGCCTCATCACTCAGAATTTTGAGTGTATGTTTTCATATCAGTTTTAGTTTTTTTTTTAGATTTTAAGAAACAAAATGTTACTCATTAAATAAATGAATATCAGTAATCACAGGAATTGGACAGGTTATATAAACAGCGGAGAGGGGATGATAAAGAAGGAAAGAGCAAGCTGGGCACGGTGGCTCACGCCTGTAATCCCAGCACTTTGGGAAGCTGAGGCAGGTGGATCACTTGAGGTTAGGAGTTTGAGACCAGCCTGGCCAACAGGTGAAACCCTGTCTCTACTAAAAATACAAAAATTAGCCCAGTGTGGTGGTGCATGCCTACAGTCCCAGCTACTCGGGAGGCTGAGGCAGGAGAATTGCTTGAACCCGGGAGGCGGAGGTTGTGGTGAACCGAGATCGCGACACTGCACTCCAGCCTGGGCGACGGAGTGAGACTGTCTCAAAAAAAAAAAAAAAAAAAAAAAAAAAAAAAGAAGGAACGAACAGAAGTTCATGAGACCCACAAAAGAGACACAGAAAGTTTCAGCTGAGGCCGGGCGAGGTGGCTCACATCTGTAATCCCAGCACTTTGGGAGGCTGGGGTGGGTGGATAGCCTGAGGTCAGGAGTTTGAGATCAGTCTGGCCAACATGGTGAAACCCTCTCTCTACTAAAAATACAAAAATTAGCCCAACTTGGTGGTGCATGCCTGTAATCCCAGCTACTAGGGAGGCGGAGGCAGGAGAATCGCTTGAGCCTGGGAGGCGGAGGTTGTAGTGAGCCAAGATCGTGCCACTGTACTTCAGCCAGGGCAACAGAGCGAGACACTGTCTCAAAAAAGAGAAAGATAGAAAGAAAGAAAGAAAGAAAGAAAGAAAGAAAGAAAGAAAGAAAGAAAGAAAGAAAGAAAGAAAGAAAGAAAGAAAGAAAGAAAGAAGGAAGGAAGGAAGGAAGGAAGGAAGGAAGGAAGGAAGGAAGGAAGGAAGGAAAGAAAGAAAGTTTTGCGGAAGTATGCAGCAAAAATTATAATTAATGGCAAATTCTTAAAAAATAATTTTTTATAGATTCTTTTATATTTGCCCAAATATTAACCATCTCCAATACTACTCATTCCTTTTTGTAATAGTATTTTTCCTTTTTCCAAGGAACAATTATTTGCATATGAGTCTGCATGTGAGTCAGTTTATCTTAAACTGATTTTTTTGCAAAATAATATGAATAATTTATAGAATGTTTATATTAAAACATTCAGAAGAATAGTGCCTAAATTATTGCCTTATTTATGTATCATAATGAGGAATTAGTTCATAATAACATTTTGCATTTGTGATGAAAACAAAACTCATGAATCAATCAATTATTAATTAATAATTTGTAGTGTTCCTTTTCCAAATAATATTATTCCTCTTTAGCCTAAAAGATTTCTTTCAGCTGGCCAGGCATAGTGGCTCATGCCTGTAATTCCAGCACTTTGGGAGGCTGAGGTGGGTGGATCGCTTGAAGTCAGGAGTTTGAGACCAGCTTGGCCAACATGGTGAAACCTCGTCTCTACTAAAAATACAAAAATTAGCTAGGTGTGGTGGCAGGTTCCTGTAATCCCAGCTACTAGGGAGGCTGAGGTAGGAGAATCACTTGAACCCAGGAGGTGGAGGTTGCAGTGAGCTGAGATTGCACCACTGCACTCCAGCCTGGGTTACAGAGTGAGATTCTGTCTCAAAAAAAATTATTCCTTATAGACAATTATTCTTTTATATTTGCCCCAATATTAACTAATTCCTTTTTATAATAGTATTGTTCCTTTTTCCAAGGAACAATTATTTGCGTATGAGTCTGTGTATGAGTCAATTTATCTTAAATTGATATTTTGCAAAATAAGTATATGAATAATTCATAAGAATGTTTATTTTAAAACATTAAAAAAAGTACCTAAATTAGTGCTTTATTTATCATAATGAGGAATGAGTTCATAATGATATTTTGCATTTGTGATAAAAAGAAAACTCATGAATCCATCAACTATTAATTAATAACTTGTAGTATTCCTTTTCCAAATAATATTATTTCCCTTCAGCCTAAAAAATTTCTTTTAGCACTTCTCGTGGTAAAGATCTGCTGGCAAAAAATGATCTCAACTGAATTTATCTAAAAATGTCTTGTTTTCTTTGCATTCATTTTTGAAGAATAGTTTTACTGGACATAAACTTCTAAGTTGACAGTTTTTTCTTTTTATACTTTAAAGATGTAATTTCCTTGTCTTCCAGGCTCCATTTATTGAGTACAAAGTTGGCTGTTATTTTTATTATTGCTTCCTTGTATGTAATGTGTCTTTTTTTCCTGACTGCTTTTGAGATTTTCTATTTCTTTTTGGTTTTTATCCATGATGTGGCTAGGTATAAGTTTTTTTTTTAACTAATTTTTTGGAGGCCTGTTAAGCCTCTTATAAATAGGATTTGATGTTTATAACCAAAGTTGGAGAAATTTTGGCCAATATTTCTTGAAATTTTAAAAATTCTCGATTCTATTCCCTCCTCCTGAGATGGCAAATACACATTAGGGAGGTTTGGTATTATGGATCTATTTGGTATTACTTGATATTGAGGCTTTCACCTTTTTTATACATTGGATTACTTTTGGATAATTTATCTATTTATCTGTCTTTAAATCAATAACCTTTCTTTCCCCATCCCCCATATTCAATTTTCTACAAATCTTGTGTAATGGTTTTTAAAAATTTCTCATATTGTATTTTTCAGTTCTAAGATTTCTTCTTGGTACTTTTTGAGAGTTTCCACATCTTTTCTGAGATTCTCTGTCTCTTTATCCATTACAACCAATTTCTCTTCTGTAAAACTTTAATGTATAGTTATGAATTATCTTAAAGTCCTTTTCTCAATACCAACACATGGGTTGCCTGTGGGGATACTATTTATTAACTGTTTTTTCCCCTCTATTTATTAGTCGTCACATTTTGTTACTTCTTCACGTGTCTGGTAATTTTTTTATTGTATAATAACCTTGTGGATGATACATTGTAGAGACTCTGCATTCTGTTATCTTCCTCTGAAGAGTGTTAAATTCTGTTCTAGCAGATCTAGTAGACCCACTGGCAGATCACCCAGAAGTTTAGTTGAAAGCTTTGTTTCATGGTTCTGTTTTGATTTTGCTCGTTTCTAGGATGTAGCTCTTAACCCTAGCATGTGCTTCCTAATCTCAGGGCATGGCCCTTTGAGGAGTAATTAAAAATCTTGAAGTATTTATCAAATCCCTTTAAGTTGGTGAGATTTTAACTCTAAAGTTTGTCATTGTCATTCCTTTGTTTTTTTTGAGATGGGGTCTCACTCTGTCACCCAGGCTGGAGTGCAGTGGCGTGATCTCAGCTCACTGCAACCTCCGCCTCCCAGGTTCAAGCGATTCTCCTGCCTCAGACTCCTGAGTAGCTGGGATTACAGATGCGTGCCACCACGCCTGGCTAGTTTTGGTATTTTTAGTAGAGACGAGGTTTCACCATATTGTTCAGGCTGGTCTTGAACTCCTGACCTCAGGTGATCCACCCGCTTTGGCCTCCCAAAGTGCTAGGATTACAGGCATGAGCCACTGTGCCCGGCCAAGTCTGTCATTCTATTAATAGCACTGAGCGCCTGCTAAAATCTCTGCTCAGCTTTTTTTCCCTTTCAGCTATTCCTTTCCTCTGGGCTCATTGGAATCTTTCCTCCATGCACAGACGTTAAAATTCAGCCAAGGATTTGAGAGCGTACTTACATAAGGATTTTGTGGCTCCTTCCTTTTCCACATTCCTTGTCTCTCAGTTCCAGTTCTCTGGCAGCTCCAAATTCTCACCTATGATTCTTTGGCCTCATAAGACTATAAGCCCTAATAAAACTTTAGCTTAATAAGTCTTGCTCTGTTGCCCAGGCTGAAATACAGTGGTGCGATCACAGCTCACTGCAGCCTCAACTTCCTGGGCTTAAGGAATCCTCCCACCTCAGCCTCTCTAGTTGCTGACTACAGGGACTACAGGTGCACACCACCACACCTGGCTAATTTTAAAAATTTTTTGTAGAGGTGAGGTCTTGCTTTGTTGCCCAGGTCTTAAACAATCCTCTCATTTCGGTGTCCCAAAGTGCTGGGATTACAGGCGTGAGCCACCACACCCAACCCAACTGTTAGCTTTTTGATTGAATTCTAGTCCCTAGGCCCCAAACAAATTGAAGAGTGCTTTCAGAAGAAAAGCTGGTTAAACTTGAATCTCACATTGTGTACTTCCATTTTTCCAAGGCTTATAGTTCCCTAATTTCTGCCAGGCTTTGGCTACTCTCCAAGGACATGATATAGTTGTTTTAATATTTTGTCCATTGTTTACAGTTGTTATCAACAGATGGTTTTTTCTGATACAAACTATCCCCCATTATCAGAGCTAGAAGAAAAAAGTATTTAAAAATAAAGTAGTGATGTGTACTATCATTACTTTCATTCTCCATTATACTGGAGGTCTTAACAAGTGTAAAAATAAGCAAAAAGGAAAAGGTGTAAGAATTGGAATGAGGCCGGGCATGGTGGCTCACACCTGTAATCCCAGCACTTTGGGAGGCCGAGGCAGGTGGATCACCTAAGGTCAGGAGTTCGAGATCAGCCTGGCCAACATGGCAAAAACCCGTTTCTAATAAAAATACAAAAAATTAGCTGGGCATGGTGATGCATGCCTGTAGTCCCAGCTACTTGGGAGACTGAGGCAGGAGAATCTCTTGAACCTGGGAGGTACAGGTTGCAGTGAGCCAATATTGTGCCACTGCACCTTAGCCTGGGCAACAGAGCATCAAAACAAAACAAAAAAACTGAAAACAATAACAAATTGGAATAGAAGAAACAGAAATAGAATTATCTGCCCATGATATACAAATCTGAAAGAATCTATAGAAGCAATTTTAATTAAAATAAAAGTTCAGGAAGGATGCTAGATATCAGAGCAATATTAAAAATTCTGTGGCTTTCTATCCATCAGCTTCACATCTTTTCAATTGTATTTCGGAAGCAATAACGATTTGCCTCAGATTCCAAGCAACTTTATAGCCCACCGTTTGTCCACACTTCTCTGTTTTCTTGAGGCCATTTGAGTTTTGTTCTCTGTTATTTGCTACCAGAAGAGCCTTGACTAACAGAGAGGGGTTTTCTTTGAGGTCAGGCTTAGGGGTCTTTTGCTCATGGGGTGTGGCATGGACCTGCTTGAATGGAGCAAGGGATGCCAAACCAAAATGAGTTCTTGGGACAAAGACTGTGCCTTGTTCCCTGCAATGTCCCTAGCAGCTAGCACAGTGGGTTGGGTGCAGAGTAGGTCTCAATCAATATTTACTGAAGGACCGTGGTTGCTATTTTTAACTAACTGAAGGACTCACACGAGGAGGAACTGACCCAGCCTGGGTAGGAGATCTCCAAGAGTCAGTGCCATCTGAGGACAGACCAGTCAGAGCTGGAGGACCTTGGACTCCTGCCCAAGGAGGATTTGGGTAGAGATTGGATGAACACCTGGCAGAAATTTAAAGGGTGGACTCAAACAACAGTTAGGAATCTGGATTTTGACCTTCAAATGGGAATGGAAAATGGAAGAAAAATGGAATCATCACGCAATGGTCAGACTCCAAGATGGCCCTCAATGATTCTTGCCTCCTAGAATTCATGCACTTGTGTGGGTCCCTCCCTCATTGGATTGAGCTGGCTGTGTGGCTCACAGAAGAAAGTGGAAGTAATAGGGGGTGATTTCCAAGACCAGGTCATGCAGGCGTTGCAGCTTACAGGTGTTATTTTGGGGAAGCCAGCTATCATGCCATAAGGGCACTCACACAGCCCTTGGGGAGGACCATATGGAGAGGAACAATCTTATTATTATTATTATTATTATTTTTGAGACAGGGTCTTTCTCTGTCCCCCAGGCTGGAGTGCAGTGGCACAATCATAGCTCACTGCAGCCTCGAACTCTTGAGCTCCAGCGATCTTTCCTCCTCAGCCTCCTGAGTAGCTGGGACTGCAGGTGTGCCCAACTATACCTGGGTAATTAAAATAATTTTTTTTTTTTTGTAGAGATGGGGTCTCGCTATATTGCCCAGACTGGCATCAAGCAATCAGTGTTGGTCTCCCACGGTGCTGGGGCTACAGGCATGGGCCAACGCGCCCGGCCTGTGTTGCCTTTGATGTGGTACCCGAGACATGTGTTCTGGGCAAAGTTGAGGTCCAGGGAATTCCCGCAGGTGGGGAGGTGTCCCAGCTTGCGTCAAAAAGAACTTCTCTAACAAGGAGCACTTGGAGGGCAATAGTCACTGCCTATCTTTGCGTTACTACCAGGACAGTGCCTGGCACGGCGTGGGTGCCCTTTAAGTGTTCTTTGATTAGTGAACAAATAAAGGTAAGCTTGCTAGCAGGTCCTCTGGACCTTTGGTGCCATTTCTGACTGGTGTATTCTACTGACTTTTTTAGTCTTCCTGGAACACTGTCCAGCAGAGGGCAGTGTTGTGCATCCCCGAATGCACGAACATCCATCAGGTGAAAGAGAGTTGTTCCAAGTTCCACGGGGCTCAGATTTTTAGAGACAAGGTCTTGCTCTGTTGCCCAGGCTGGAGTTCAGTGGCGCAATCATGGCTCACTGCAGCCTTGAACCCCTGGGCTTAGCGATTCTCCTGCATCAGCCTCCTGAGTAGCTGAGCCTACAGGCATGCACCACCATGCCCAGCTTATTTTTTCATTTTTCTGTGGAGACGAGGTCTCTCTATGTTGCCCAGGCTGGTCTGGAACTCCTAGCCTGAAGCGATTCTCCTGTGTCAGTCTTCCAAAGTGTGTTATTTTGGGAATAATTGCTTCTTGCCACAAGCCCTAGACTTATACATGATGAGAAAACTACACCCACAAAGCACACTAAATATTTTTTAAGCCCAGTATTTAGTGGCTGTTGATACAGATAAATAAATTGATTGACCTTATCTCAGCAATAACACAATGCCACCTGCACTAGCACACTAAAAACTTGGGTAAATAGAATTTGTTTTCCTTCCAATAGTAACCAAAATGTTTGAGGACATTTCAGAAGGGCTTCAAGATCTAGAAAAGATGCTGTAAGAGTTATGATAAGAATAATTAATCGGCCAGGTGTAGTGGCTCATGCCTGTAATCCCAGCAATTTGGGAAGCTGAGGCGGATGGATCACCTGAGGTCAGGATTTCGAGACCAGCTTGGCCAACATGGTGAAGCCCTGTTTCTACTAAAAATACAAAAATTAGCTGGGAGTGGTGGTGCATGCTTGTAGTCCTAGGTACTCGGGAGGCTGAGTCAGGAGAATCACTTCAACTTGGGAGGTGGAGGCTGCAGTGAGCCAAGATTGCACCACTGCACTCCAGCCCGGGTGACAGAGTCAGTCTTTGTCTCAAAGGAAAAAAAAAAAAGAATAATTGATCACATGGACAAACCTTGAAAACATTATGCTAAATGAAAGAGGCCATTTAGTCATCATAAAAGACTACATATTGTATGATACCATTTCTGTGAAATGTCTGGAATAAGCAAATCTATAGAGACAGAGATTAGTGGCTGCCTAGAGATGGTGGGAGACCCGGGGAGGTGGTGGGAGACCCGGGGAGATGGCGGGAGACTGGGGAATATCAGCTAAAGGGTGTGGAGTTTCTTTCGGGGGTGATGAAAATGTTTTAAAATTAGGTTGTGGTGATAGTTGCCAAATTCTGTGAGTATTCTAAAAACCACTGGACTGCATACTTTCAATGGGTGAATTCTATCTCAAAGCTGTAAAAAAGAATACTCGTGTTCAGCTACATTTTTACATTTATCTTGTTGTCCTTGTGATTTAGTCTCTGCAAATGTGTTAGTCATCTGTGATGGAGATGACGATTTTCTGAGGATCGAACATACCATTGTCCATACGTCCTGGATAGCATGTGCCAGCAGGGATGCATTGCAGGAGCACGACTGTTCCGGTGCTCGGCAGCCAGTGTATTTTCTGATCGTTGCCATGGTGCTGTGAGGGGCTCATCTGTTGTCCCCATTCACAGATAATGACCAGGTCCAGATAAGAGTGGGTACTTTCATTCTAATCACTAGTCCAACTATTAGAGCCACGAGGGCTGACCCAGCGGTTGGCATGGTGCCCCCACAGCCCTGCTGGCATTAGCTGGAGGTCTGTGACAGCTTGTGACTGTGAGAAACAGCAGCCGCAGGACTACACAGGTGGCAAGGCCTTGCTTCCAATTCTCACCCAACTTGCATGCAAGATCTGCGTTGCTCCATCTTGTACAACAGCCCCTGTAGTAAGCACCTCCCAAAGGGTGGAACCAATCAACCCAGCAATGTGGGACAAAACAAAATCCATCTTTAGAGGAAGCATCTTTGGCTGGCAGTTAGGAGGCTTGGCTTCTAGACCTGGCTTTGCTATTTGAATTGACCAAGATCACGCCACTAACTCTCTGACCTTGGGTATGTCAATAGATTGAGTCTTATATGGGAAACCAAGGCTTAGACATTTAAGTTCATTCTCAGTTTTAAATTCCATGAGCTATTGGCTTAAACACTCTTGAGAACAAATGTAGTTCACACTGAAGGCCAAGGTGGCACATTTCTGTTTGTGTCTTACCTGTCGGCTACCTCTGTTGTTTGCAGTAGTTGTAATTTGAAAAGCTGTGGCCTAGCCTAGGTGCCTGATCCTTTGAGCCCAAGGGTAGAGATGAGATTGGGAGCATGATGAGGGCACTGGAGAAACTGCCTTTGAGAGTTGGAGTCCCTTGTTTGGCCTCCATAGTTTGCCCCATATCTTAGTTAAAGGGAAAATTCTATCTGTTATGTAATATTTGCAACAAGAGGACATAACTTATGGCATCTTGAATTACCTTGCTGTTTGGAACAGTGTCTCAGTGTTTGCTACTTGTGCAAAAAATGACCGTTGGTGTGTTCTTTCAGGGCCTCTGGTCACTTAATGAGAGGATAAAAGTGCAGTTGTGAGCAGTGGTCTTCCTCTCTACTCTATGAGTTTTCATTTCCCCACTACCTCCCCATTGCAGCTAATTGCACAGGGCAGAGGCTTGTCCTGAAGAAATGGGCTTTATTTGCACACAGCAGTCCTGAAGGCCCCAGTGAAGTGCCTCATGGAATGAACGTGAAAGAAAAGAACCCTTGTCAGGCTGCAGAACACCATTTTTTTCTCTTTTTGAGACAGAGTCTTACCATGTTGCCCAGGCTGGGCTGCAGTAGTGCAATCATAGCTCACTGCAACCTCAACCTTTTGGGCTCAAGCGATTCTCCTGCCTCAGCTTCTTGAGTAGCTAGGACTACAGGTGCACACCACCATACTTGGCTAATTTTTTAACTTTTTGCAGAAATAGGATCTTGCTCTGTTGCCCAGGCTGCTCTTGAAGGCCTGGCCTCAACTGATCTTCCCGCCTCAGTCTGCCAAAGTGCTAGAATTACAGACATGAGCCACTGCACCTGGGCAACCACCAATTTTTGAGCATCATTTTGTTTTTTGTTTTTGTTTTTGTTTTTTTTTTTTTTGAGACGGAGTCTCGCTCTGTTGCCCAGGCTGGTTGGCTCACTGCAAACTCCGCCTTCCGGGTTCACGCCATTCTCCTGCCTCAGCCTCCCGAGTAGCTGGGACTACAGGCGCCTGCCACCACGCCTGGCTATTTTTTTGTATTTTTAGTAGAGACAGGGTTTCACCATGTTATCCAGGATGGTCTCGATCTCCTGACCTCGTGATCCACCCGCCTCGGCCTCCCAAAGTGCTGGGATTACAGGCGTGAGCCACCGCGCCCGGCCTTGAGCATCATTTTAAGCACTAGGCATTACATACATTATATAATGCAATTTTCACAACAACACTGTATTAGTCCATTTTCACACTGCCTAAAGAACTACCTGAGACTGAGTAATTTATGAAGAAAAGAGCTTTAATTGACTCATAGTTCTGCAAGCTGTACAGGAAGCATGGCTGGGAGGCCTCAGGAAGCTTACAATCATGGTGGAAGGGTGAAGGGGAAGCAAGCACATCTTCACATGGTGACAGGAGAGAAAGTGCAAAGGGGAAGTACTACACACTTTAAAACAACCAGATCTCGTGAGAACTCACTCACTATCAGGAGAACAGCAAGGGGGAAATCTGCCCCCCATGATCCAGTCACCTCCCACCAGGCGCCTCCTCCAACGCTGAAGACCACAATTCAACATGAGATTTGGGTGGGGACACAGAGCTAAACCATATCAAACACTTTGAGGTAGGTGCTATTATTCCTACTGTAGAGGAGGAAATTGAGGTCAGAGAAGTTAGACAACATGGCCACGGCAGCACAGTGGGTAAATGGCAGAGGAGATGAAAATCCGCGTCTGCCTGACTCCAGAGTCATTGCTCTATATAACCCTCTCTGTCAACATTTTATAGTATTTTCTGCCAGTCTTTTTGTCCACACAGTGTTTTTGTTTATTTTGTTTTATTTTATAATTGCATAATTGAGATCATACTGTATAAGCATTTTCTAAAGGTCTTCTACTTGCTGGAATCCCTAAGCCCTTGGGGGTTAGATTGATGTGGAAAGACACACTATAGACGACCATTTCTGGAGGACTCTTTTGAACTCTACTAATGTGGAAGGTCTTCCTCTATTTGCCAAGGAGAAGCCATGGTCTCTATTTCTTCCCACTTATTTCTTTAGCCTTAATCTCTTCAAGCTTTACTTGCAATTCCTTTGCCTAAGACAGCAAAGACACCAAAGAAAGTAATTTTTATCTGGAATGGTCTCCACTAGGCTGTCTAGAGAGCCCTGGCTAGGAGCCAGGAGACTTGGCTTCATATGAGGATCCAGCCATATGTGGACTTCCTGGTACCTGAAATGTATGAGAAAGACATTGGGGTACATGTCCCAGCAGCCCTGGAATTGGGGAGTGATAAGGAAGTCTTTGAGTGCAGCTAGACTCTGCTATGAGGAAGACGGTGCAACAACTGTCTCTTGCCTGGTCACAGGGTGCTGAAGGTTGGGGCTACCATGGGACCCACCCCCTCCACCATAGTGTCTTTCCTTCTTATCTTCATGCAAAGGGTTGGCTTTAGAGGGTGCAATTGCCAACCTTCATACCCACTCCTTTCTTTTTGCTGCTTCCAGTTTTTAGGAACATGAAATAAAGGCTCTTTCAAGAGGTTCCTCTTGAGGCAAACAGTCAAGAAACAACATGAGTTCTGCGGTTCCAGCTGGTGAACAAGCTCAGTGGGATTCAGTCACTTTAATAGAGTGACACTCTTTCTCGAGATTAGACTGTCCTGGGCTTGATCCCTCACACTTCATAGGACATCAGACTTAAGCTACCAGAAAAATCGTACTAAGAAAGTGTAAGTGAAAGATAAGAAAAGCTCCAATTCTGCTTTCTTACTTCTGCTAAGAATATTTACAGATAAGACTGTGCCAGGAGGGCTGGGATCACAGGTACTCAGCAAGGATATGTTGAATTGAATTCAGAAAAGCTATCGTGATTCTTTTTGGTCAAGGGAGAATGATTTTCCCTTGTTCTGCCTGTTTCCCCTGTTTCCAAAGAGGAGATGGCCTTCTGAATCTGTGGCCTGGAGGAGGAGTATTGGAGGGAAAAGCTTCACTTCTGTTCCCATGGTTTCAATACTTCTTCACATGGGTGGAGGGTTGGCGGATGGACTCACAGGGCCCAATAATCCTTGAACCACATAACTGGGGATTGAGTTTAGAAGAAAAAAAAATTTTACCATATCTATCTTGACTGTCTCATGGTCGATAAGGAGTCTGTAGGCTCTCCTATGCTTCCAGCTTCCATGAGTAAGCTCACCTGGGTCAGAATAAGGATCAGTTTTTAAGAAGTAACTGGAAGCCTGGGCAACATAGTGAGACCCTATCTCTACAAAAAATAAAAAGATTACCTGGGCATGGTGCTATGTGCCTACAGTCCTAGCTTCTTGGGAGGCTGAAGAGGGAGGATGGGTTGATCCCAGGAGATTAAAGCTGCAGTGAGTTATGATTGCACCACTGTACCCAAGCCTGGGCAACAGAGTGAGATCCTATATCTAAAAAAAAAGTGAATGGGTACGTGAGGCAGGCCTGTGATTCTTCCTGAAGCTGGCAGGGTAACAGGAGACACATCAGATATCTGGTCCAAGGCACGTGCTCCAATATAGTTTAGCAGAGAGCCCTACACTTTGGGGTTAGTAAGTACTCTGTGGCCCATTAATAACAATGATTCTCTGGTATCCATTTGGCCACTCACTGAGTGCTCTCTTATTAGCTGGAATTCTGAAAGAAAGGGAGAGTGAACTTTAGGCCCCCTAACCTCTATCAATTCCCAAAGTATTAGTCCTTTTTAAAACTTATTCTTATTTTTATTTTTTTTTATTCTTTTGAGACAGGATCTTGCTCTATTGCCCAGGCTGGAGTGCAGTGGTGCAGTCATGGCTCACTGCAGCCTCAACTTCCTGGGCTCAAGCAATCCTCCTGCCTCAGCCTCCCAAGTAACTGAAACTACAGGCATGTGCTACCATGCCTGGCTAATTAAAAAAAATTTTTTTTTGTACAGATAGGGTCTTGTTATGTTGTCCAGGCTGGTCTTAAACACTTGGGCTCAAGTGATCCTCCCAGGCTGCTCTTTAACACCTGGGCTCAAGTGATTCACCTTGGCCTCCCAAAGTGTTGGGATCATAGGTGTGAGCCACCATGCCCAGCATGGTATTTGTCCTTGAGCTCAGGTTAAAACTGCTCATGAAGCACCCCTCTATTTTCTTCTTTCCTTCCTTCCTTCCTTCCTTCCTTCCTTCCTTTCCTTCCTTCCTTCCTTCCTTCCTTCCTTCCTTCCTTCTTTCTTTCTTTCTTTCTTTCTTTCTTTTCTTTTCTTTCTTTCTTTCTTTCTTTCTTTCTTTCTCTTTCTTTTTCTTTCTCTCTTTCTTTCTTTTTCTCTTTCTCTCTCTCTTTCTCCTTTCTTTCTTCTTTCTTTCTCTTTCTTTCTTTCTTTACCCTTCCTTCCTTCCTTCCTTCCTTCCTTTCTTTCTTTCTTTCTTTCTTTTCTTTTCTTTTCTTTCTTTCTTTCTTTCCTTTCTTTCTTTCACTCTGCTGCCCAGGCTGGAGTGCACTGGGGCAATCTTGGCTCACTGCAACCTCTGCCTCCTGGGTTCACCCGATTCTTCTGCTTCAGCCTCCCAAGTAGTTAGGATTACAGGTACCTGCCACCACACCCAGCTAATTTTTGTATTTTCAGTAGAGACGGGGTGTCACCATGTTGGCTAGTCTGGTCTCAAACTCCTGACCTCAGGTGATCCACCCATCTCAGTCTCCCAAAGTGCTGGGATTACAGGCATGAGCCACCGCACCTGGCCACCTCTCTATTTTCTCATTCCCCAGCTGGGGAGTTTTATTTCCTGGTCTCAACACCCACAAGCAGCTGCCCGTCCCAGTCTTTTTCACACGTGTTAAACTTTTACAACCCCCTATTTTGGTCCTCTTCTGAGGTCTACTCACCTTGTCTGTTTTCACACCATTCTCGCCAACTGTTTAGCCCCATAGATCCTTGTTCATCCCTCACCCATATCAAAGATGAAGTAGACAGGAGGCTGAGGCAGGAGATCACTTGAGCCCAAAGAGTTTGAGGCTGCAGTGAGCTATGATCACACCACTGTACTCCAGCCAGGGCAACAGAACAAGACCCTATCTCCAGAAAGAAAGAAGAGGAAGGAGAGATACATCCACATCGACGATGATTATAAAGCATGATACACACATGATACATAATAAGAATACTCCCGTGAATGTGGCTAGATTCTGAATCCATTAAAATTTTGTATGGAAGCAAAATAAATGTTGCCCCAGTTGCATTCTATAACTATATAACTAAAGTACCTGATGAAAATAAATTTGATGTTTTATAAGAAATCTACTAGCTACCATATAGTAGGTAATCAGTGAGTATTTATTGAATGAATGAAGGAAGAAATTGGAGAAAATATAAATGACTTTAATAAAAAATCTTAAAGCTTTAAATTTTTCAAAAACACTTTTTTAGACCTACATACAAGTGAAGAGGTAGTACAACTAAATCTTATTGTATTGTGGCTGGGCTCGGTGGCTCACTCCCGTAATCCCAGCACTTTGGGAGGCCAAGGCAGGCGGATTACTTGAGGTCAGGAGTTTGAGACGAGCCTGGCCAACATGGTGAAACTCAGTCTCTACCAAAAATATAAAAAATTAGCCAGGTGTGGTGGCATGCACCTGTAATCCTAGCTACTCAGGAGGCTGAGGCAGGATAATCACTTGAACCCAGAAGACAGAGGTTACAGTGAGCTGATATTATGCCACTGTACTCCAGCCTGGGCGACAGAACAAGGCTCCATCTCAAAAAAAAAGTTATTGTATTGTAAAAAAGGGTATGATATAGATGATTTACAGGTTTATATGTATTATTACTACAGCCTTTTTATTGAGAAGTTCATTAAGTCACACGTTGCATAATGACTTTTCTGTCAATGACGGACTACATATACAACGGTGGTCCCATAAGATTATAATATTGTATCTTTACTATACCTTTTCTATGCTTAGATATGTTTAGATACATAAATACTTATTGTTTTACCGTTGCCAGCAGTATTCAGTACAGTCACTTGCTGTACAGGTTTGCAGCTTGGAGCAATAGGCTGTATCATCTAGCCTAGGTGTGTAGTAGGCTATATCATCTAGGTTTCTGTAAGTACGTTCTGTGATGTTCATATAACGATGAAATAGCCTAACAATGGCGACAGAGTGAGACTCCGCCTCCAAAAATAAAAATAAAAAAGAACATATGCTCACTGTTAAGCAACATATGACTGTATATCTACATTTAGTCCAGTAACAGTTAACTTTTTTTTTTTGAGATGTAGTTTCGCTCTTGTTGCAAACTGGCTGGAGTGCAGTGGTGCGATCTCACCTCACTGCAACCTCCACCTCCCGGGTTCAAGTGATTCTCCTGCCTCAGCCTCCGGAGTAGCTGGGATTACAGGTGCATGCCACCACACCCGGCTAATTTTTGTATTTTTAATAGAGACGGGGTTTCACCATGTTGGCCAGGCTGGTCTTGAACTCCTGATCTCAGGTGGTCTGCCGCCTGGGCCTCCCAAAGTGCTGGGATTACAGGCGTGAGCCACCATGCCCAGCCACATTTAACTTTCTGTTAAGCGCAATGGCCACAGATCAATCTAGCTTATGCACAAATGTGTATGTAGACAGCACTACTTAAACTTTCTTCATCCAATTCCTTACTTTAAAATGAAATTTATGCATGGATTTAAAAAATGATTAAATTAAAATAGCAAAAACTTTCTAAATTCTGTGATTAAAAAAATTTCTTTTGTAGAGACAGGGTCTTGCTATGTTGCTCAGGCTGATCTTAAACACTTGGGCTCAAGTGATCCTCCCACTTTGGCCTCCCAAAGTGTTGGGATTGTAGGTGTGAGCCACCATCCCCGGCACAGTATTAGTTGTTGAGTTAATACTTAAGAGTCTTGCTCTGTTGCCCAGGCTGGGGTACAGTGGCTCAATCATAGCTCACTGCAACCTTAATCTCCTGGGCTCAACCCATCTTCTGTCTTCAGCCTCCCAAGAAGCTAGGACTACAGGCACATACTACCATGCCTAGGTAATTAAAAAAAATTTTTTTTTGTATTTTTAGTAGAGACTGTGCATTATTTAGAGAGGCTGTGCATTATTTGTCTGTCTGCCAAGACAAGTATAAGGCCACCTATTTCTCTCCCATTCAAGAAAGTATAGAGCTTTCACTTTTAGTCAAGGTAAAAGAACAGAGATCAGATTTCCCAGATAGGCTTGGACACACAAAAAAGACAAAATACATAAAAAACAATAAAAAACAGTTGCAAAACGCTGGATATCAGAGAAGAAGGGCCCATTATCCCTAAGAGATGAAATGAGATGATAAAGAAACGAGGCAAGCCCTACAATTGCTCAGCTTTCTTCTCTGAGAGTACTCAGGCAGTGTTGTGGGAGTGGGAAACCCAGGCAGAGCCAGGAAGCCTTCTTGAGTTGAGAAGAGATAGCTGACATTCTGGGGAGATGAAGGTGGCTGGAATTCAAAGGACTAAGCACCAGACAGAAGCAAGCTGCACAGAGGAATCCTGAGTTACCAGAGGGCGACCCTCAACTATTCAGCTGGATATTGATTAGTGCATGGAAGTCAGGAAACTACGCGGGGGCGGGCGGTGGGGACTGGGGGAAGAACTACCTGAAAGGATTAGCGGTGATGATGCTTGACACGCAGGACTGGGAATAGTGCCTGTTCCCACCAGCCAGAATAGAAAACCTCACAATTCATGGGACAGAAGTTAGAGTTCACAGGTCTTTCCTCAACAGGAGAATAATTAACTCTAGATTAATCACAGCTCTTGTCCCACCTAACAAATCTTAAAATCAAGACCCAAATAGATAAGCTAGTTCTAAATAGTTGTGTCCCAGAAAAAAAAATCAAGAATACTTATAAAAATTTAAAAATAGCCAGCATCCAACAAGGTAAAATTCACAATATGAACTCATATCCAATCTAAAATTACCAGGCATGCAAAGATGCAGAAAAATATGACCCATAATGAGAAGAAAAATCAATTGTGAAAACCACCCCAGAACTGACAATGGTGTCAGAATGAGCAGACAGGACATTAAAACAAGTATTGTAATTGTATTACATATGTTCAAAAGTGAAGAAAAGACATGGGGACTGTAATAAAAAGTTTGCAGTGAGCCAAGATTGTGTCATTGCACTCCAGCCTGGGCAACAGGGCGAGACTCTGTCTCAAAAAAAATTTTAAACCAAATTTTCAGAAATGAAACCCACAATGTCTGAGGCAATAGACAGGAAAATGTTAATAACAAATCAAATATTTCAGAATAAAAGATTAGTGAACTTGAAGATAATTATCCAAAATGAACCACCGAGAGAAAAGAGAGAAAACAAGGAACAGAGTATCAGTGAATTGTTTAGACAACTTCAAGCAACCGAATAAATGTGTAATTGGAGTCTGCAAAGGAGAGAAGGGATTGCAGAAAAAATATTTGAAAACATAATGGCTGAAAATTTAGAAATTTGATGAAAACTATAAACTCACAGATCTAAGAATCTCAATAAACTCAAGGCACAAGAAACATCAGGGGAGGGCTTGGTGTGGTGGCTCACGCCTGTAATCCCAGCACTTGGGGAGGCCAAGGCAGGTGGATCACCTGAGGTCAGGAATTCAAGACCAGCCTGGCCAACATGGTGAAACTCCGTCTCTACTAAAAATACAAAAATTAGCTGGGCATGGTGGTGGGTGCCTGTAGTCCTAGCTACACAGGAGGCTGAGATAGGAGAATCACTTGAACCTGGGAGATGGAGGTTGCAGTGAGCTGAGATCGTGCCACTGCACTCTAGCTTCGGCAACAGAGCAAGCCTTTGTCTCAAAAAAAAAAAAAAAAAAAAAAGAAAAAGAAAAAGGAAAAAAACCAAACCAAACCAAACAAACAAACAAAACCCCACAAAAAACATCAGGGGAAAATAAGAACAACACCAAAGCATATCATAATCAAACTACTCAAAACCAGTGATTAAAAAAAATTTTAAAAGCAGCCAGAGGAAAAGCAGACATGTTATATATAAATAAACAAGATAAGAATGACAGTGGCTTTCTTGCAAGGAACAAAGTAAGTGAGAGGACAATGGAACATCTCTAAAATATTAAACAAGTAAACAAACAAACAAAATAACCCTTTGCACTAGAAGTCAACGTTCAGCAAGGATATCTTTCAAAAATGGAAGTGAAAGAAAGAGTTCTTTGGACACAGAAAATTGAAAGAATTAATCAAAAAGCATATCTGCAATAAATGAAGTGTTTAAGAAATTTTTTCAGGAGGAAAGAAAATGAGACCAGAAGGAAATATAGATTTACACAAAGGAGTGAAGAGTACTGGGAATGGTAACTACATAAGTATATATATGTATTTTTTCTTATTATTTAAATCTCTTTAAAGGATATTGACTTTTTATACAAAAATATGAATAATGGAATATTGGATTTATAACATATGGAAAAGTGAAGTATATGACAACAATAGTCAAAGATTAGGAGTGGAGAAATTGAAGAATACTATTATAATGTTCTTATATGTCAAGTGGTATAGTATCATTTGAAGGTAGACTGTCATAAAGAAATATTCTATAACCCGGATCAGCCACTAAAATAGCAAAACAAAGCCAACAAAGGGGGATTAAATGGAATAAAAGAAAAAATTCAATTCATTCAAAAGAAGCTAGAAACAGAGGAAAAAGTGACCAAAGAACAGATGGAACAAATAGAAAACAAATATTATCATGATAGGCTTAGACCTCATTATATCGTAACTACACTAAACAGAAATGGTCTAAACACTCTAATAAAAAGGCAAAGCATTTCAGTTTGGATAAAAAAGCAAGAACCCTTTATATATTGCCTATAAGAATCAGACTTTAAATATAAAAATCCAAATGGGTCAGAAGCAAATGATGTTAACACTAATGAAAATGAAGTTGAATGGCTCTATTAATACCAGACTAAGTAGATTTCAGAATCAAGAATATTTCCAGACATTAAAAAAGTTGATTTCACAATAACAAAGATGTTGATTAATCAATAATTCTAAATGTTTATGTTCCTAATAACAGAGCTTCGAAATACCTGAAGGCAGAAACTGATATAATTGCAAGGAAAAATAGACAAATTCACAATTGTAATTGAATATTTTAATACCTCTGTGTCAATATTTGAGAAAACAAGTAGACAGAAAATCAATAAAGATCATAAAGATGTGAAAAACACTATCAACCAAGTTATCTAAATGATATTTATAGAACATACAAGTCTCAAATGTCAAAGTATACAAATAATAAAAAATGTCCTATGACCAAAATGAAGTTAAATTAGACATCAAGTTAAATTCTAAATCAATAACAGAAAAGCTTCCTGAAAATTCCCAAATACGTGGAAATCAAATAACACACTTTTAAAAAACCCACGGGTTAAAGAAGAAATCAAAAGTGAAATTAGCACTTAGAATTGAATGAAAATCAAAATACAACAACATCAAAATGTGTTGCATGCCATGAAAGCAGTATTTAGACATTTACAGCACTAACGAGTATATTAGAGAAGAAAGTTCTTAAATAACCTAAGCTTCCACCTTGAGACACTAGAAAATGAAGAGCAAAATAAACCCAAAATGAGTTTTTAAAAACAGGAATAATAAGATCAGAATGAAAAATCAACGAAATAGAAAACAGAAAAGCAACAGAGAATATCAATAAAATCAAAAGTTTGTTCTTTAATAAGATTGGTGAAATCAGCTGGGCGTGGTGGCTCATGCTTATAATCCCAGCCCTTTGGGAAGCCTAGGCTGGCAGATTGCTTTGAGTTCAGGAGTTCCAGGCCAGCCTGGCCAACATGAAGAAACCCTGTCTCTACTAAAAATACAAAAATTAGGCCGGGCGCAGTGGCTCCAGCCTGTAATCCCAGCACTTTGGGAGGCCGACGCGGGCGGATCACTTGAGGTCAGGAGTTTGAGACCAGCCTGGACAACATGGCAAAACCCGTCTCTACCAGAAAAACAAAAATTAGCCGTGCCTGGTGGCCTGCGCCTGTAATTCCAGCTACTCAGGAGGCTGAGGCAGGAGAATCGCTTGAACCCGGGAAGCGGAGGTCACAGGGAGCCGAGATCGCACCATTGTACTCCAGCCTGGGCAACAGAGCGAGAGTCTCAAAAAACAACAACAAAAAAAGGTAAGTAAAATTGATAGACATCTAGCCAGATTTATCAGGATACACATTACCACTATCAGGAATGAGAGAGGTGACATCGTTAGAGATTCCATATACAGTAAGTGAATTATAAAAAATATGATGAACAATTTTTTTTTTTGGCCAATGAATTTGACAATGTAAATGAAACAGACAAATTCTTTGGAAGATGTAAGCTATCAAAGTTCACTTAAAGAGAAATCAATAATCTGAAAAACCCTATGTCTAGTGAAGAAATTGAATTTGTAGTTTAAAACATTCACAGAAAGAAAATTCCAAGCCTAAACAGCTTCACTGATGAATTCTGAATTCTACTGATTCAGATGATGAATTCTGAACTTTACGGAATTCTGAATTAATGAAGAAAAAATACCAATACCACACAAACGCTCCTAGAAAATGGAAAGGGAGAGAATATTTCCCAGCTCATTACTCTAATACCAAAATAAGGCAAACACATGATAAGAAAAAAGGGACAGTCCAATATCCCGCAAGTATATAAATGCAAAAATTCTAAACAAATTTTCAGGAAATCAAATCTAACAACATATAAATTTAAAGAAGATGAAAGATTAAAAACGTTTATCCCAAGAATGAAGGGTTGGTTTAATATTTGAAAATCAACCAATGTAATCCACTCTCAATAGACACAGTAAAACATTTCTCAAAACCCTTCATTGATTCCTGACAAGTACTCTCGGAAAACTAGGAATAGAAGGTAATGTTCTCAATCTGATAAAGAACATCTGTGTTTCCCCTTAAGGGGCCCTCTCACCATTCTAGTTAATATTGCACTGGAGATTCTCGGCCAGTGCCAGAAAATAAGAACAAGAAATGAAAGGCATCCGTACTGGAAGGAAAAACATAAAATTGGAAAATTAATGCTACCTGATTTCAAGAATTATATTATAAAGCTACAGCAATTAAGCTAAGGTATTATTGGCGTAAAAGTAGACAAAAGTGTCAATGGAATGGAATAGAAAGTTCAGAAATACACCCACACTTATATGGGCAATTAATTTTCAACAAAGATACAGAGTCAATTGAGTGGAGAGAGGCTAGTCTAGTCAATAAATTGTGCTGTAAGCCGGGCTCAGTGGCTCATGCCTGTTATCCCAGCACTTTGGGAAGCCAAGGTGGGTGAATCTTCCGAGGTCAGGAGTTCCAGACCAGCCTGGCCAACATGACGAAACCCCATCTCTACAAAAATACAAAAATTAACTGGGCATGGTGGCCTGTGCCTGTAGTCCTAGCTACTCAGGAGGCTGAGGTAGGGGAATCACTTGAACCAGGAGATGGAGGTTGCAGTGAGCCAAGATCACGCCATTGCAATCCAGTCTGGGTGACAGAGCGGGACTCCATCTCAAAAAAAAAAAAAAAAAATTGTGCTATAACAACTGAATATCCATATGTAAAACCTAAAACTATAACATTTCTAGAAGAAAACATAAGAGAAAACCTTTGTGACCTTATGTTAAGCAAAATTTCTTAAAAACAAAAAGCATGATAAAAAACTACAAATAGACAAATTAGAGTTCATCAAAATAAAAAATCATCTGTCTATAGGATACTGTTAAAGGAATGAAAAGACAAGGCATATAAATATATTTGTGGGAAATAACTTGTAAATCTTGTTATAGAAGTCTTGAATCCAGAATATATAAAGAACTTTCCAAACTTGATAAGAAGAAAACAAACAACCCATTAAAACAGATGAAATATACGTACACACACTTCAACCAAGAAGTGGTTCATGGTCCCGGCGCAGTGGCTCACGCCTGTAATCTCAGCACTTTGGGAGGTTGAGGTGGGCGGATCACGAGGTCAGGAGATCGAGACCAGCCTGGCTAACACGGTGAAACCCCATCTCTACTAAAAATACAAAAATTAGTCAAGTGTGGTGGCACCCGCCTGTAGTCCCAGCTACTCAGGAGGCTGAGGCAGGCAAATCACTTGAACCCGGGAGGTGGAGTTTGCAATGAGCCAAGATCTCGCCAATGCACTCCAGCCTTGGTGACAGAACAAGACTTCATCTCAAAAAAAAAAAAGAAGTGGTTCGTATGCATGGCAAATAAACCTGTGAAGAAACAATCAATACCTTAGTTTTTAGGGACACGCAAATTAAAACTACAGTATACGCCCTATAATTTATTATTTTAATCACATTGTTTGCAAATGTTGACTTTATTTTGGGTACCCGGTTATTTATGATACACTCACAGTTCATTTCTGCATAACAGAGTGTCAGGACATGGAGGCAGCAGGGGAAGCAATCAGGTACAGACTGATACACCTTACTAGGCCCTGAGATCTCAGGGGCCTTCTCTGGGCTTCATATCCTCATTGGGATGAATATTTTAGGAAGACTGGGATGTTTGTGGCATGTCCTGGTCACCCAGGCTGGAGTGCAGTGGTGTGATCATAGCTTACTGCAGCCTTGACCTCCTGGAGTCAAAGAATCCTCCTGTTTCAGCCTCCTGAGTAGCTGGGACTACAGGAACATGCCACCACACCCATCTAATTAAGAAAAAATATATATATATTTCTATATAATATTTATATATTTATTTATATATTACATTTATATTTATATATTATATAAATATATAATATAAATATATTTGCATAAAATATAACTATTTATATAAAGTATATATAAATATTGCAGTGGCAATATATATAATATATAACATATATATTTATAAAAATACATATGTATATTTTGTAGAGACAAGGTCTTGCTACGTTGCTTACTGGTCCTGAACTTCTAACCTCAAGCAATCCTCCCTACTCAGCCTCCCAAAGTATTGGAATTACAGGCATGAGCCAATGGCCCTGGCATCATCATCCATTTTCATTCATTCATTTATTACATGCTTATTCTGATCCAAGCAACGTGCTAGGCTCTGAAGACATGAAGATGAATACCACATGGTTCCTGTCTTAATGCAGCTTAGTCAATAATGGGTAAGGGAGGGATGTCAGAAAAGCGTGATACGAATGTAACTGGAACAAAGGAGATTAGATAGAGGAGGTTTTGGAGAATAAAGGCGAGTATTCCTGGGAGAACCCAATGGACACAAAGGTGACTCTTGGCAAGGCAATGAAAAGAGAAGGAGAGTCTGAGGCAGGAGGATCCCTTGAGGCTAGGAGTTCGAGACCAGCCTAGGGAACATAGTGAGACCTCGTCTCTACAAAATAAAATGAAAAAATTATCCAGGCATGGTGGCATGTGCCTGTAGACTTAGCACTTTGGGAAGCCAAAGTGGGAGTATTGCTTGAAGCTAGGAGTTCAAGACCAGCCTGGACAACAAAGCAAGACCCCGTTTCTACAAAAACAACAACAAAAAGTTAGCTGAATGTGGTGTTGCTCTTCTGTAGTCCCAGCTACTCAGGAGGCTGAGGTAGGAGGATTGCTTGAGCCCAGGAGTTCAAGGCTGTAGTGAGCTATGATCATGCCACTGCACCTCAGCCTGGGTGACAGAGTCTCAAAAACAAAAAAACAAAAATTAAAAAAGGGGTAAGGAGAAGGTGGCGGCCCTGAGCAATATCAGTTAGATCTCCTTTAACTCTTTTGTGTACTGGGGCCTCACATGCCTTCTCTCTGTCCCTCACCTTCAACTCATTCTTTGCTCCCCTAATACAATTCTACTCATCAGATCTCAGCTCAATAGCTCCTTTCGCTTTCATGTTCTCAGGGCATGCACCTTTTCTTTCTTTTTTTGTTGAGACAGTCTTGCTCTGTCATCCAGGCTGGAGTTCAGTGGCACGATCTCAGCTCACTGCAACCTCCGCCACCTGGGTTCATGCAGTTCTCCTGTCTCAACTTCCCAAGTAGCTGGAATTACAAGTGCGCGCCACCACGCCCAGCTAGTTTTTGTATTTTTAGTAGAGACGGTGTTTCACCATGTGGGCCAGGCTGGTCTCGAACTCCTAACCTCAAATGATCCACCTGCCTTGGCCTCCCAAAGTGCTGGGATTACATGCGTGAGCCACGGCGCCTGGCGACGCACCTTTTCTTCATAGCACTTTCCCTAACACTGTGGTTTCACATTTATATATTCGTTCTCTCAGTAGCTTTTTCCCTGCAATAGAACATGATCTCCAGCAGGGGACTCTGCCCCTGTCTGATTTGCTAACCTCTGCCCCCTCCAGCACCTTGTACAGTGCCTGGCACGTGGTAGGTGTTCAGTATCATTGTGTGGAATGCATGAATGAATGCATAGTTTGAAGAGAAGCTGGAAAAGCATCCCTGAATGCTATAGGCTGAGAGCATTTGAAGGCTGAGGGGGTTGGTTTTACGAAGGCCCCAGGAAACTAGCAGGCTTGGGTTGAGATATGATGTGGGTATGTCTAGTAGAATTCCACTATTTTGGAGGTCCTAAGAGGTCTCAGTCAGGAAATGACTCACATCACTGCACTATGCTCATAGGCTAGGCTTTGCCAATGGAGGTCACCCCAGAAGTCCCAGGGGTTATCAACGATTTACACACTAAATGCTTGTATTAATCTGTTCTCATGATGCTAATAAAGACCTACCCAAGACTGGGTAATTTATAAAGGAAAGAGGTTTAATGGACTCACAGTTTAGCATGGCTGGGGAGGCCTCACAATCATGGCAGAAAGCAAAGGAAGGCAAAGGAGAAGCAAAGGCACATCTTACGTGGCGGCATGTAAGAGAGCATGTGCTGTCAGGCATGGTGGCTCATACCTGTAATCCCAGCACTTTGGGAGGCTAAGGCAGGCAGATCATGAGGTCAGGAGTTCGAGACCAGCCTGGCCAACATGGTGAGTCCTGGTCTCTATTAAAAATACAAAAATTAGCTGGGTGTGGTGGTGCATGCCTGTAATCCCAGCTACTTGGGAGGCTGAGGCAGGAGAATCTCTTGAACCCGGGAGGCAGAGGTTGCAGTGAGGTGAGATCACACCACTGCACTCCAGCCTGGGTGACAGGGTAAGACTCTGTCTCAAAAAAAAAAAAAAAAAAAAAAAAAGAGAGAGAGAGGGAGAGAGAGAGCATGTTCAGGGGAACTCTCCCTTTATAAAACCATCAGATCTCGTGAGACTTATTCATTAGCACGAGAACAGCACAAGAAAGACCGGCCCCTATGATTCAATTACCTCTCACCAGGTTCCTCCCATGACACATGGGAATTATGGGAGCTACAATTAAGATGAGATTTGGGCAAGGCTCTTCTACAACATCCCTAATATTCCTTCTTTGGAGCCAAGCTTGTCTAAATTTTCAGATAATCTTGAGCAATCTGTGCAAAAGGCATATGCCATGAAATTCATTTCCTCAGGGGGCTCATGAAAATCTTCACAGAGCAGTGTGAAAAGTAAATCTCTCTAGGGTAGAGGAACAATTAAAGCTATGCATCAGAAAGATCTGTGTTCCAGTCCTGCCTTGGCCACTTTCTGGCTGTGTGATTTTTGGAAAGCAACTTCATTTCTCTGAACTTCACTTTCTTTTTTTTGAGACAGAGTCTCACTCTGTCGCCCAGGCCGGAGTGCAGTGGCGCGATCTCGGCTCACTGCAACCTCCGTCCACCTCCTGGGTTCAAGTGATTCTCCTGCCTCAGCCTCCTGAATAGCTGGGACTACAGGCGCGTGCCACCATGCCTGGCTAATTTTTTGTATTTTTAGTAGAGTCGAGGTTTCACCATGTTTGCCAGGATGGTCCTGACCTCGATATCCACCCGCCTCGACCTCCCAAAGTGCTGGGATCACAGGCCTGAGCCACCGCACCCTGCCACTTCACTTTCTTTATAAGGAAAATGGGATAACGTTATCTTTGTTCAATCTTTGCTGAAAGGTTTCCATTGGATAAGACCCATACATGATTCAGGACAAAGCCCGG
The DNA here is from genome assembly GCF_000001405.40 of Homo sapiens. Classification (NCBI taxonomy): domain Eukaryota; kingdom Metazoa; phylum Chordata; class Mammalia; order Primates; family Hominidae; genus Homo; species Homo sapiens. The sequence goes on along the minus strand of NC_000007.14, from coordinate 72,475,075 downwards.
TGCATGTTAAGAACCCAGTCATTGGGAAGAATGCCATAATTGCTATGTTTAGATACTGTCTTGAGAGGGTTTGATTCCCCAGGCTTGGGGGGGACAAAGTACTGCCTGGGACATGTCACGAAGTAAGCACAGAAGTAATCCAGATGAATGACTGTTGAGAGGGTGTTTCAGGTTCAGGGGGATAATGAAGCCTGGGCAAAGTCAAGGATGGAAGAGGCCAGTGTGTTTAGGGACTGCACAGCCCCACGTGCTGGGCACATGTGCAGAAGCGGCAAGAGGCAGGAGGGAGACGGTCTCAACTCATACAGGGCTTTATATGTCCTGCCCAAGAGTTGGGTTTTATCGTTTTAGGGAGCAATGAAGGGTCTCTGCTGGATTTTTTTTTTTTTTGGGACAAGATCTCGCTCTTGTCGCCCAGGCTAGAGTGCAGTGGTGCAGTCACAGCTCACTGCATCCTCAACCTTCCCAGCTCAAGCGATCCTCTGGCCTCAGCCTCCTGAGTAGCTGGGACCACAGGGATTGCCATCACACCTGGTTAATTTTTGTATTTCGTGTAGAGACAGGGCTTGACTATGTTGCCCAGGCTGGTCTTGGACTCTTGGGTTCAAGCGATCCTCCCACCTCAGCCTCCCAAAGTGCCGGGATTACAGGTGTGAGCCTCTGCACCTGGTCCCTGCAGGATTTTAAACACTGCATGCAGGTCCATCTCTTAGTGACATTTCCTTGAGAGCTTGGTTTCACTATCTGTCCAAGGAGTTAATAAAAAGTAAGAAATAATACAGAGAAAGAACAATGTCTTCTTTCAATGCCACACAGGAGCATTGTTTAACAAGCCCCCTTGGATTATTTAAATATAGAGGAGTGTACCTTTGTTTAATTCAGTATTGATTAAAAGCCTAGCCATTGCGGAGTTACATGTTAACTTGATGAATGTTTTCCCGGTGGAAATGCAATTGATTTCTGCTGGTAGAAGTGATATTTCCAAATGTTATGATCTTATTGCCCTGTAAGGATACTAACTAGTTTCGTATCCAACCTAGCAACTTTATTCTAACAATCTTTTTTTTCAAAATACTCAGTTCCTCAAATGCTTTTCGAATTGGCTTTACTTATTCACTTTCTTTCTTTCTTTCTTTTTTTTTTTTTTTAAACAGAGTCTCGCTTTGTTGCCCAGGCTGGAGGGCAGTGGTGTGATCTCGGCTCACTGCAACCTCCGCCTTCTGGGTTCAAGCGATTCTCCCAGCCTCCCAGGTAGCTGGGATTACAGGTGCCTGCCACCATGCCTGGCTAATTTTTTGTATTTTTGGTGGAGATGGGGTTTCGCCACGTTGGCCAGGCTGGTCTCGAACTCCTGACCTTAGGTGATCCGCCTGCCTTGTCCTCCCAAAGTGCTGGGATTACAGGCATGAGCCACCGTGCCCAGCCCTCAAATGCTTTTTGAACCAGCTTTACTTATTCACTTTTGAAACTGCTTTACCCAACTCTCTTAATTATTTCATTAATAAGTTAAATACATCTTTGGCATGTGTTCATTTTACATTTACATGAGAACCATGTTATTAACTTTCTGAAAATTATACTTCGATGGTGATATCAGCCAAAAATCTCGTTGAAGAGGGAGTTATGGAACTGGAAAGACTGGAGCGATTTTTTCATTTTAGTCTCGGGCTTGGGAAGCAAAGCTGGGAGGGGATGAGGGGAACCTGAGATGGAAAGGTTGTCATGAGGATTAAAGGGAGTATCACAGCTCAGATGGGCACCCTGAGACCTCGGCACCTGAGACCTGAGACTTTGTTTGAGGGTGAAGAGTAGCAAGAACAGGCTGGGCCGGGCACGGTGGCTCATGTTTATAATCCCAGCACTTTGGGAGGCGGAAGTGGGTGGATCGCTTGAATCCAGGAGTTCGAGACCAGCCTAGGCAACATAGTGAGACCCCTCTCTCTTAAAAAAAAAAAACAAAAAGAACAGATTGCACAGCCTCAAAAACAGGGGAGCTGACCCAGCTAAGCACAGGCACTTGGAGTTTGGTTGGGGCCAGTGTGGACCCTGGCCCAGGAGATGGTACAGGAAGGAGGGCTTCTCTGCAGCAGGTCATTCCAAGGTTAGACTAGCAGCAGCAGCTTATCTGCCTCCCGCCCCTTGCCCTGTATTTCTAGATGTAAATCTGTTGAAGGAAGAATTTAAGCCAAATCCTGGCCAATGTCCACGGGATAAAGTGAGCAGGCTCTGTCCCTTGTGGGAGGGATAGCAAGGTGTTTGGGCTGAGTGACACACCTTTCTTTTTTCTTTTTTGATGGAGTCTCTCTCCCTCTGTCGCTCAGGCTGGAGTGTAGTGGTGTGATCTAGGTTCACTGCAACCTCTGCCTCCCGGATTCAAGCAGTTCTCCTGCCTCAGCCTCTTGAGTAGCTGAGACTACAGGCGCCCGCCACCACGCCCAGCTAATTTTGTATTTTTAGTAGAGACGGGTTCACCGTGTTGGTCACGCTGGTCTCGAACTCCTGACCTCAGGTGATCCTCCCACCTTGGCCTCTCAAAGTGCTGGGACTACAGGTGTGAGCCACTGTGCCAGGCCTCGAGACACACCTTTCGTTGCAGAACTGGAAACACAGCAAAAGCTCCACCTTTCAGATCTGGCCAATGGGTGGGGGCAGGTGAGAATGAGAAGTGTTGGGACATGTTGGGAATGTGTTGGGGTCATGGGGCTCGATCCCAGGCATGGCAGATATTGTGCCGGGGGCAACTAAGGTGTGTCTGCATTGTCTCCATTGACCATGCATTCATCCACTTGCTCAACAAGGATGTATGGCCTTGCAAATGCCAGGCTCAGGAACGGAGATGCTGCGGGTGGGAAGGTTTTGGTGACTATGGCTGAGAAAGTGGCACTCTCCCTTTTCAATATCCATGTTCCTGCCTTCACTGTGGTGGATTTGGAAGCGGAGGAGCAGCATTCTGTTTACCAGGCCTTCACAGGACCTCCTTGGCTGGGCGCAGTGGCTCACATCTATAATCCCAGCACTTTGGGAGGTCGAGGTGCGAGGATTTCTTGAGGCCAGGGGTTTGAGACCAGCCTGGGCAACGTAGCAAGACCCCATCTCTACAAAACATAAAAATATTATGTGTCATGTTGGTTGCCTGTAGTTCCAGATACTTGGGAGATTAAGGCAGGAGGATTCCTTGACCCAGGAGTTTAAGGCTGCAGTGAACTATAATCATGCCACTACACTCCAGCCTGGGCCACAGAGCAAGACTCTGCCTCAAAAACAAACAAACAAAAAAGGACCCCATTGTGACGCCCCACGTGGTGGACAACTGTCTTGCTTGTTAACACTTAGCTCCTTTCAACACCTAACCGATGTTGGGAGAATTTCCCGCTTGATGGGCCAGCTCCTCCCCAAAATAAAGCTCAGGAATAAGCTCTCCCCATCACCCTTGCGGCTGAAGGCAGGCATGTGATTGAGGCTCTGCCCAGTCCCGTGGACCTGCATACATTTCAGTTTGGAAGCAAGTGACCCACAGAAGCAAGAACCCCATGGACACCACTTTGGTGAGGGTGGTGCAGAGACACCCTGCTTCCAGCACCAGCACAGAGCAGCATGTGCCCAGTGACAGAGAGAGTGTGTTCCCCCAGGGGAGGTGCATGGCTGAGGACCCATTGACACTGGGTAGCCTCTCTTTAGCACCTGGTTCAAGCCATTCACCAGGCAGCACCAATGGGTTTTAGGCCCTTCACCTGCCTTCTCCCCAAAGGAGATCCCAATGAAATACACCTGTCTCAACCTAGGGGTATCCTTGAGCATCTAGAAATGCCTCATGAAAAGGAATTCTGGGGGCTAGTTAGGAAACCCTATAAGCTCCAACTTGCCTGTTCCTTTAATAGAAATGCTGGATGATTGATTATATTGAGACCAGCCTGGGTAAGATAGCAAGACCCCATCTCTGCAAAAAATAAAAATATTAGCCAGTGTGGTGGTGCTTGCTTGTAGTTCTAGCTACTTGGGAGGCTGAGGTGGGAGGATTGCTTGACCCAGGAGTTCAAGGCTGCAGTGAGCCAAGATTGCACCACTGCACTCCAGCCTGGGCCACAGAGCAAGACTCTGCCTCAAAAATAAAACAAACAAACAAACAAAGGATCTCATTATGATGCCCCACGTGGGGGTCAACTGTCTTGCTTGTTAACATTTAGCTTCTCTGACCACCCAACCTATGTCGGGGAATTTCTCCCTTCCATCAGGGAGAAGACATTGACTGGCTGTCACTGAAATATACTAATTCTGGATATGGGTTTGCTTCCCCTGCTCACGTGTTCTGCCAAAAACACTATTTGTGGACTTAGAGAAAGCCTTAGTGGTCTTTATGGTATCCCACACAACATATGACATATTTTATTATTTTATTTTATTGTTTAATTTTAATTTTATATTTTACCAAGGAACTCATTTTACTGCAAAGAAAGTAAGGACATAGAAAAGAAAAATTGTCTCTTCTACTGCCTGGCTTAGGTCTGCATGTGCCTGTGACTGATGAAAAACAAGAAATCTATCCCCATTTCACACATTTCCAGTGGAGGTATATTTCTGCTCTTGGAGTAGTCAGGATAATCACACACTTCCATGATCATCTCAAAGTGCCATTTGATGCTATTTGTTGGCCAGACGTACATTACTGGGGGTACATCCAGGCTTTAAATTATTTTTTAGAGTCGGGGGTCTTGCTATCTTGCCCAGGCTGGTCTTGAACTCCTGGACTCACATGATCCTCCTGCCTCAGCATCCTGAGTAGCTGGGATTACAGGTATGAGCCACCACACCTGACTTCATCTGGGCTCTATGCACATTACTGCACATATGTAATTCTCACAATAACCCATTTTCCACATGACAAAGCTGAGGGGTCAGAGAGGATAAGCTGCCCAAGACGATATAGTTGGTAAGCTTCAGAGTGGCCTACCATGTTCAGAGCATTGTACACGGCTGGTGGGAATGTAAAATGGTTCAGTCACATGTTTAGTGTCTCATACGTGCCTATGTTCTTTTCACTGCTTTATGCCCCCTCATTTTATGGGAAACTGAAGGGAGTAATTCTACACTGGCTCTGCAGGCTCTATACTGCCCCATCTCCCCTTCTATGCTGACTTCAGAATCAGGACGTGAAGCCACAATTTCAAGGGACAGCTGAAATTTAGGAGGCTGCTTATGAGGCCTCCAGTTAGGAAAAGGAGAACTGATTCGAGTCACCTACCCTTGACTGGGTTCAGGCAAGAGTGAAAAAAATGATTTCACAATTTACTAGAAAGCTATACTAATCGAAACAGTGTGGTACTGGCATAGGATAGATAGTTTTATCAATGGGATAGAATTGAGAGTTCAGAAATAAACCGGCTGGGTGCGGTGGCTCATGCCTGCAATCCCAGCAATTTGGGAGGCCTACGTGGGTGGATCATTTGAGGTCAGGAGTTCGAGACCAGCCTGGCCAACATGGTGAAACCCTGTCTCTACTACAAATACAAAACAATGAGCTGGACGTGGTGGTGTGTGCCTGTAATCCTAGGTACTCAGGAGGCTGAGGTACAAAAATTGCTTGAACCCAGGAGGTGGAGGTTGCAGTGAGCCGAGATGGCAACACTGCTCTCCAGCCTGGGTGACAGAGTCAGACCTTGCTTCAAAAATAAAATAATAAAATAAAATAAATCCATACATCTGCGGCCAACTGATTTTTGACAAGGGTGCCAAGACCATGAAATAGGGAAAGGACAGCCTTTTTAACAACGGTACTGGGACAGCTGGATATTCACATGAAAAAGAATGAAGTTGTATACCTACCCCATATTACATTAAACAAACAAACAAGAAAACTCCAAATGGATTTAAGACCTAAGCTAAGAACTAAAACCCATTAAACCCTTAGAAGAAAATATAGGGGTAAATATTCATGACCAGGTTTTTGTGAACCAGTGGGTTCTTAGATATGATACCAAAAGCACATGTAATAGAAGAAAAATAGAAACATTCAACTTTATCAAAGTTAAAAACTTTTGGGCATTGAAGGTCATTGTCAAGGAAGTGAAAAGGAAACCCACAAAATGGGAAAAGAATTGCAAATCATATATCTGATAAGAGTCTAGTATACAGAATATATTTAAAAAACTCTTACAACTCAACAACAAAAAGACAACTGAATTTAAAAATGGGCAAAGGATTTGAACAGGCATTTCCCCAAAGAAGATATAAAAATTATCAACAAGCACATGAACAGATGCTCAGTGCCATTAGTCACTAAAGAAATGCAAATGAAAACTCCAAAGAGATATGACTTCATAGCCGCTATGATGGCTCTTAAAAAAAAATTTAAGTGTTGGCAAGAATGTAGAGAAATTGGAACCCATTGTACATTGCAGGTGGGAGTGGAAAATGTTTTCAACCACTGTGGAAAACAGTTGGTTGTGCCTCACGAAGTTGAACACAGGCCAGGCAGGGTGGTTCATGCCTTTAATACCAGCACTTTGGGAGGCTGAGTCTGGCAGATCACTTCAGCTCAGGAGTTCGAGACTAGCCTGGGCAACATAGCGAAACTCCATCTCTACACAAAATACAAAAATTAACCGGTAGTGTTGGCACATGCCTGTAGTCCCGCCTACTCAGTAGGCTGATGTGAGAGGATTGCTTGAGTCCAGGAGGTGGAGGTTGCAGTGAGCCAAGATCACACCTCTGCACTCCAGCCTGTGTGACAGAGTGAGACTCTGTCTGAAAAACAAAACAAAACAAAAAAAAGCAGTTGAACACAGAATTACCATATGATCTAGCAATTCCCCTCTTAGGAATATGCCCCAAAGAACTGAAAACAAGTACTCAAATAAATACATGTACAGAAACATTTGTAGCAGTACTATTCACAATGGCTAAAAGGTAGACGTAACCCAAATGTCCAACAATGGAAGACTGGATAAACAAATTGTGGTGTTTACATGCAATGGACTATTATGGGATCATAAAAAGGAATGAAGTACTTATACATGCAACAACATGGATGGACCTTGAAAACATGCTAGGTGAAAGAAGCTATGCACAAAACATACTATATGATTCCATTTACAAGAACTACCCAGAATATAGGTAAATCCAAAGAGATATCCAGAATATAGGTAAATCCAGAGAGATATAATACAAATTGGTGGTTGTTGGAGCTAGGGGTAGAGGGGAACGGGAAGTAACTGCCTGATGGGTCAAGGGTTTCCTTTTGTGGCGATGCAATGTTTTGCAACCAGGTAGAGGTGGATGTACTAAATGCACTAAGTTATTCACTTTAAGATGGTCAATTTCATCATGTGAATTTTAGCTTCATAAAAATATATTTTTTAAAAAGATCCAAGCAAGACAATAGTTGTGTAGCAGAGGACTCTACTTAGGGTGTGTTGCTGGGGCGGGGGTTGGGTCGGGGCTATGGACGGCCAGCTCTGATTGAAGTAGCAAGTCAAAGTTAACCAGAGCATTCCAGAGGGCTAGAGTGAGGGAGGTGGACCCCCACCAATCTGGGTGGGGCTCTGCCATGGACCTAGAGACCGCCACCAGCCAGCTGTCTTGGAGGTTTTATAAGGCTCTCTCCGGCTCCTCCTCCACCTGGCTGGCTGGCCCAGGAGTCCTGGCCGAGCTCCAGGGAGCTCGCAACACTCATTCCTCTTACAGCCCGAGCTGACAGCCTAGCTGGGGTCTGGCAGGCCTTCAGTGGGCTCCAAGGACGGGCCAGGGCTGCTCTGGCATGGCACCCCCCTGCCGTGTGGACATTGCAAACCGCCTTCTCAGCCCCACCAGCAGGATTGGGGACCTCTTTGGCAGCTCCAGGGAAAGGGCTTGGAACTGCCCAGGAACGCAGGTAAATGAGAGGGCCTGAGAGCTCTCGGGACTCATATTGGTCATAGGCTGTCTCAGACACATCTGAGGTGTGCGTGACCCAGTGCTGCTCTCCTTGTATCTTAGACCTGCTGCAGGGCCTGCCACTGTTCTCTGGGGGTAATGGAGGATGTTAGTCCAGGAACAGGCTTCTGATTAACTTCTCTTTGATCCTCAGAGCCCAACACTGACATCACCTCCTCCAGGAAGCCTTCCTATGCCCTAAGTGACCTTCCTCTGCCCTCAAAACATCCTTCACTTCCTACATATCATTTTCTTTCTTTCTTTCTCTTTCTTTTTCTTTTCTTTCTTTCCTTCTTTCTTTTTCTTTCTCTTTCTTTCTTTCTTTTCTTTCTCTCTCTTTCTTTCTTTTTCTTTCTTCCTTTCTTCCTTTCCTTCTTTCCCTTCCTTCCCTTCTTTCCTTCCTTTTCTCTTTCTCTCTTTCTTTCTTTCCCGAGTCTCACTCTGTTGCCCAGGCTGGTGTGCAGTGGCGCGATCTTGGCTCACTGCAAACTCCGCCTCCTGGATTCAAGCAATTCTCCTGCCTCAGCCTCCCGAGTAGCTGGGATTACAAGTGCCCACCACCACTCCGGCTACTTTTTGTATTTTTAATAGAGACGGGGTTTCGCCATGTTGGCCAGGCTGGTCTCAAACTCCTGACCATAGGTGATTAGCCCTCCTCAGCCTCCCAAAGTGCTGGGATTACAGGTGTGAGCCACTGCACCTGGCGACCCTACATAACATTTTCTACTCTATGTTGTAAATACCTTATGATCTCTTGGTTCCCCTGACACACTAGACTGTGGCTGGGGGTCTTTCTCCAGGGGTCTACTTACTGCCACAGTTGTCTTGGGTGCCTGCTAGTGACCCGGGAAGGCAGAACCAGTTCCTTCTCTTTGCCAGGTAATTTTCTGTTCACACCTGTGTGTGTGTACACACACACACACACACCACACATCTCAAGAAAAGTCTGTTGGGTCTGTTCTCCTGTTCAGGTCCCTGTGATAGAATCTAAACTATACAGAGCTGGAATGGGCAATGGAGGTGGAGTGGGCACTGTGACCTCCACCTAAACAGCTCAAACCCTTGCATCCTTCCAAGCATGGGCTTCTCTGTGCAAAGCTTTAGGGTATCCACCAGCAGAAGCATATAGTCTCTTGGCTGGCCAGATCTCCCCCTTGGATCCTGTTTCTCATCTTTGTTCTACTCTGATTTGCTTTTCTCCTTTCCCAAGCCCAGGATTGTCTCGTGGTGGGGGTGTCCCACACCCTCTTCCGTATCGGTGTCCCCATTCATTTCACTGTCACACAGAGTCAGGGGAGACCTGGAGCCTGGAAGGCTGAAGAGAGAAGGGTGGGGATTCCGCGCTCTGAGTGGCAGCTTGATTTTCCTTTCTGTTTCTCTTTGATCATTCCAAACTGTTTTAACAACAAAGCCAGCATTTTATACTGCAAGTGTTAATCTCCTACCCGCAGACCTCAATGATCCATGTATATGATTCATGTCTTCCTGCTAGCATAATGTTAGTACTTTATTATGATGGAAGAGTGTCTTGTCTCTTTCCCAATTTTGACTGTGACATTATAAAACCCTCTCCTATTGGTCTGGCCTTGGAGAGCTCCATGGTCAATTTCCACTGCTCATTTCTCCTGGCTGCAGCAGTCAGGGGTGGGTTTGAGTGGAAAAGATGTTAGCCCTGATACAAACACACACAGGCCACGTCTTAAAGCCCCAGTTTGGAGTTGAGGGTATCCAGGATATTGGCAGATGCAGGTCACTGCTAGAGCCTACTATAGGGGCAAGGAAGACAGAGCCCAGAAGCTCAAAAGCACACAACATAGCATGCATTTGGGAGCAGACAGAGCACTGGAATTTACCATCTGAAGTGATAAATATGTATGGGAGGTGCATGATGCTTTGAGATCACAGGGAGCTAACCTTGGGCATGAAGGAAGACTTCTCGGATGAGGTGATGTCTGCCCAGAGCCATGAAGAGCAAGTAAAGTTATCCAGGAGTGTGTCCACCTGTACCCTGACCTCTGAATTCTTTCCTCTTTCTCAAGTTCTGGAGAGAGCAGAGAGAGGCATCTGAGATATCGTCCTGTGCTGTGTCCAGGACTTTTGGGCTTGGTGGCCTGGACTCTGAAGTCTGAGCTGGACTGAGCATACCAGTGGGTGTTCCTCTGGGACCCTGAGGCTGTGCCTGAGTACAGTTGGAGACATCAAGAGGACATGGAGGTTCTTGGAATGCCATGAGGGTTGACATAGGTGGCACTGCCTCTGATTTCTGTCTGGGAGATTCTTAGGTTGGGTCGGGTCCCATTCTGGGACAAAGGGCACTGGTGGTTTCTGGTTTCCACATCTTTGCTATGGATGGCATCTGTCCCCAGGACTAAAAAGGAAGGATCTAAGTGAGACCCATTAGCCAACTTATCAGTGCCAGTTCCTCCTGTGGTTGGGAATATTGCTCTAACCTTGCTAACTTCCCAAAGCTGGAGCTGCTCCAGTCACTGTTACTTGGGGCAACTGTTAATTTTAGAGTCTGCAGTGGGCTTTGCTCTTGCAGGTTCAATGTATGATCTTAGGTGGGCTTAGCAACTCTAAGAAAGGGTTAACTGCAGGGCTTGGTGGGACCTTGACCACACGGAACAGGGAGAAGAGGAATGTGTGGGATTGGCATGAAGGGAGGAGCTAGCAGTGGGTTCCCTTGGGATGCAGGTGGCTAATATGGACATTTGGTCACCATTGGAATATGAATTTCTATTATCCAGAGGCATCGAAGAAAAGATTAACACAGGTTTTGAAGTCAGGTCAGTATTGATACTCAGAGATAGCACGGTCTAGTTCCACATGAAGGGAGAAACCCTTTTCTCTTCTTTTTAAGAGGCAGGGTTTTGCTTTGTTACCCAGGCTGGAGTGCAGTGGCACTGTCATAGCTCACTGCAGCCTTGAACTCCTGTGCTTGAGCAATCCTCCTGCCTCAGCCTCCTGAGTAGCTGGGGCTACAGGTGCATGCCACCATACTCAGTTAATTAAAATGTCTCTCTCTTTCTTTCTCTCTCTCTCCCTCCCTCCTTTCTTTCTTCTCTCTCTTTCTTTCTTTCTTTCTTTTTCTTTCTTCTTTCTTTCTTTCTCTTTCTTCTTTCTTTCTTTTCCTTCTTTCTCTGTCTCTCTCTTTCTTCCCCTCCCTCCCTCCCTCCCTCCCTCCTTCCCTTCCTTCCTTCCTTCCTTCCTTCCTTCTCTCACTTTGTTGTTTAGGCTGATCTTGAACTCCTGGCTTCAAGTGATCCTCCTGCTTCTAAGAAACCCATTCCTTTAAGTAGCCAGGCCAGGCCAGGAAAAGTGGCTCACGCCTGTAATCTCCACACTTTGGGAGGCTGAGGTGGGAGGATTGCTTGAGACCAGGATTTTGAGACCAGACTGGGCAACAGAGCAAGACCCCATCTATACAAAAAAAATTAAAAATTTGCCAGCGGTAGTGATGCTTGCCTGTGGTCCCAGCCACATGGGAGGCTAAGGTGGGAGGGTTGCTTGAGCTCAGAAGTTTGAAGTTGCAGTGGGCTGTGATTGCACTGCTGCACTCCAATCTGGGAGACAGAGTGAGACACTGACTCAAAAAAATAAAATAAAATAAAGTAGGCAGATCTCCACATTGCAAAACTCCAATGTTGGGGGGAGTACCACTGTATTCTGTGTGGATGGTGCTTCCTGAACTCCCAGAAAAATGCAGATATTCAAAATGCAAACCAGGCCATGTGTGGTGGTTGATGCTTATAATCCCAACACTTTGGGAGGCCGAGGCGGGCAGATCACTTGAGGTCAGGAGTTTGAGACCAGCCTGGTGAAACCCCATCTGTACTAAAAGTACCTGGTGGAACCTCATCTCTACTAAAAATACAGAAATTAGCCAGGTGTGGTAGTGGGTGCCTGTAATCCCAGCTACTGGGGAGGATGAGGCAGGAGAATCACTTGAACCCGGGAGGCGGAGGTTGCAGTGAGCCAAGATCGTGCCAATGCACCCCAGCCTGGGCAACAGAGCAAGACCCTGTCTCACTAAATAAATAAATAAATAAATAAAAATGCAAAGCATTCTGGCTCTGTGAGCCTCAGTGTCCACACCTGAAAAATGGAGATTATAGTAGCTAACCCCACAGCATGGAGGTGAGAATTAAATGCACCTCACCTAGTGCATGTACCAGGTGCTGAACAGTACGCATGATTGTTGCTATAGTAATGTTCATTGATGGAAGATGTGGGACTTGAGCAGAACTACGTGGATGGTAGAATCTGGGCAGTTGAGAGAGGGGAAGAAGACTTTCTGGTGGAGGTGGTGTGGTCTGGCTAGAGGAAAGTATGTGCCCGGCAAGTTCGGGCAGGCAGTGGCACAATCACGGTTGAACCCAGGGGTGTAACCCATGTGTAAATCTCTCCTCTTCCACAGACACTGTTCTCTAGAATTCTGGGGAAAAAGGGAGTGCATCTCACATCTGCCCCTGAATCTCCCACCTGGCAGGTGAACCTGCGTGGGGCAAGCTCCTCCCTGCTGTCCAGTCCCGCTGTGAGCTGCACTCCTTTGTCATTGTCCCCCCAGCCCATTTGGACTGCGACCTCCTCGACAGTATTGTGGGATTTTCTCCTTACTGCTCGACCTCATCAGTCATTCCCAGCAGGCACCGCACACCAGCCTTGACTAAAGATACAGGGACAAGCTGGTTGCGGTGGCTCATGCCTGTGATTCTAGCAGTTTGGGAGGCTGAGGTGGGAAGACTGTGGGAGCCCAGGAATTTGAGACCAGCCTGGGCAACATGGTGAGATGCTGGCTTTAAAAAAGATAGAGAAATAAGCTGGGCATGGTGTGCACACCTGTAGTCCCAGCTATTCAGGAGGCCAAAGCAGGAGGTATTGCTTGAGCAGCCTAGGAGTTTGAGGCTCCAGTGAGCTACAGTTGCATTATTGCACTCCAGCCTAGGTGACAGAGTGAGACTCTGTCTCAAATAAATAAATAAATAAATACATACATACATACATACATACATAAATTAAATAAAGGGACCACAGTGAAGGTGTGATGTAGTGAAACATATAGTTGGTCTTTGACCTGTTTCCTGGCATACAACTCCTAAAGTCCTAAGAAACTCCAAAGCGCAAAGTGATGTCCTTTTTTTTTTTTCTTTCTTTCTTTTTGAGACGAAGTCTGTCTCTGTCACCCAGGCTGGAGTGCGGTGGCGCAATCTTGGCTCAGTGCAACCTCCACCTCCCGGGCTCAAGCAATTCTCCTGCCTCCGCCTCCCTAGTAGCTGGGATTACAGGCGTGCGCAACCATGCTGGGCTAATTTTTGTATTTTTAGTAGAAACGGGGTTTTGCCATGTTGGCCAGGCTGGTCTCAAACTCCTGGCTTCAGGTGATCCACCCACCTCGGCCTCCCAAAATGCTGGGATTACAGGCTTGAGCCACCACGCCCAACCCATATGAATTTTAACTTTAGATCCAGGGATACAAGTACAGGTTTGTTGTTAGAGTAGCAAACTGCTCCCCTCTTTAGTCCCCAGGGTCCATTATTCACATCTTTGTGTCCACGTGTACCCACTGTTTAACTTCTACTTATAAGTGAGAACATGCTGTTTTTGGTTGTTTGTTTCTGCGTTAATTTGCTTGGGATAATGGCCTCCAGCTGCATCCATGTGGCTGCAAAGGACATGATTTCATTCTTCTTTATGGCTGTGTAGTATTCCATGGTGTATTTATACCACATTTTCTTTATCCAATTCACCACTGATGGGCAACTGGGTTGATTCCATGTCTTTGCTATGGTGCATAGTGTTGCAATGAACATATAAGTGCAGGTGTCTTTTTAGTAGAACAATTTATTTTCCAGGGTAGACAGCCAGCAATGGGATTGGGTTTGGTGGTAGTTCTGTTTCAGTTCTTTGAGAAATCTCCATGCTGTTTTCCACAGGGTCTGAACTAATTTGCACTTCCACCAACAGTGTATAATTGTTCCCTTTTCCTCACAGTCTCACCGATGTGTTACTTTTTGACTTTTGTACCCTTCGTGGGTCCGGTTCATGCTTTGAATCTGTCATGCCCCCTCATGAGGCATTCTATGGCATAGGTGTGCCTCCTCACAGCCTAGGGAATGGGATGGAGAGAAGGAAGGAGGAAGGAGAGGGGAAGCTGGAGAGAGAGAAGTGAATCAGGGATGGTTGGAACATGCTGTTTCTGCTATTTGCAAATCCTTCGAAACCTTGAATTTCAGAGCCATGGAGCTGAACCCAGACTCAGGGTGATTCAAGAAGGAAAAGCTGTCTGTCCTGCCGTGGGGGGAAGCAAAACCTCTATAGGGGGCACCTCCCAAAGCCACATCCACTGAGTACATGTGGCCACAGAGCTGACCACAGTAGGTCAGAGAATGGGACACAAGGGCTGAGCAACAGGAAATTAGACCTGGTACTCAAGGGGAGACTTCACTCGAGATGTATACAATGTATCCCATGCGTTCACAGAAATCTCATGTGGCAATAAGGACTTCATTTTCTTTCTTTTTCATTTTCTTTTTTTTGAGACTGAGTCTCAATCTGCTGCCCAGGCTGGAGTGCAGTCATGTGATCTTGGCTCACTGCAACCTCCACCTCCAGGGTTCAAGTGATTCTTGTGCCTCAGCCTCCTGAGTAGCTGGGACTACAGGCACCTGCCACCACGCCCGGCTAATTTTTGTATTTTCAGTAGAGACGGGGTTTCATCAGGTTGGCCAGGCTGGTCTCGAACTCCTGACCTCAGGTTATCCACCCACCTCAGCCTCCCAAAGTGCTGGGATTACAGGCATGAGCCACCACACCCGGCCAAGGACTTCATTTTCATCTCCATTTTACCACCTGTAGAATAAAGTGGATGTCTTTCCACCTTCATAAGTGACATCGTTTGGATGTTTGTCCCCTCTGAATCTCATGCTGAAATGTGATCCCCAGTGTTGGAGGTGGGGCCTGGTGGGAGGTATGTGGGTCATGGGGGCAGATCCCTCATGGATGGCTTGGTGCCATCTCCGTGGTAATGAGTGAGATTTCACTCTATTAGTTCATGTAAGATGTGGTTGTTTAAAGGGTCTGGTTTAAAGGGCCTCCCTCTCTTGCCATGTGATGCTGGCTCCCCTTTTCCTTCCACCATGATTGGAAGCTTTCTGAAGCTTTCCCAGATGCAGACGTTGGCTCCATGCTTCTTATACAGCCTGCAGAACCATGAACCAAATAAACCCCCTTTCTTTATAAATTACCCAGCCCCAAGTATGCCTTTATATTAACAGCAATGCAAAATGGACTCATAAAATGAGAGAAGGCTGTAGGTTGGAGACTGGACTTTGGTGCTATCGGAAGCTGGTGGCTTAGTATCTTGCACGCCTGTATTCCATACACATGGAAGCTGTGTCGTGTTGGGTTGCCTTTTCTTTAAATTGGAAAATATACATTTCCTTTGATGCAGCAACTCTTGAGCAAGAGTGGAGGGCTAGTTGCATCTGAGGCATTTTATTTCCACATTTAGGTTGGTCTAGCCTTTTTTTTTTTTTTTTTTTTGAGACAGGGTTTCACCCTGTTGCCCAGGCTGGAGTGCAGTGGCACCATCATAGCTCACTGCAGCCTCCACTTCCTGGGCTGAAGGGATCCTCCTGCCTCAGCCTCCTGAGTAGCTAGGACTATAAGGCCTGCACCACCATGCCCAGCTTAGCTTGCCTCTGCAGGCAGATATGCAGTGAAACAACTCTAGAAAATTTTGGCAATGTCAGGAAAATGAGAAAAATTAATAAATCATAACTTGTGTATTACTCTAACAAATAAGACAACTATTTACTTATTGGACAGACTGTCCCTTGATTACAGGCCATTAGTGGCTACAGGTTGTTGACATTTTG
This sequence comes from Homo sapiens, assembly GCF_000001405.40. Taxonomy (NCBI): domain Eukaryota; kingdom Metazoa; phylum Chordata; class Mammalia; order Primates; family Hominidae; genus Homo; species Homo sapiens. Next base: position 72,459,290 of record NC_000007.14, on the reverse strand, counting down.
TTAGAATTTCACAGGTGTGAGGTTGAAAAATCGCGCATTTTACATCAGGGAGCTAAGCTCACTTCGCATGTTAATATAGAAATATACGACCAGGCGCGGTGGTTCATGCCTGTAATCCCAGCACTTTGGGAGGCTGAGGCAGGTGGATTACCTGAGGTCGAGAGTTTGAGACCAGCCTGGCCAACATGGTGAAACCCCGTCTCATACAAAATTTAGCCAGGAGTGGTGGCACATGCCTGTAATTGCAGCTACTCAGGAGGCTGAGGCAGGAGAATCACTTGAACCCAGGAAACGGGAGGTTGCAGTGAGCTGAGGTTGTGCCACTGCACTCCACACTGGGCGACAGAGTAAGACTCTGTCTCAAAACAAAAACAAACAAACAAAAAACCCCAAAAAAACCAAAACAAACAAATATATATATGAATATATAAAAATATATTATATATAATATATTAAATATTATATTGTATATTAAATACAATATATTATGTATTATATAATGTTATATAAAATATATTATATAATATAGAATATATTATAAAATATATTATATAATATAGAATATATTATAAAATATATTATATAATATAGAATATATTATAAAATATATTATATAATATAGAATATATTATAAAATATATTATATAATATAGAATATATTATAAAATATATTATATAATATAGAATATATTATAAAATATATTATATAATATAGAATATATTATAAAATATATTATATAATATAGAATATATTATAAAATATATTATATAATATAGAATATATTATAAAATATATTATATAATATAGAATATATTATAAAATATATTATATAATATAGAATATATTATAAAATATATTATATAATATAGAATATATTATAAAATATATTATATAATATAGAATATATTATAAAATATATTATATAATATAGAATATATTATAAAATATATTATATAATATAGAATATATTATAAAATATATTATATAATATAGAATATATTATAAAATATATTATATAATATAGAATATATTATAAAATATATTATATAATATAGAATATATTATATAATATATTATAAAATATATTATATATTATAATATATTAAATATAATACATAAAATAAAATATATATATAAATATATTAAATATATATATATTTATAAAACCAATTTTCATTTTAACCAGAATTTGTTGTGAGGCCACTCTGTACCAGGCACTAAGAATAGGAAGGTGGCTGGGTGCAGTGACTCATGCCTGTAACCCCTGGATTTTGGGAAGCCAAGGTGGGGAAGATGGCTTGAGCCCAGGAATTTGAGACCAGCCCGGGCAACATGACAAAACCCTATCTCTACAAAAAATACAAAAAGTATCGAGACGTGGTGGTGCATGCCTGTAGTCTCAGCTACTCAGGAGGCTGAGGTGGGAGGATCACTTGAGCCTGAGAGGTCGAGGCTGCAGTGAGCTATGATTGCACCTCTGCACTGCAGCCTGGGTGACAGAGTGAGACCCTGTCTCAAAAAAAAAAAAAAAAGAATAAGAAGGTAAGGGCCACTTGCCACTTATGGAGGGACACCACCTTTAAAGAGTGGGGGACAGTCCTGTGGAGGGATGAATAGCTATGCAGTGTGGTGACTGTTTCAGGGAAATAGGTACCTCTCTCTCTCTGGGAGAAGGAGGAGGAAGAGGGAAAGGTGATACTCGGGATAAGGTTTCCCAGTGAATGTGACATCTGAGTAGGGCCTTGATGGATATGTAGGAGTTCACTAGGGCAGCAAGGAAGGGCATTCCAGGCTGGAGGAACAGCACTCACTAAGGCCCCAAGGTGTGTACAGCTGACCTCTTCTGGGAGTTGCAAGTGGTTTCATGTAGCTGGAGACCATGTACTTTCAGTGGGAGCTGGAAGGAGATGAAGGTGGTGAATGGTCATTTGGTGCCAGCAACTTATGAAAGGGCATTTAAGGCAGATTGTGGAGTTTGATTTTTATTCCAAACACTATGAGAAACAAATGTTTTGCATGTTAAAAAGACTAAGCTGCAGATCACCTGAGGTCAGGAGTTCGAGACCAGACTGGCTAATATGGTGAAACCACATCTCTACTAAAAATGCAAAAAATCAGCTGGGCATAGTGGCACATGCCTGTAATCCCAGCTACTCAGGAGGCTGAGACAAGAGAATCGCTTGAACCCGGGAGGTGGAGGTTGCAGTGAGCTGAGATTGCATCACTGCACTCCAGCCTGAGCAACAAGAAGGAAACTCTGTCTCAAAAAAAAAAAAAAAAAAAAAGAAAGAAAGAAAAAGAAAAAAAAGACTGAACCAATTATGCATCAATTGTATACCCTTGTTCAAGTTTCCCTCATTACCTACTTGGGCTCTAAGACAGATCCCTTAGATATGCCGTATGGTTGAGGGATCTTTTATATTTTTATTTATGTTTATTTTTTTAGACAGGGTCTCACTCCAGTCTCCTAGGCTGGAGTACAGTGGAACAGTCATGACTCACTGCAATCTCAACTTCCTGGCCTCAGGTGCTCCTCCTGCCTCAGCCTCCCAAGTAGCTGGGACTACAAGTGCACGCCACCACTCCTGGCTATTTTTCTGTAGAGATGGGGTTTTACCATATGTTGCCCAGGCTTGTCTTGAGTTCTTGGGCTCAAGCAGTCTGCCAGCCTCGGCCTTCCAAAGTGCTGGGACTACAGGCATGAGCCACCATGCCTGGCTGAGGGATCTTTTATATATTTATTATTATTTTGGAGACAGGGTCTCATTCTGTCTCATGGGCTCGAGTGCAGTGGTGCAGTCATAGTTCACTGCAGTCTTGAACTTCTGGGCTCTAGCAAGCCTCTTGCCTCAGCTTTCTGAGTAGCTGGGCTGACAGGCGTGTACCACCATTCTTGGCTTATTTATTTATTTATCTATTTATTTATGTTTGTAGAGACAGGGTCTTACTATGTTGTCCAGGCTGGTCTAGAACTCCTGGCCTCGAGTGATCCTCCCACCTCGACTCCCCAAAGTGCTGGGATTATAGGTGCGACCCACCAAGCCCAGCCATGAAGGATCCCTCTTACAATGGTACATCTCTCTCTCTCTCTCTTTTTTTTTTTTTTTGAGACTGAGTGTCGCTCTGTTGCCAGACTGGAGTGCAGTGGCACGATCTTGGCTCACTGCAACCTCTGCCTCCCAGGTTCAAGTGATTCTTTTGCCTCATCCTCCTGAGTAGCTGGGACTACATGTGCGTGCCACCAGGCCCAGCTAATTTTGTATTTTTAGTAGAGATGGGGTTTCACCTTGTTGTCCAGGATGGTCTCGATCTCTTGACCTCGTGATCTGCCCGCCTTGGCCTCCCAAAGTGCTGGGATTACAGGCGTGAACTCACCATGTTAAGACACAGCTTAGCCCTATAGTGGCTTCCCCTCTCCCTCACTGTCAAGTTCACAGCCTCATGAATATCTCTTGCTTATTTCTCCTGCCTGACCTTGACTGGTCTCTCCCCTTGATTGATGTTGGCTTATTCCCCCTTGCTTGGAGCCTGGGAATCTTGGAGCTCATTCTGTTGGTCAGGAGCAATCTCGCCTCCATCACCTCATCAACACCTATGATCTTCCAGGTTCCAATGTCACCAACACCCATCTCAGGAGCCTCCTCCATGTCCCCGGAGTAACTCAGTCCTCACGATGAGAACCAGGGGCTGTACTGTACATTTCTTCCTTTAGACACTTGTCCTCCTTTGCAATTGTTTGAAATTTGTCTTTCCTGCGAGCTCCTGAGCTCCAAGAGGGCTTTATCTCCCTCGTTTGTCACTGAGTCATAGGCTATGGGGTATGATTTGTGAATGAGTGGAGATAGGGGATTCATTGAGAGAAAAAATATATATATAATATATGTGCATAAATATATATGTGTGTATTATATATACACACCTATGTACACACACACACACACACACACACACACACACACACACACACATATATATATATATTGTTTCTAGAAACATGGCCTTCCTCTGTTGCCAGGCTGGAGCACAGTGGTGTGATCATAGCTCACTGCAGCTTCAAACTCCTGGGCTCAAGTGATCTTCCTGCCTCCGCCTCCAGAGTAGCTGAGACTACAGGTGCACTCCACCATGCCCAGCCAGAAATTTCTTGTAAGAGAGCAGAGGCCGGGCGCGGTGGCTCACACCTATAATCCCAGCACTTTGGGAGGCCAAGGTGTGCGGATAATCTGAGGTAGGGAATTTGAGATCAGCCTGACCAACACGGAGAAACCCTGTCTCTACCAAAAATACAAAATTAGCTGGGCATGGTGGGGCATGCCTGTAATCCCAGCTACTCAGGAGGCTAAGGCAGGAGAATCACTTGAACCCGGGAGGTGGGGTTTGCAGTGAGCGGATATGGTGCCATTGAACTCCAGCCTTGGCAATAAGAGCGAAACTCCATCTCAAAAAAAAAAAAAGAGACCAGAGAAGAGATCAGTAGGGCTTAACTGAAGCCAGCAGCAGTGGGAACGGAGAGGAGGAGACAGCTGAGGGCCGTATTTCTAAGATAGCACAAATAAATCACATTTGATGTGGTGTGCTGGAAGAGTGGAGAGGGGTAGGACGATGATCTGAAGTGTTGCAAAGACATTTTTCTTCCTCTCCCCACATTTTTGCTCCTTCCTGTAGTGAAGGAATACTTCTGTTTTGTTCTCTGGGCTTTTGCCTTTCTGCCAATCGCTTTCTATAAGGAGGAGAACTTGTGAATCCCTGACCTGAGCTGGGACCTGGATTAGTGGCAGGGTCTGGTGTCTGTGGTCAGAAAGTTCATTGCCATTCAAAACTGGTCACTTTATTGATCTTCCTGTTTTTTTGCAGACAGCCCAGTGGGACAGGGCGTTCATTACTTGAAGCTGGCCTCTTTCAGCTGCCCCTCTCTCTGTGTCTGGTGGGTGCCTGATCAAGCCTGCTCTCCAGGTCTCATCACCCCTGATGGTCTCCCTCCTCCCAGTGGAGACACCACAGTCATCTCTTAGACCTCCTAGCCTAGGGCAGCTTCTCCAGGCACTGCCTGGGGCTCCTCTATTCTTTGCATGATTCTCAGAGCAGAGATCCCACAGATGATGAATTGAGAGCTGAATTGAGGCCTTCCAATTCCCTAACAACCTACACTAACCAAGTTCTAAAAATATTAGTAAAACGTACGGACATTTACCTAACACACCTAACACAATTAGATAACAAGCTGTGCTGGTATTCCATTTAATTCTCCCAAAGCAAAGTTTTTTAGTTGCCCATGAATATATATATATATATATATTTTTTGGTTGTGAATTCACTACATCTAAAATTAGACTTGGAATATTGTTTCTTCTTGATATACTAATGTGGTTTAATAAATGACAAATACGTAATACAAGGATGTGCCAGCGGGCTCCAACTTAAGGAATGATCTTAAAACTTCACTCTCTCTTATAATTCCTTTCATGTTTCCATGTTGACATTTATACTCCAAAGTGCATTATCTGTGCCCAGCTGTTCAGATTAGGGCTGCACCATGGCTATGAGAACACTCCAATTTGGAATCTCCAAGGAAAATTCTTGTCCGGTCAGGAAAACAAAATCCACATGAGATGTTTCAAACAGATGGCATTTCATACAGATGATTAGTTGCACAGGAACTGGAAAGCTGAAAAAACCCAGAGATTTGTAATTGCAAGAGTAGCTAATGAGATAGTAGGTGGGACTTGACTGTGGACCAGATTGAAGACTGGCTGAAACAGGGAAGAGGCACCTAAAGCATTTTTCCATAAGACATGCCCACCAGCATCATGACTGTTTACCATTGCCATGGCAACATCCAGAAGTTACCACCCCTTTCCAGGGCAATGACCCGGAAGTTACTATCCCTTTTCTAGAAACTTCTGAATAGCCTGCCCCTTAATTTGCATGTAATTAAAAGTGCGTATAAATATGACTGCAGCACTGCCCCTGAGCTGATACTCTCCACACACTGTGGGGTAGCCCTGCTATGCAGGAGCAGTCACGGAGCTATAACACTGCCCCTTCAATAAAGCTGTTTTCTTCTGCCATCAGCTTGCTCTTGAATTCTTTCCTGAGTGAAGCCAAGAAACTTCCCAGCCTAAGCCCCAATTTTGGGGTTCACCTGCCCTGCATTACTACTACCACTAGGGCTGGGGGAAAGAAAAGTAAGATGTGATTTGCCTGGCTTAGGAAGGGCTGGACCTCTGAGGGGTGCAGTGAGGCTGGCATCAGCAGAACCAAAGCTTGCTGGAGGCTTGAGCCAACTCTCTGCTGCTTTCCTTTCTCCTTGCCTTCCCATCTCCTGAGTCCTCCTTTGACTGAATCTAACAGGAAGCCGGCAGGTAGGAGCACTAGTAATTGTGGTCTGGAGAGCCTGGCCCCCACATTGCAGAGTCTCTGTGGGTATCCTGGAGCTGAGGGGCAATGGGAAGTAACCAGCACAAAACCAGATTTACATACAGGCCAATTTTGAAGCTCCACAAAAATCACTCCCACCTTAAACAGATATTAGGCCTCCTGGATTCTATTCTGATAAGCTTATCTCTTAGAGGTTCAATAAAGCTAAGCTCCCTGAATTAGTCTGTTTTGCACTGCTATAAAGGAGTACCTGAGGCTGGGTCATTTATAAAGAAAAGGTTTATTTGGCTCACAGTTCCACAGACTGTACAAGAAACATGACACAAACATCTGCTTCCGGTGAGGTGTCAGGAAGCTTCTACTCATGGTGGAAGGTGAAGGGGGAGCAGGCATCACGTGGTGAGAGTCAGGAAGGGAGAGAGAAGGAGGAGGAAGGTGCCAGGCTCTTTTTTTAACAATCAAATCTCTTGTTAACTAATAGAGTGAGAATCCACTCATTATCACAAGGAGGGTGCCAAGCCATCCATAAGGGATCCACCCCTGTGACCCAAACACCTTACTCCAGGCCCCACCTCTAACATTGGGGGTCACATTTCAACATGAGATTTGGAGGGGACAGATATCCAAACTGTACCACTGCTGCAGATGGGAATGAGATCAGAGCAGAGACCCCACAAGGAGTGAGTTGAGAGCTGAATTAAAGCCCTCCAGTTCTCTAATAACCTCCCCCATCCAAGTTCCAAAATATTCATAAAATATATTAACATTTACCTAACACACCTAACATAACCAGACAACAAGCAGAATATTAATATGTAAATTATCCATAGTCTTTTGCTGTGCTGGCATATTCCATTCAATTCTCCCAAAGTGAAGTTTCTTTTCCTTTAAAAAATTGATTGTAAATAGAGATGGGGGTATCACTTGTTGCCCAGGCTGGTCTTGAACTCCTGGGGCTCAAGTGATCTTCCCATCTCAGCCTCCTGAAGTGCTGGGATTACAGGCATGAGCCACTGCACCCAGCCCCAAAATAGAGTTTCTTAGTTGCTCCTGATTTTTTTTTTTTAATTCACCACATCTAAAATTAGATTTGGAATATTGTTTCTTCTTGATAGGTTAATTTGGTGTAATAAATGACAAATACATAACACAAGGATGTGCCAGGAATAAACAAAGTGGAGCTTCTCATTTGTCCTTGACTTGTCAATCACCGGGGATGGGGCAGATCATCTTGTGGGCCAAAGGGGTGCCAATGGTGAACCTTAGGCAGGAGCTGAGGGACCGTCTCTTTCTCTCTGGGTTTTAGTTTCTCCTGTTTGGAGGTTGATAGGTCAAGGTAGACATGAGGGTACTCCCTGGTGATGGATGCTGTGGACATCTTACCAGCCCACAGGACCCTAGGGGCCCCAGGAGAGTTGAGTTCTTGTCTTTGGGCAGGTTACCAGCTGCAGCTTCTCTTCTTCTCCTTCTCCTCCTCCCCCTTCCCCAAATCCCCCTCCTACTCCCCCTTCCCCCACTCCTCCTCCTCCTTCTTCTTTCTTATTTTTTCTACTTTTTCTCTTCTTCTCCCTCCTCCTCTTTCTTTCTCCTGCTCCTCCTCCTTCTTCTTCCTCTTCTCTTCCCTTCGCCCCTTCTTCCTCCTTCTCCTCCTCCTCCTCTTCCTCCTCTTCCTCCTTCTCCTCCTCCTCCTCCTCCTCCTCCTTCTTCTTCTTCTTCTTCTTCTCCTCCTCCTGCTCCTCCTCCTCCTCCTTCTCCTTCTTCTCCTTCTCCTTCTTCTTCTCTATCTCTTCTTCTCCTTCTCCTTTCTTCTCCTCCCCCTCCTCCTTCTTCTGCCTGGTCTAAGTTCTGTTCTGAGGAACTGTGGAGAAAGCTGGGGGAAGATATGAACTGTAGCATCCTGGGGCACAGAGCTTCCACAAGGCCGTCATGGTGGCAACTATGGGGACATGATTGAGAGAACTCTAAGGGACTGGAGAAAGGGCAGAGTTGAGGCCACTGCTCCTGCCCCACATGAGGATCCTCTAATCTCAAAAAAATTAGGGCTTTATTTTATTTTTGTTTTCATTTTTATTTTGAAACAGAGTCTCACTCTGTAGCCCAGGCTTCAGTGCAGTGGTGTGATTTCTGCCTCAGCCTCCCGAGTAGCTGGGATTACAGGCATGCACCACCATGCCCAGCTAATTTTTGTACTTTTAGTAGAGATGGAGTTTTGCCATGTTGCCCAGGTTGGTCTCAAACTCTTGGACTCAAGTGATCTGCCTGCCTCAGCCTCCCAAAGTGCTGGGATTACAGGCGTGATCCACCATGCCTGGCTGGGGCTTGATTTTGTTAATGAAAAAGCAGAAATAGACCCAAAGATTTGAGGAGGACGTAGTAGGAATAGTGTTTGGAACTCCCCTGCAGACAATTCCTCGTCATGTGGTCCTTGTTGGCCATCTGTGCTGTGCCATCCTCTGTTGACCTGAGTCCACTTTACTTGGAGATGGCCCACTGGGCGCTGGGGGTCGGGGGGCTCTGGGATTGTGAGTCTGTGGACACTGTTTATGCCAGGTGTACATCCCCCACTTACAACCTCATTATTTCCCACACCTTTCTTTAAGGGGAAGAGAAGATGCAATATGCAAATCTCCTCGGAAAATGGAGGACAAGAAATTGCATGTAACTGATGTCTGACTGGGTGATGGCAGATTTTTATTTTTATTTTTAAAGACAAGAGCTTACTCTGTTGCCCAGGCTGGAGTACAGTAGCACCATCGTGGCTCACGGTAACCTTGAACTCCTGGGATCAAGTGATCCTCCTGCCTTAGCCTCCCAAGTAGCTGAGGCTATAGGTATGCACAAACATGTTCAGCTAGCTTTTAAATTTTTTGTAAAGATGGGATCTTGCTATGTTGCCTAGTCTGGCCTCAAACTCCTGGCCCCAAGGGATCCTCCCTCATCAGCCACCCAAAGCGTTGGGATTACAGGTGTGAGCCACAGTGTCCAGCCTAAATAGCTGACCGAATATTCTTTTTTTTTTTTTTTTTTTTTTTTTTTTGAGACGGAGTCTTGCTCTGTTGCCCAGGCTGGAGTGCAGTGGTGCAATCTTGGCTCACTGCAAGCTGCATCTCCCAGGTTCACGCCATTCTCCTGCCTCAGCCTCCTGAGTAGCTGGGACTACAGGCGCCCGCCACCATGCCCGGCTAATTTTTTTGTGTTTTTTTAGTAGAGACGGGGTTTCACCATGTTAGCCAGGATGGTCTCGATCTCCTGACCTCGTGATCCTCCCACCTTGGCCTCTTAAAATGTTGGGATTACAGGCATGAGCCACCGCGCCCAGCCTGACGGCAGATTCTTTGCTGACAAAGATTTTCCGGCCAGTGGGGGTGAGGGCTGTGGGTATCTAAGGGTGTGAACCAGGCAGGGGTAAAGTGGGCACAGAGGGAGGTTTGCTGGGAAAGCTCAGGGATTTTGCTGAAAGCCTACTCTTTCTGACATTGCCAGTCTGAGCTGGCCCAGTGCAGGGTCCATTTCTTAGAGAAGTGGCTAGGATCTGGGAGATTGTGGCCATTCCGCTCCATCCCTCACGGACTCTGAGGTCCTTAGAGATGATCCTGCTCAGATTTTCTCAAGATTTTTAGGGCATGCCCTCTGCAGTGCGCCGTCCGCATCTGCCAAGAAGATTTGGTCAACCTTGGTGCTGAGATAATTGACAAGCTTTCTAAAAGTCCATATATCCCCTTCCTTCCTTTCCCTTTCTGTTAAGAGCATTACTGGCTTAGTTCAACCCTGTCTAATTTTCAAATTATAAACCCAGGCTCAAAAGGGGAAGGGGGTCAAATGCATGCTCTTAGTAGAGCTGAGATGGGATCTGGGGTTCACTCTGACACTACAGCCCACCTCCCTCCTGGACACCCCTGACACTCACTCCAAGGCACGTACCCTGGAGATCTCTGGCTTCTGAGCACCAATTGGCTGGATTTATTTCACGTGCTTATGAGGGGAAAATGGCATTAAAAAGATCATGCGGCCGGGTGCGGTGGCTCACGCCTGTAATCCCAGCACTTTGGGAGGCCGAGGGGGGAAGATCATGAGGTCAGGAGTTTGAGACCAGCCTGGCCAACATGGTGAAACCCTGTCTCTACTAAAAATACAAAAAATTATCCGGGCATGGTGGTGCACATCTGTAGTCCCAGCTACTCGGGAGGCCGAGGCAGGAGAACTGCTTGAACTCAGGAGACGGAGGTTGCAGTGAGCCGAGACCACGCCACAGCACTCCAGCCTGGGCAACAGAGTGAGACTCCGTCAAAAAAAAAAAAGATCACGCAAGGTGCCACCATATTGACTAAAGAAAGATCTCGGAAAAACCGACTCCATAGTGTGGGATGCCAAGTGCAATGAGCTATTGTGAGGATGAGGTGTGGCGGTCTTAGCCAAGACAGGCTCACAAAGGGACCAGCAGCTGCTCAAGCAGGGGCAAGCAAAAAGAGGCAGCGTGGGAAGGGGGTCTCTGAGGCTGACCCTCTATCCCTGACACAGGAACTGTCCTTGACACAGATTCGTGCTCTATCAAAGGCAGCCGGAGATGCCAGGAACTCCCAACACGGGTTTGCTCTTCCCCTCATCCCTGTGGCTACGTTTCTCTGTTCCACTCCTGGCCATGCTGTGTGTCACAACTACTTCTCTTGGTGATCTGCCTGTAATATGCAGGCAGTGTGTCTAGCTGGCTGCAGGCACATGGCTGGAAAAGTGGGCAAGTAGGTGTGTGTGCATGGGAAGATGTGTGTGCATGAACAGGCATCTATGGGTGTACGGGCAGACATGTGTGTACCTGGGTAGGTGTGTGTGTGTGGTATGTCAGGCATGTGTGTGAGTGTGCATGAGCAGGCATGTGTGAACCTGAGCGGGCATGTGTGTACCTGGGCAGGCATGTGTGTGTGTGTGTGTGTGTGTGCATGGGCAGGCATGTGTATACCTAGGCAGGCGTCTGTGTGTGTACATGGGCAAGCGTGTGTGTATGTGTGTACATGGGCAGGCACGTGTGTGTGGTATGGGCAGGCATGTGTGTGTGCATGGGCAGGAATGTGTGTGTACACGGGTGGGTATGTGTGTACATAGGAATGTGTATGCATATACACGAGCAGGCATGTGTGTGTACATGGGCAGGTGTGTGTACATGTATGGGTAGGCATGTTTGTGCGTGGGCAGGTGTGTGTGCGTGCATGGGCAGGCACGTATGTATAATAGGCAGGCATGGGTGTGTGCATGGCAGGTGTGTGTGTACATGGGTAGGCGTGTGTGCATGCAGCTTACATAAGTGGCAGTGCTCTCAGGAGGGGAGCACACAGTACAGACCAGGTTTCCCACTTTCCCCAGGCAGTGTCCCGTGCAGCCCCGTGTCTGAAGAGGGTGTCACCGATGCCCCCTGCCTCCACGGAGCCCCGCTCTTTCCCTCGGTCTGGAAGACAGCGAGCAGGACCTTGGTACTTCCTAGGGTAGGCAGTGCGTGGGTCCACAGCCCTGTGGTTCCGATTCAAACCATGCAGCCCGAGAGACTCCGGTGTTTCTGGGGGCACTTTTCCACCTTCTCAGCCCCGTTTTCTTGCTGGAGTGAGAGGGCTGCAGGAAGCTTTCCCAGCAGCAGGAGCAGCAGCCAGAGCAGACACGGCAGCAGCCACGGCAGCAGCACTGGCACCCTTCAAATTGGGACTCTAGCCCTTTAAATCTGCTCAGTTACCAAAAAAGAAGAGGCATCAGACCCTGTTAATTAAAGCTCGCCCCGGTCCATCATTCTGAGGAGCTGCAGTGCCCTGCTCCTTCCTGATGGCTTAGAGATTCTCCTTAACTCCCAGCCATGGATCTTGGAGAATTTCCCCCGAGATCAGCAGGAGGTATGACCCTTGCCGATGACACTCTGAAGCTTGTGTGTCTCTCAGTCAATGATATAACTGACTGCATGGATGCTGCCTGCCTTCCCCCTTCTGCTTTTCCTCTTCCCCTCTTCCTCCTCTCCAATTTCCCAGCTTGTGTTTAGTTGAGACAGAATCAAGTTTTGATGGGTTTCCGAGGAAGGGGAGGGGTAGGGAGATCTGGAGGTGGTGGTGGCTCTTGGCACGTTTGTTTTGGCCCCAGCTTCACCCAGCTGTCAAAGTGGTTTGGAGGAGTGGGGAGACACGCTTCTTTCAGCTCTGGCTCATGCAAAACCATTTCCTCCCGGCCGGGTCCTTTCCCCTTGGAGATAATGAAAAGGGCATAACCCTGACTCGACTTGCCTGTCAAATCGGTGCCCTGCCACTCGGTCAGAACATGGCTGTGTGGCTGCACTCCTACGTTATTGGAAAACTCATTCCATACAACTTTCCCTGTAAGTCGTCCCGGAGGAACATCTTGCCGACACCTGTCCCCCCTCCCCGCCCCTGCCCTCATTCTCCCCTCGTCTTTACTCTCTGAACGCTGCTCCTTTCAAATGCTTGCTGTATGATTTCAGGAATTCCTAACCCTGTCCCTTGTGCCTTTTGAGGAAACTCACTTCTAGCCGAGTCTCAGGTTCTGTGGCAAAGAGTTGTTTTGATTCAGGAATCTGCTCTAGCCTGGCAGAGAGAAGGAGTAGATTTATCTTCTTTGTACATTGCATTGTGTAAATTGTACTTGGGCTCAGAGAACATCTATCTGCAAATCCTTCATTGATTTGTTTTTGACCCTCACGGGGTGACTTCTGGGTGAAATGCTCTTTCCGAGTCATACCCAAAGGAAAGATTTCCTTTCCGTCAGCTTGACATGACTCCACAGACATCCCTGAAAGTCAGACTTGGGCAGAGGGAGGCATTTTCATTGGCCTGAGTGACAGTCATCTCTGGGGGTCCCGGGGGCATGGGTTCTTGTGGCTTAGAGGCAGGGTTCTAAGGACTTCCAATTCCCCACCTGGGAGAGGAGCTTGGGAGGGGAAGTGCTTTTACTGAATTTTCCAGGGGCTTTAAAACACGCTGAATGGTTAACATCCCCGTTCAAGTCTTGAGGGGGATCTGAGCCAAAACACAGCTCACGTGAGTAGAGATTTTCCCCCAAAGTGATTGCCTGCAGAGTTCTGAACCATTTCCATGAACGGTAGTTACCGCGTTTGCAGCTAAATCCCTTTGCAATCCCCCAGCCAAGGATGGGCACTTTCTCTGGATGAATGTCCCGGAAGTCAGCCTGTCTGCTTCCCAGACACTGGGGGTGCAATGCATTTTGTATGATCAGAATCATCAAACTCTCCGCTGTGGCAGAAACTCTCTGGTTTAGGAGAGACCATTCAGAACTTATGAGTGAAGCGCTTGATGGAATGAATTATTATCCCCATGCCCATCGGTGGATCTGTGTGGTTGATTTAAAGATTCTAAAGAAGTAACCCCGGGAGAGATGTTTCCTGCAAACAGAAACTCAGCCTGGAGGCCTTGGTCATGCTGGTTAAAGGGAGGAGGCTTTGGGGAGGGTGGCGTTGGAGGTTTGAGGTCATTTTTAAAGGTCGTGCTCTCAGCTGGTCTGTGAGGGTCAGATTCTCACCTGGAGCTGAGGGTAGAAGCGGACTGAGGCCATGGTTAGCCGGGTGAGTTCCTTGAGCTCACAGACCGTTCAGTGGAGAAGGTTCGTCCACACAGCTATAGTCACCTCTTCCTCTGTTGCCTGGTGGCCCAAAGGTCAACAGCCTTCTTTCACTTTCTAGGGGAAGCCAAGAGAGGCTTGAAATAGATGTCACTAACTGTGTTTTTGTATCAGCTGGGGCCCATTAACAATAAGTAATTAAGTAGACTGTTCCTTTGTGTCAAATTTTCTTTTCAACTTAATGTTGTGTGTGTGTGTGTGTGTGTGTGTGTGTGTGTGTGTGTGTGTGTGTGTTTAATTCACTGATGGCTGCTGGCTTTCAAGAAGCTGTACGCAGGTCCCAGTGGAGTTTGTTTAGATCTGGCAACTTTGTGTAGTTCTGTGTTCCGTTGACATTTCTTTAATGGCCGTGGTGGGCTCTTAGCTTACAAGGTGGTGGGAAAGGCATGGCCTTTGGGGACCAACAGACCTTCACTGGAGTCTCAGCTTCACCACACAAGAGCACCTAGCCTGGGCTGCTGATTAATCTCATTGGGCGGGCGTCAGTTTCTCTGTCTGTAACATGGTAGCATTGTCAGGATTAAATGGAGTCATTTAGCTGAAGTCTGTGTATGCAGCTTGTACAAAGGAGTATCTCTTCTTTCAATTGCAGCTGCCTTGAGTTAAGTCAACATTAACACAAAGGATTGGACTGTTTAAATAGTTATAGTGACTCCTGTACTGACTGCTGGACTGTGCCTTTTCTGAGGGCAGGGATGGCCTCCTCCCTGTCACTCTATCTCTCCCAAAAGCTAGCAAAGGGCCTGGCATGGCGTGGAAACAACATAAAAGTTTATTGAATGAATACACACCAGTCTGTGGACACATAACCTTCAACATAGGTGGTTTTTAATGACTAAGCAAAACCAATTCTCACTCAGTTTACTTAAGAAATACAGCTGAGCCAGTTAGATCAAAGAGCCTCGTGACTGTAATAAATTGGGATTAAGATAGATCCATTTGTGGGGAAATTTGAACTGTAATTAAAAAAATGTCTCCTGCACTGGAACCTGTACCGGGTGCCTGCGGACTCCAGGAGTGCCCTGGGAGCTGTTCTGATTGCTAGCAGCCTTCCCTCTTCATGTGCTACTTCCTCTTTTTCATGCTTTGAAGAAGAGAAGAGGCTCTGAAACGGGATAACCGCTCTGAATGGAAAGAGGAGCTTCAACTGCTACTCTGGTGCGTAGTACGAGTCTATCAATATATCAATCCATTAAAAAAGAGTAAGTTGATTTGTGTGGAGACACTTAGTACCTACTGGGGAGAGTCATTGATTTAATAATTTTTTAATTAATTAATTTAGTTTTTGAGACAGAGTCTCACTCTGTCACCCAGGCTGGAGTGCAGTGGCATGATCTCTGCTCACTGCATCCTCCACCTCCCGGAGTTTGCAGTGAGCCGAGATCACACCACTGCACTCCAGCCTGGGCAACAAGAGAGAAACTCTGTCTCAAAAAAATAAAAAAGTTGATCAAAGATAATCATCATCATAAAAGTGAATACCACCACCTAACATTTGCAGAGGGTCTCTCTAGCTAGGGGTTGGAGGAACCCACGTGAGATTGGCTGCCCCCTGTTCTCAAGTAAAGGGATGGGGGCTAAATAGTGTGTGTCATGGGATACATGAGGCATGAGTCTAGTGGATCCTGGGAGGATGATGATCTTGGCCTTGGGAAAGGCTTCTTTCAAGTAGATGATCCCCAAACTGAGTCCCAACAGAGGTGGCTATGAAATATCATCCTAGGCTGAAGAAATTACACATGCAAAGCACAGAGGTGAAAGAAACACTCGAGGGAGTGGCAGCAAATCTGTCTGACCATTATGGGAGGCAATGTGATAAAAGAAGAAGCCGGAGAGGAGACAGGGGTTAGATCCTAAGGGACCCGGGGTGCGTGAAAGGCGGGCACTTCATTTTGAAGGAGATGGAGTCATTGAAGGATTTTTAGCAACGGAATCACTTGGGAAAATTGAATTGAACAAATACGCACTGAGCATTGATCCTTTACCAAACTGTGTCCTACGCACCTGGATGCAGTGGTGAACACAACACCCAAAATCTCCTGCTCTTGCGGAACTTGCAGGCAGAGAAGAAGACAAAAAAATAAGTCACGAAAGGTAAATTGTACATAGCACGTCAGATGGTGACACACGCTCTTGAGAGAAATACAGCCGAGGAGGAGGACGAGGTCCTGAGACAGTGATGAGGCATGGGTGTGTCTGTGCAACCCTTAATAATGCTCAATCCTAAGTGCAATTCTTAACAAAGTGCAATCCTAAATAAGTGCAACCCTACATAAAGTGCAATCCTAAATAAGCACAACCCTTAATAAAGTGCAATCCTAAATAAGTGCAACCCTTAATAAAGTGCAATCCTAAATAAGTGCAACCCTTAACAAAGTGCAATCCTAAATAAGCACAACCCTTAATAAAGTGCAATCCTAAATAAGTGCAACCCTACATAAAGTGCAATCCTAAATAAGCACAACCCTTAACAAAGTGCAATTCTAAATAAGTGCAACCCTACATAAAGTGCAATCCTAAATAAGTGCAACCCTACATAAAGTGCAATCCTAAATAATTGCAACCCTTAATAAAATGCAATCCTAAATAAGTGCAACCCTACATAAAGTGCAATCTTAAATAAGTGCAACCCTTAATAAAGTCCAATCCTAAACAATTGCAACCTTGAATAAAGTGCAATCCTAAATAAGCGCAACCCTTAATAAAGTCCAATCCTAAATAAGCGCAACCCTTAATAAAGTCCAATCCTAAATAAGCGCAACCCTACATAAAGTGCAATCCTAAATAAGTGCAATCTTTAATAAAGTGCAATCCTAAATAAGTGCAACCCTACATAAAGTACAATCCTAAATAAGTGCAGCCCTTAATAAAGTGCAATCCTAAATAGAATGCAATCCTGAATAAATAAAGGTGGCAGCAGAATGAAAACTCTTGGAGGCGTTGTAAGAACTTTGGCTTTTGCTTTGAGTGAGGCGGGAGCCAGCGCTGGGCTCTGAGCAGAGGAGAAACATTTTTAAATGATCCTCCTCACTGCTGTGTTGAGGAAAGATTGTGGGTGGGCAAGGTGGGAACAGGAAGGTCAGCTAGGAGGTGAACATTTAATCAAGGTGAGAGGTGATGGTGGCTGGCCAGTGGGGTACCAATGGAGGTCTGCCAAGTGCTAGGATTCTGAACTTTTTGTTTTTTTCAGGATGGAGGCAATGGGATGTGTTGATGGGTTGGTGAGTTGTGTGAGATGAGTCGAGGATGACTCAAGCTTCCTTGGCCTGAGACGGGGACAGCTGTGGGTGGAGCAGGTTTGGGAGGAGAGCAGGAGTCGGGTGTTTCTCATGTTAAATTGGAGACGTCTGTTGAGGCTCCCGGTGGAGATGTTGAGTGGGCAGTCCTGGGTTCACGAGAGAGATTTGGGCTGGAGACAGCCTTGGGAATCATCAGAGTACAGATGGTATTTAAAGCCATCTCAGATGAGATCATCAGGAGATGGAAGAGACGACGAACTGAGTTCTGAGGCATCACAGCTATTTACAGGTTAAAAAGATGACCAGAAACCCAAACCAGGAGATTGGGAGGGAGGTGCTTCCTTCTTCCTTGTTCAAGACGATTCGCCCTGTTTGTACATTCTACGTCCTCGTCTCTCCTGGGACCAAGACTTATAGCTCATTCTCCCAACTTTTTTTTTTTTTTTTTTTTTTTTGAGACGGAGTGTCGCTCTGTTGCTCAGGCTGGAGTGCAATGGTGCAATCTTGGCCCACTGCAAACTCTGCCTCCTGGGTTCAAGAGATTCTCCTGCCTCAGCCTCCCAAGTAGCTGGGATTATAGGCGCATGTCACCATGCCCGACTAATTTTTATATTTTTAGTAGAGACGGGGTTTCATCCTGTTGGTCAGGCTGGTCTCGAACTCCTGACCTCAGGTGATCCTCCTATCTGGGCTTCCCAAAGTGCTGGGATTACAGGCATGAGTCACCGTGCCTGGCCCTCATTCTCCCAATTTTTAACTTACTCCTTTCTCCTGGCTTCTTCCCACCTCCCTGTAGGTCTGCTCAGATCTTTCTCATCTTAAAAAGAATCTTCCCTTAGCTCCTACTGACTCCTTTAGCTTTTGCTTTCTTGTTCTCTTTTTCTTCACAGATAAACTTTTATTTCTTTCGGCATTCATCAAACAACTGCTGCATACCAGGAGTAAAGAACATGGAAACAAAAGACAGATTTTACCCTACTTGAAAGAATATTTATTTACACCTTGTCTACTTCCATAAAGCATTTTGGATAGCATTTTTTGACATGTATATATAATGAAATAAAAAATATATGATCATAAACTAAACATAAAAAATTTTGTACCAAAAAATTTGTATTTGTATTCTAAAATACAATTTAGAACAGAGGAGCAAGATCAGTACAAAAAACAGAATGCAGAAATAAAGGTCATAAGATTCTATGGTATTATTATTATTGTTTGTTTTTGAGACAGAGTCTCGCTCTGTTGCTGAGGCTGGAGTGCAGTGGTGCGATCTCAGCTCACTGCAACCTCTGCCTCCTGGGTTCAAGCAATTCTCCTGTTTCAGCCTCCGGAGTAGCTGGGATTACAGGCATAAGCCACCACACCCAGCTAAGTTTTGTATTTTTAGTAGAGATGGGGTTTCCTCATATTGGCCAGGCTGATCTTGAACTCCTGGCCTCAAGTGATCCGCCTGCCTCAGCCTTCCAAAGTGCTGGGATTACAGGCTTGAGCCACTGTGTCTGGCCAGATTCTATTTTATTTTAATTTTGAGAGACAAAGTCTCACTATGTTGTCCAGGCTGGTCTTAAACTCCTGGCCTCGAGTGATCCTCCCACTTTGGCCTCCCAAAGTATTGAGATTACAGACATGAGCCCCTGTGCCTGGCTGGTCATAAAACTGTATAAGAATATAATTGAGCCTCTAATCTGATCAGAACTTTCTGGTCAGAAAACAGAAAATGGGGATTTCTTAAAAAAATTTACCAGTGCTCTGAGATAATCATTGTATGGGTGAATACATCTTTGGGTTTTGGGTATTCTGGGTGCTACCTAACCAGGACCCAGACCAAGAAATAGGACATGGTCTGCACCCCAGTGCCACCCCGTGATCATTTCCAGTTGGTTCTCTCTCCGGGGACTGACATTAACCATTTGTCTGTTTTAAACTATTTTGGGAATTGCTTTCTGAGTTTTGTTGTCCGTGAGATGATATGCTAGTTCCTTAAGGAAAACCAAAGCTTTCTGGCATTTAATTCGAAAAGAATACAGTTGATCCTTGAACAATTTGGGTTTGAACTATAAGGGGCCACTTATACATGGATCTTTTTCTGCCTCCACCACCCCTGAGACAGCAACACCAACCCCTCTTTTTCTTCCTCCTCCTCAGCCTCCTCAATGTGAAAAAGACAAGGAGAGGCCCGGCACAGTGGCTCACGCCTGTAATCCCAGCACTTTGGGAGGCCGAGGCGGGTGGATCATGAGGTCAGGAGTTCAAGACCAGCCTGGCCAAGATGGTGAAACCCCATCTCTACTACAAATACAAAAAAATTAACCAGGCATTGTGGCGGGCGCTTGTCATCCCAGCTACTCAGGAGGCTGAGGTAGAGAATTGCTTGAACTCAGGAGGCGGAGGTTGCAGTGAGCCGAGATTGCGCCATTGCACTCCAGCCCGGGCGACAAAGCGAGACTCCATCTCAAAAAAAAAAAAAGAATAAACGACAAGGATAAAGACCTTTATGATGATCCACTCCCACTTAATGAATAGTCAATATATTTTTTCTTCTTCATGATATTTTAATAACATTTCCTCTTCTTTAGCTTACTTTATTGTAAGAATACAGAATATATTACATGTAACACACAACATATGTGTTAATCAACTGTTTACGTTATCAGTAAGGCTTCCAGTCAACAGTAGGCTATTAGCAGTCAAGTTTTTGGAGATTCAAAAGTCATATGTGACTGGGCATAGTGGCTCATGCCTGTAATCCCAAGACTTTGGGAGGCTGAGGTAGGAGGATTGCATGAGCTCAGGGGTTTGATACCAACCTGGGCAACATGGCGAAACCCCATTTCTATAAATAATTTTAAAAATTAACTAGTTATGATGGTGTGTGCCTGTAGTTACAGCTACTCGGGAGGCTAAGGAGGGAGGATCACTTGAGCCCAGGAGGCTGCAGTGAGCTATAATGGCGTCACTGCACTCCAGCCTTAGCAACAGAGTGATGCGCTGTCTCCAGAAAAAAAGAAAAAGTCGTATGCAGATTTTCAACTGCATGGGGTAGGGGGAGCAGCACCCCTAACCCCCACAGGGTTTGAGGTTCAACTGTATTTTCTTCTGAGGTTTCCTTTAAGGAATGTTGAAAAGTTAGGTGGCTTGTACCTTGTCTATTTCCATAACATACTTTGGATAGCATGCAAATTTATATGTGTGTAATGAAACATAAAATATAAACTTATAAGCTAAGGCGAAGAGTGGCAGCTATTTGGCATCGCTTGAAGCCCAACCAGGGGCAGTCAGAAGGTAGAATCTGGAGAGGATGGAGTGTTAAATGCCAACGAGATGAAGCAACATAAGGCCTGGAAGTGTCCCTCGGAGTTAGAAAGTAGGAGGCAGCCAGCCAGGTTCCTGGAGTGATGGAGGTAGAAGCCAGATTGAGGGAGGAGGTCAAGGAAGGAATAAGAGATTTGCTGTGATGTCTCTACGTGGCGGCTACTATTTTAAGACGGTCTATTCTCATGGGAAGGGAGAAAAGATGGCAGGTAGAAGACCTTGCAAAACATAAGGAAGGATTTTGTTTATTTCTCGATAGAATGAGGGAGACTTAATCGTGTTTTTGGAGAAATAGGGAGTCAAGAAATACAGGCAAGGCTGGGTGCCGTGGCTCACTTCTGTAATCTCAACACTCTGGGAGGCTGAGGTGGGAGGATGGCTTGAGCCTAGGAGTTCAAGGCCAGCCTAGGCAACATAGTGAGACTCCATCTCTACAAAAAACAAAAATAAAAATAATGAGCCAGGGATAGTGGTGCATGCCTGGAGAACCAGCTACTCAGGAGGCTGAGGCAGGAGGATTGCTTGAGGCCAGGGGTTTAGAACAGCCTGGCACCATAGCGAGACCTCATCTCTACAAAAAATAAAAAGAAAAACGAATTAGCTGGGTGTGGTGGCGCATGCCTATAGAACCAGCTGCTTGGGAGGCTGAGGTGGGAGGATCATTGGAGCTTAGGAGTGAAGGCTGCAGTGAGCCATGATTGAACCACTGCACTCCAACCTGGGCAACAGACTGAGACTCTATCTCAAGAAGAAAGAAAGAGAAGGGAAGGGAGAAAGAAGGAAGGAAGGAAGGAAGGGAGAGAGGGAAGGAAGGGAGAGAGGGAAGGGAAGGAGGGAGGGAGGGAGGAAGGAAGGAAAGAAAGAAGGAAGAAAAGAAAGAAGGAAGGAAGGGAGGATGGAAGGGAGGGAGGAAGGAAGGAAAGAAGGAAGGAAGGTAGGAAGGAAAGGAAGGAAGGGAGGAAGGAAAGAAAGAAGGAAGGAAAGAAAGGAAGGAAGGGTGGGAGGGGGGAAGGAAAGAAGGAAGGAAAGAAAGAGAGAGGGAGGGAGGAAGGAAAGAAAAAAGGAAAGAAAGAAAGAAAAGAAAGAAAGAGAGAAAGAGAAAGAAAAAGAAAGAAAGGCAAAAGATATAGAGGAGAGAAAAGATAGTTAAAGCAAGCAAAGACCTAAAAAGATAAATTTGCATGCTGTGGACACACACACACACACACACACTCCACACAACTGGGTTTCTCACCTTCTTTAACTTTTCCTGGTGACAGACCCTTCTCCTTGCCATTGTTCTCTTTTGTTTTGAAGCTAAAACAGCCCTTAGCAACCAAACTTGACCCACTCAGGCTTCTCTCTAGTGAAAGGGGCACTGTCTGTAATCTGTCAACTTTATTTCAGCCATCAGTCCCAGAATGTCAGGACTGCCAGGGAGGGGCCTTAGTGAGTGTCCAGCCTGTGTTCTTATTTTCCGAATGAAAAAACTGAGGCCCATGATTTCCTGGCAAGGTAGAGAGAACAGCAGAGCTAAACCCCAGATCGCCAGACTACTTGACTGTATTTCCAGAACTCCCTAGTTCCAGGCATTTTCAAAACTCTCCCTCCTAATCTCTAAAATTTGAGTGTTTCTAAAATTTCAGCAAGCACCAAAATCATCTAGAGGTTCCTTTTTTTTTTTTGAGACAGGGTCTCATCTGGTCACCAGGCTGGAGTGCAGTGATGCAATCACAGCTCACTGCAGACTTGTCCTCCTTGGCTCAAGCAGCTCAAGCCTCCCTGCTTAGCCTCCCAAGCAGCTGGGACTACAGGTGTGTGCCACCACGCTTGGCTAATTTTTTATTTTCTGCAGAGACGAGCCCTCGCTGTGTTGCCCAGGCTCATCTAGAGGTTTTGTCAAGACAGACTTTTTGGGCCCCACCCCTTCTGAATTTCTGATTCAGTAGGGCTGGGAAGAGGCTGAGAATTTGCAGCATCAACAGCTTTCCCAGGTGATGCTGAGGCTGCTTGTTTGGGCCCACGCTTGGAGAACATTATTTAAGAGGGGGTGTGCCCAGAGCAGGCAGGGAGGGAGTGAGAGCAGCTAGACTGGGGCCCCTAGAAGCAAGCATCTTCTCTGACCTGATCTCATTTCCCTTGGGTCAGGCCTGAATGAGGTGTAGGTGGCCAGCTGCCAGGCCCAAGAAGATCAACACCATTTCACCTCCTAGTCACCAAGAGACTTAAGGAATGCAGTTGTATTAGTCTGTTCTCATGTTGCTGATAAAGACATACCCGAGACTGGGTAATTTATAAAGAAAAAGATGTTTAATGGACTCACAGTTCCACGTGGCTGGAGAGGGCTCACAATCATGGAAGCTGAAAGGCACAAGGCACATCTTACATGGTAGCAGACAAGAGAGAATTTGTGCAGGGCAACTCCCCCTTATAAAACCATCTGACCTCGTGAAACTTAGTCACTATCATGAGAACAGAATGGGGGAAATCACCTCCATGATTCAATTACCTCCCATGGGGTCCCTCCCAGGACACGTGGGGATTATGGCTACAATTCAAGATGAGACTTGGGTGGGGACACAGCCAAACCATATCAGCAGTGTAGCAGGCTGAGCCCTGGGACTAATCCCAGGAACCAGGCTGTCATTAAATACAGCACTGTCTGTGCTTTTACGTCTTTCTGCCTTCTATGGAGAGGGAATCACAGGGAAGCTGGCCATTTAGACCCAGGCTGGGGGGCATCTCATAGCTCACATTTCCCTTGCAGCCACTCTGAGGCCAGCACCCCTTTGTCACTCCCCAAGGGAATGGGTAGTGCCCAGCTGGGTGAGACTCAAGGTTCCTCTTGAGCTTATTCCATTATCTTGGCACTCAGAGCATATGTCAAGTGAATTCTGTGTCTCTGGCAGGTTATTACACGCTGAATTAGTGTAGTGAAATAAAAACTATAATAAAGCTGTACCACACTGTTAAATTGTTAAAATTTATTAGAAAATGTGCACAGTTATTAACTGATTTTCGCCTGTGTGCATTTGCTTGTGCCGGAGCCAGGGAAGATGAAAAGCGGCTCTGTCAAACGGAGGCTGAGGGTTGGCTCCTGGAATTCTCCAGAGAGCCCTAAGTGGGACAGCACGTTCACAAATTCACAGAGCGCTGCTGGCCTCTCCGCGCTGGCTGCTGCCTCGCTTCTGTGCTGCCTGAGGCTCTCCGGGGCTGCAATTGTGGTCCCAGGGGAAGGAAACCCATCTGTCCACTTCCAGGAGGCCCCCGCAGGCCGAGGGAGGCGTGGATGAATGGGGCCTTGCGTTTCTCCAGTGTTTACACTTAGGAGGCACAGTTACTCACCGTCTCTAGTCTTCAGACAGAATGTTTGAGCCCAGGAAAGCTATTGTAGATGAGCTTCCACCACATTCTCGTCTGCTCTCTCTGCTGGCCTGTTTCCTATGTCTCTTCCCCCTTCTCGTTCCCCTTCCCCTTCCCCTTCCCTTCCCTTTCTTTTCTTTTTCCTTTTTTTTTTTTCCTTAGAGACTGGATTTGGCTCTGTTGCCCAGGCTGGAGTGCAATGGTGCAATCATGGCTCACTGCAGCCTCGAATTCCTAGGCTCAAGTGATCCTCCCACCTCAGCCTTCTGAATAGCTAGGACTACAGGCACATGCCACCATATCCAGCTAATTTTTTTAAAAAAACCATTTTTGTAGATACAGGGTCTTGTTATGTTGCTCAGGCTGGTCTCACAACCCTAGCCTCAAGTAATCCTTCCACCTTGGCCTCCCAAAGTGCTTGGATTACAGGTGTGAGCCACCATGCGTGGCCCCTACCCTGCCTTTTGAAAACCCAAAGAAGAAGCCAAATTTTTCTTAGCTCAGCTAGGGCCATTTCTGGATTGCTTCATCAGCAAGGAACTGGTTATTGACTGTCCAGGCCTCGCATGAAGTGCAGAAATGCAGCAAAAAAGTTTTTCCTGCTGTTCTGCTCTGTGGGGAGTTGGAGGATGATGTTTACTCGTTTTCAGAGACAGGGAGACATGCTTTTAGTCCTTAGTCCTTCAGATGAAGGGAGCCCTCCATGGTCTTATAGCTAAGAGAGCTTACCTTGCTGCCTCTCCCCCTGGAAAGATCTTTCCAGTAACTAATTCTACCATTCTTTGTAAATTCTCCTTCTCCTTCTTCTTCTCCTTCTTCTTCCTCTTCCTCTTCCTCTTCCCCTCCTTCTCCTTCTCCTTCTCCTTCTCCTTCTTCTGATGGAGTCTCGCACTGTCACCAGGCTGGAGTGCAGTGGCATGATCTTGGCTCACTGCAACCTCTGCCTCCTGGGTTCAACCGATTCTCTTGCCTCAGCCTCCCGAATAGCTGTGATTACAGGTGCCCGCCAGTACGCCCAGCTATTTTTTTTTTGTTTTTTTTTTTTTTGGTATTTTAGTAGAGACGGGGTTTTAGCATGTTGGCCAGGCTGGTCTCAAACTCCTGACCTCAGGTGATCCACCCGCCTTGGCCTCCAAAAGTGCTGGGATTACAGGCATGAGCCACTGTGCCTGGCTGGTAAATTATTTTTATCCTAAAAAAAAGAAATGTTATTTTCCTATTTGTTAACTTTAAGCACTCTTCCTTGATTTGGGGGTGAGGTGGCAAGCAGAGAGTGAACTAGAAAACAGGAAGTGATTTGTGCAAATCCAATATGCAGTTTTTTTTTTTTCTTTCAGGAACAGGGTCTCACTTTTTCACCCAGGCTGGAGAGCAGTGGCATGATCATAGCTCACTGCAGCTTTGAACTCCTGGGCTCAAGTGATCCTCTGCCTCAGCTTCCCGAGTAGCTGAGACTACAGGTGTGTGCCACCACCCTGCCTGGCTAATTATTATTATTATTAGCAGAAATGGGGCCTTGTTATGTTGCCCAGGCTGGTCTGGAACTCCTGGCCTCAAGCGACCTTGGCCTCCCAAAGCTCTGGGATTGCAGTCGTGATCCACTGTGCCCCGCCTCCAATGTACATTTTGAATCAGAGCCCATAAGACCTATCTTTGAGTTGATAGCAGCATCCGCATTGGTTTACTAGCCCTGGGTCCTTCTTGCTACCCTGAGACCCAGCTAGATTGTAAATTCACCTGAAGCCTGAGATGCTTCTGCTTGAGAAGAAGTAGGGAAGCAGAGCCAAAACTGAGAGTTTTCTGGAGTCTCTGCCACTGTGCTCGGGTGTTTCTCTTGGGGTTTCCATGGATTTCTACTTAGGAGCCGCAAGCACCCAGGATGGGGTAGCAGGGCATTGCTTCCTGATCTTGGGGAGGGCTCCCAGCCTTGGCATAATCTGTGGGATCCATGGCGAACTGAAAAACTCAGGGCCAGTGTGGGAGAACTCTTGGGTTTTTTAGTCCCCTGTTTCTTCTAACCAGTTTCTTTTTTGTTCCTGTTTATATAGCACAGCTGATGCATGCTAAGAGTTGGGAGGAGACTGCTCGGTTGAATTCCTGCTGTCTTGTGGATGTGTTCTCTTGTTTGGATAGCAGTTAATCTATTTTTCTGTCCCGGGGACACTTTAGGCTGCTACCTGGTCAGGGGGCTGCTGGAGGGCGATCAATATCTCAAAGACTTCTCCAAGGGGCAGGTTCCTTTCCCCCTTGTAGTGAGTGATTCAGAGGAAAATGGAATTATACCAGCAGAAATTTAAGACACCCAAGCTCCAATGAGATTGTCCAACACCCTGAATCTTCCTTTTCTGCGCTTGAGCCTAAAGATAGTCCATAGGGTGTGTAGAAAGAGTAACAAATGTTGGGTTCAAACAGAGCCATGGCCTTGTTCTTTTCCCGCCTCTCCTTGATGTGCTGTCTAGAAGATAACACGATTACATGAATATGTAATGCAGGGAAATCTAGTTAGTTTACTAGCACCGTCTTTTTGCCGAGGCAGATCGATTTCCTGGTTTTAAAAGACAGTAAAATTGCTGATGTGAGAGCTGGTGCTTGCTGAAGCATGTCATAAAGTAGCCAACTTCAGAGAGCCCTGGTGCACTGCAGAAACCCAACATTTAGGATCCATTTATATACTCTCCACCTTGTTCCAGAAAGGATGCAAGGTGATTTGCAAAGATGAGTATCCAATTACAGGACATAATTAAATGAAAAAATAAATAGACAATGAAAACAAGACAAAGGGAAAAGCAGTCCGGGAAGGCAAGGATGGAGCCAGGAATGAGGTTAGGAGACAAAATTCATGGGGTGGCCCTGAGCTTTCTTTCAGCCAACACAGAGAGGGAAACAGTCCCTTGTTACAGACCCAGCATCTATGTGATGAAAGCAAGCAGCTGCTCAGGAGACGCACAGCTATTTCTGTTCCCGGAGGCAGAGAGAATATTGCCCATGGGTCCTTGTATTAGTCTGTTCTCATGCTGCTAATAAAGACATATCCAAGGCTGGGTAATTTATAAAGAAAAAGAGGTTTAATGGACTCAAAGTTCCACATGGCTGGGGAGGCTTCACAACCATGGCAGAAGACGAAGGAGGAAAAAAGGCACGTCTTACATGGTGGCAGGCAAGAGAGTGTAGGCAGGAGAACTGCCCTTTATAGAACCATCAGGTCTCATGAGACTCACTCACTATGACCAGAACAGCACAGGAAAACCCACTCCCATGATTCAGTTACCTCCCACTGGGTCCCTCCCACGACACATGAGGATTATAGGAGCTACAATTCAAGATGAGATTTGGGTGGGGACACAGCCAAATCATATCAATCCTCAAAGGGAAGACATGGCATAATGCAATAATAGTGTCCCGAACAGTCTCACAGTTCATGATGGCAAGGAGTTTAATAGGACTGGCTGCCTCCTCTTGTAATATTCCTCAAGATTAGGAGGTGGTTAGGGAGGTAGAGCTGTCCCAAAACATTCTCTGATAGTCTGACTTAGTTTTTTTTTTTTTTTTTGGAGATGAGGTCTCACTCTTTTGCCCCAGTTGGAGTAGTGTAATAGCATGATTATGGCTCCCTGCAGTTTTGAACTCCTGGACTCCAAAGATCCTCTGACCTCAGCCTACCAAGTAGCCAGGACTACAGGCACGCATGACCACACTCGGTAATTTTTAAATATTCTGTAGAGACGAGGTCTCTCTCACTGTGCTACCCAGGCTGGTCTCGAACTGTTGGCCTCGAACGATCTTCCAGCCTTGGCCCCCCAAAGTGCTGGGGTTATAGGCATGAGCCACTGCACCTGACTTAATCTGACTTAGCGCTTAGATTACCTATGGTGGGCTGCCTTCCCTCCAAGTCATTCTCTATGGCAAGTGATTCCACGGAGTGGCAATAGAGGCTGCTGCAGTGTTAAGTTGTGCATGCGTGTGTGCATGTGGGTGTACACATGTGTGCGTGTGTGCTGGAGGAATGCCAAAGGATTGGGGTGCAGAGATCAGGAGGGTTCTGTTTCCCCCAAACCCTCAGTTTTTTTGTAATTTTCATGTTGGAGTTCCTCATAATATTTTACCTGAAGAAAAGGGCCCACCACTACTAATAATAGCTTTATTAGTGGTTGAGAAAAATAGATTGGTGCCCGGCTCAGTGGCTTATGCCCGTAATCCCAGCACTTTGGGAGGCTGAGGCCAGTGGATCATTTGAGGTCAGGAGTTCGAGACGAGCCTGGCCAATATGGTGAAACCCTGTCTTTACTGAAAATACAAAAATTAGCCGGGTGTGGTGGCACAGGCCTGTAATCCCAGCTACTCGAGAGACTGAGGCAGGAGAATCGCTTGAACCCGGGAGGCGGAGGTTGCAGTGAGCCGAGACTCCATCTCAAAAAAAAAAAAAAAAAAAAATAGCTTGGCTTCACTCCATGGGTAGTTATTTTCCCAACACTGTGAGCACTGGGCGAGGAATTTTGAGATAATTCTCCTTGACAAAAACTTGGAGGGCAGTTGCCTTGGGCTGCTGGTTGAGTGCAACCCCATATGCTTTAACAGTTGGTAGAGCCGGAGGTGGCACTGAAATCCTCTTAGGAACAGGGAACAGGTGACCAGGACACCTTCCGGAACAGGATACCATGCAGAGCGCAGGTACAGCCAGACCGGGTCCTTAGAGCTGGCATTGCTTCTGATTGGTTGGTGCTCGGCTCACCTTCATTTTGATTGGTCAGTGCATGCGCCCTACAGGTGGTTAAATACTGACATTCACCTGTGTGTGAGCAGGCTGAGAAGCCCCTTGAGGGGAATATTTAGGGTCCCATGTGAAGTCCAGGCAAAAGGTGTAACAACATCCCAAGTGTTGACCCTGGTAGAAAAACGTTTATCCAGAAAACACTTAAAGCAGGTGACCTAAACAGCCACCTCAGTAATTAACCTCCCTGTAAAATTTTATGTTTAACCTTAAACATCATAATTTCCTGGTGTATCGTATTACAAATTGACCACAAATTAAATACCTAGGTCTTAGAATTTATATATATATAATTATTATATCTGTTAAAATATGTATAATTATTATAGATACAAATATATAATTATTATAGATAAATATATATTTTCTATAAATTTATAATTATTATGTGTAAATATATAATCTATAAATATAATTATTATGTAGAAATATACATTACCTATGTATAAATATACGATTATATATAAATCTATAATAATTACATATATTTGTTAAAATATATAATTACAGGCCGGGCGGTGGCTCACACCTGTAATCCCAGCACTTTGGGAGACCAAGGTGGGCAGATCACCTGAGATCAGGAGTTTGAGACCAGCCTGGCCAACAAGGTGAAACCCTGTCTCTACTAAAAGGACAAAGAATTAGCTGGGCATGGTGGCAGGTGCCTGTAATCCCAGCTACTCGGGAGGCAGAGGCAAGAGAATCACTTGAACCCAGTGGGACAGAGGTTGCAGTGAGCCGAGATCACACCATTGCACTCCAGCCTGGGTGACAGAGCAAGACTCCATCTCAAATATATATATAGACACACACATACATATATACACACACATATATACATATAGATGTATATACATATATATATACAGATGTGTATATATATATATACACAGACATATATATAATTACATATAATAATTATATATATTTATGTAATATATATAGAGATATTCTAAGGGAGTTAAATCATGAAGAATGTGAGAAGTTTTTGTTTCTTTTAAATGATGACATTGAGTTTCAGAATAGCTATTCTACATGCTTTCTTTTTGGCAGTAATCTCAGATCAAAGCCACTTGTCTACAACAGCTGCTACTAATTCATAACCATAAAACCATGTCCTCCGTTGAAAAGAGAACGGTGATGATTTTGTTCTTTGTCAGCATTCTGTTCATCTAGGAGGGGCCTCAAGTCCTAAAGGCAGAAAATGAGGGGAAAATCCCACATTACGCCACATTCATTTTTGGGGGATATTTTCGACGAGCCATTTGCTATTCTAGGTGCTGGAGATGTTGCAAGGAACAAAACCAATAAGGTCCTGCTCTGACGGGACTCATAGTCTAGGGGTGAAACACAAATAATGAAAACTTAGGTAATATTTTCTTTTAGGACCTTGAGCTAATGTCAATATCTGAATCCACTTGAGGTTGGTGTCCATTGATTGACTTTCCTCTTGAAGATGGATTCTATTTTCCTGTTTATGGTATGTCTAGTAATTTTGCATTCTACCCTGGACTTCATGAATGATCTATTGGGCAGACTAAGGGTTCTGTTGGGCACATCTGAAGAATATTATTTGTCAGTTTTTGTTTTAGTACCAAGTTAGCCAGGCCGGACAGCAGCTGAAATGTCTATTTGGTTCTCTCAGGCTGAGCTGGGCTGCTTGGAGGTCTGCCCTGTGTGTATGTGTAGTTAGGGGGTCAACCAGAGGTTTGATAGAGCCACTCTCAGAATCTGGGTTCCCCTTCTGTGATTCTCTCTTTTCTGATAGGTCCCTCTAGCATTTGTATTTTTTAAACAGATGGGGTTTCGCCATGTTGGCCAGGCTGGTCTTGAACTCCTGGACTCAAGCAATCTGCCCGCCTTGGACTCTCAAAGTGCTGGTATTACAGGCATGAGCCACTGTGCCAGACCATCCTTCTAGTTTTCTAGCTGCTGGTGTCATCCTGAAAACTCTCTTCTGATTTCTTGATAGTAAGACTTCAGGTTTCTGGCCTCACGCCAGCAGCAGTGCTGACTGAGACCAGCCTGGGCAACATGGTGATACCCTGTCTCTACAAAAAATACAAAAATTAGCTGGACGTGATGGCATGCTTCTGTAGTTCCAGCAGCTTGGGAGGCTGAGGCAGGAGGATCACTTGAGCCCAGGATGTTGAGGCTGCAGTGAGCTGAGATCAGGCCACTGCACTCCAGCCTGGACCACAGAGCAAGACTGTGTCTCAAAAAAAAAAAATAATAAAATAAAATAAAAACAAAAAAAAAATCAATCTGTGCCTTTCTCACTTCCAAAAATCGCCTCCCTTTCAGTTTCTTCCTGCTTTGGGCCACTTGCCAGTGCCTTTTGAGCATTCTCTTTTGTATATTGTCCAGAATTTATGATTACTATTTGTAGGAGAGCTGGTCAAATATGAGCTACTCTGTGATTATGAGAAGAACTCTAAAACTTAGCAAGTAAGTAAGTGAACAGATATATGATCATTCCTCACAGTGATCAATGCTATGATGGAAAACAGCATGGCAGGGAGTGTCTCGACTGTGTCTGTGGAGGGTCACTTCAAATGAACACAGAAGGGACATTGAGCTGAGGCTGGGATGACATGGGAAAGCTGCATTTGCGTGGTGGGGCAGGAGCACCCTGGACGGAATATCAGGTGTAAAAATGTTCAGGCAAGAAGGAGCTAGGCTGCTGGAGAGGCAGGGGTTAGGCAGTGAGGACAAGAGAGAAGGAAGGCAGCTGGACCACGCAACAGTCATTGAGATTTTATTCTACATAAAATGATCTACCACTGAGAGAACTTTAAGCAAGACAGTGATGTGATCTGTTTTTGCTCATTTAAAAGATCACTCTGCAGCCCAGCACCGTGGCTCCTACCTGTAACCCCAGCACGTCAGGAGGCCAAGGTGGGAAGATTGTTTGAGGCCAGGAGTTCAAGACTCTGTCTCTACAAAAAAATAAAAATAAAAATAAAAATAAAAATAAAAATAAATTGCCATGTGTGGTGGCATGCACCTGTAATCCCAGCTACTCAGGAGTGATGTTTGTGCCACTGTACTTCAGCCTGGATGACAGAGCAAGACCCTGTTTCTAAAGAAGAAAACAAAAGGACATTGGAATCAGGTCCCCTTCATCCTAAGGTGCCTACAGAGTATCTTTCTCTGCAAAGAGTAAATGTCATTCTCCAACTCTGCACAGAGTGGAGCAGCAGGAAAATGCCCTCATCTCATTTCTGTGCTGCTTGAGAGGTCTGGACAGCCCAATAACCAGCTCCTTGCTGATGAAACAATTGGGGAAATGGCCCTAGTTGAGCTAAGGAAAATTTGGTTTCTTCTTTTGGTTCTCAAAGGGCAGGGTAGTGGCTGGGTGAGGTGGCTCACACCTGTAATCCCAGCACTTTGGGAGGCCAAGGTGGGAGGGTGGCTTGAGGTCAGGAGTTTGAGACCAGCCTGGCAAAGCCCCATCTCTACAAATAATTTTTTAAAATTAGTCAGGCATGGTGATATGTGCTTACCATCCCAGCTACTTGGGAGGCTGAGGTGAGAGGATCACTTGATCCCAGAAAGTTGAGGCTGCAGTGAGCCATGATCACACAACTGCGCTCTAGCCTGGGTGACAGAGTGAGATCTCATCACTTTAAAAATAAAGATTGCTCTGATTCTGCAGACAATAGGCAGGAAGGCCAATGGGGGGCTCCTGTGGGAGGGGGAAGACAGGGGCTTGGGTAAGAATGCCACCACTCAGACAGGCCCACCATGGGCAATGAGCATCGCCACACGTTGTTGAGTCTGTATGAACAGCAAACATGAGTGGTCAATGCAAGCCATAGCTGGTCACTGTCCCCAGAACCAAAGACTCAAGTGAGGTTGATAGAAGTGCTTCCTAAGAGACCACTCCTCAGGGGGATAAATACAGCCCAGTGGTTACAGCAGAACAGCCCTGCCTGGCTCTGTCTATCAGTTTCGTGGTGCCTGGCCTGGGATAGTCAGGCTCGTAGTTTTTCAGCTATAGTAGATGTATTAGTTCATTTTCACACTGGTTTAAAGATAATGCCTGAGACTGTGTAATTTATAAAGGAAAGAGGTTGAATTGACTCACAGTTCCACATAGCTGAGAAGGCCTCAGGAAACTTACACTCATGGCGGAAGGGGAAGCAAACGTGTCCTTCACATGGCAGCAGGAAGAAGAGTGAACAAAGGAAGAACTTCTAAATACTTATAAAACCATCAGATCTTGTGAGAACTCACTCATGATCATGAGAACAGCATGGGAGAAACTCCCCCATGATCCAATCACCTCTTACCTGGTCTCTCCCTCAACACCTAAGGATTAAAATTCAAGATGAGATTTGGATGGAGACACAGAGCCAAACCATATCAGTAGAGCACTTGCAGGCATTAGATGGGCCAGCCGCCTTGGGCTGGGCTGGGCCTGGGCCCCTCACCTTCTTCTGGCCCTTCATCCAGGTGAGGCTCATCCACACAGTCCCTGGGGTAAGTGGATTCAAGTCTGGACAATGCATTCTTCACTTTCCGGAAGACAATGGCAGAAATCCCTCCTGGTTTCCTGGCCTAAGCCTAGGTGCCAGCACACCCCATCAGAGATGCCTCCCAATCAGAGGCAGCAGCTTACCTTCGCCCTGAGGCATTTGGCTTCCTCTTAGCTGTGGTTCCTTATGTCTTCGGCTCCCTCCGAGGGCACCCTGGGATGAGGAGGAGTTTGATTGTAATTATTGGAATCTCTTTCCCAAAGCCGACAGGTAGCCATCTCCCTAAGGGACAGAGTGGCAGCTTAGACGTGGGACTCTGTGTGCAGAGAGGCCTGGATTCAAATCTGCAATCTTAAGAATCTGCAAAGTCAAATTCTGCAAGCTTTATAGCCCCCTTAACGTCATCTATTAGCAGGAATACAAACACCTCATACTTCACAGGATGGCTGTGAGACTCAGATGAGATGGTAATCTGTGAATGGCCTGTTGCATGCTCAACAGAATGTGGTACTAAGGAGCTGTCAATCAACATTAGCTGCAATAGTAACGATGAGGTATACTATTTTCCATAATTAAGAATGGCCAACCCATCAGGATGGGAATAAATTCACAGTCGTGGATGGACTGAAGCTGTGCTGGAACTCATGAGTAATGAGGCATGGCACTTATTGGGAGCGTGGTCTCAGCCATGGGCACATGGGGATGGAGGGCCCCCGGTAGTAACTGGGCAGGAGGCCGAGCGTGGTGGCTCATGCCTGTAATCCCTGCACTTTGGGAGGCTGAGGTGGGTGGATCACTTGAGGTCAGGAGTTTGAGACCAGCCTGGCCAACATGGTGAAACCTTGTCTCTACTAAAAGTACAAAAATTAGCTGGGTGTGGTGGCACGTGCCTGTAATCCTAGGTACTTAGGAGGCTGAGGCAGGAGAATCACTTGAACCAGGAAGGTGGAGGTTGCAGTGAGCCGAGATTGTGCCATTGCACTCCAGCCTGGGCAACAGAGTGAGACTCTGTCTCAAAAAAACAACCCCCCAGCCCTGCAAAAACAAACCCTACCCCTCTCTGAGGTCCTTAGGTCCTTTAGCAACATGGATGCCAATGGTGGAAATCATGTCAATGAGTCCTAGAGCCTGTGGATTGATTGTATCACTGTGTAGCATCCTCAGGCTCAGGAGAGAAACCTTAGAGATGGGCCCAGCCTTACACCCGCTTGAGTGAGTCCTGTGAATCTTGCCATTCATCTAGGATGGGCCCCAACTTACCAAGGTAGAAAATAAAGAAGGAAGCTACTCAGGAGGTTGAGGCAAGAGAATCTTTTGAGGCTAGGGGCTTAAGACCAGTCTGGTCAACATAGCAAAATCCCATCCCTACAAAAAATAAAAAAATTATATGGGAGTGGTGGCATGCATCTGTAGTCCCAGCTACTGGGGAGGCTAAGGTTGAAGGATCTCCCGAGGTCAGAAGTTTGAGGCTGCAGTGAGCTATGATCACGCCACTGCATTCCAGCTTGGGTGATACAGTGAGACACGTTCTCTAAAAAAAAATAAAATAAAATAAATTAAGAGACAGAATTAAAAGGATGGAAATAAACAATCTTGTTTTATACCAGATTCATATTTTTGCAAGGCACATGGTTTGGGGTATGAGATGGTCTTGAAATGCTGGGTGGGTTTAGTGTGCCTAAAATTCATTTTTACAATCCAAAAGTGCCATTAGGTTAGGGCACTACACATTTTAGTCCCCAGTTCTAGAAAGTTTAAACTTTAAAATTTTAAAATGTAAAAGCCCCAGATGTTATGACTCAACTCAAGTGGGTCCTCTGCCTTAGGACTGTATTGTAAGTAACTGGAAGTCCTCATAACTTGCTGATGGAGGAAGGAAACCTGGAGGGCTGCCTGGGGGAAGAATCTTCCTACCCAACAAAACAAGGGGGCTCCATTGAGAACTGGACACCTGAGACTGAGGGCAGGGTTGGCCTCTCCCTGTTGCCTTTCCCAGGGGGCTCTTCAGTGCTCTCTGGCTCCTGCTAAGGGATAGGAAGCCTGGGTCCCTAACCCAAGCTGGCAGTAAGGTACAAATTCAGGTGCATGTATTTTCTTTCTTTCTTTTCCTTCCTTCCTTCCCCTCCTCCCTCCCTCCTTCCTTCCTTCTTTTCCTTCCTTCCTTCCTCCCTCCCTCCCTCCCTCCCTCCCTCCCTTCTTTCTTTCTTTCTCTTCTTTCTTTTTCTCTTTCTGTCTCCCTCCCTCCCTTCCTTCCTTCTCCCCTTTCCTCCCTCCCTTCCTTCTTTCTTTTCTTTTTTCTTTATTTCTTTGTCTCTCTCTCTTTTTTTTTTGAGACAAGGTCTTGCTCTGTCACCCAGGCTGGAGTGCAGTGGCATGATCACAGCTCACTGCAGCCTCCACCTCCTGGGCTCAAGCCATCCTTCCTCCTTAGCCTCCCAAGTGGCTGGGATTACAGGTGTGAGCCACTGTGCCTGGCCAGATGCATGTATTTTCCAGAGAGGCTGGATTATCTTCTTTGAATTCGCCCAGGTGGTGTGGGGCATCAGATGCCAGACCCTTTTCTTAGAGCAAGTGTGTTACAAGTAGCAAGGTTATTATTACTGCTGTGTCCCAGGGCTGGTATCTCTGGGTCTCCTGGGGGTGAGGTTATCTGGAAAGCCAGCCTTGGATGGTCTGGAGGTCTGTTTGGAGGAGAGACAGCTTTAAGGACAGCTGTGAAGGAGGAAAACCTCCTGCCCTGCCCCTCTGCTGGTCCCTGCCCTGGGGCTAGGCTTTCTATGCTACTCAGAAAAGTAAAATGAAAAAGGAAAGAGGAAATAAGGGAAATAAAAGAAGCACATTTGTCCAGTGATATAGGACTTGTAGAAAGTAGGAAAATTAAAACTTGAAAGAAAAATCAGAAGGAATAAAGACAAAAGAAAAATACAATAGTACAAGTTCTGAATAATTCCATCCAGTAAAAATTAAGATTAGGTGAAATTGATAAGATGAAATGATAAGATAAAATGAAATATTTTCTTTTTCTTTTTTTTTTTTTTGAGATGGAGTCTCATTCTGTTGCCCAGGCTAGAGTGTGGCGTGATCTCAGCTCACTGCAACCTCCATCTCCCGGGTTCAAGCGATTCTCATGTCTTAGCCCCTGAGTAGCTGGGACCACGCCTGGCTAATTTTTGTATTTTTATCAGAGATGAGGTTTCGCCGTGTTGGCCAGGCTGGTCTCAAACTGCTGACCTCAAGTGATCTGCCTGCCTCAGCCTCCCAAAGTGCTGGGATTACAGGCGTGAGCCGATGCGCTCAGCCAAAATGAAATCTTTTAATCTGAAATAAGATGAATCTGATAAGATAAAGACAAAATGACACCATGAGAGTTCATGTAAGAGATAAAGCCAAGAAGATAAGATGTTAAAACAGAAAGGTTGACAAAGAGAGAGAAACAATTAGGAAAAGGTGAGGATTTACATGAAGGATGAAGAATAAGAATGAAACAGGTAAATGACAATTTATATAAATGGAATCTCACTGGGAGGGAATATTTTAAGAAGTCAGCTGGAAGCACTTGCGGAGGACGAGGGAAGTGACTTTGTAACTGGTTCTTAGAGTATCCTAAACTAAGCCTCCCCTCTGCAGAGGATGGTGTCACTCAGCAAGAAGAATTAAAAGATGCTGGGGACCCTGCAACTTTATCAGCTGCTGCTGCTACCT
Organism: Homo sapiens; assembly: GCF_000001405.40. Taxonomy (NCBI): domain Eukaryota; kingdom Metazoa; phylum Chordata; class Mammalia; order Primates; family Hominidae; genus Homo; species Homo sapiens. Next base: position 72,422,444 of record NC_000007.14, on the reverse strand, counting down.
TGAAAAGACTTCATCAAAATAAACAGCCAGGGGGGCTTGTGGTTACTCAAAAATCTCAACATCACTAATCACCGGGGAAATGCAAATCAAAACCACAATATGGTTTTCTTACTCCTGCGAGAATGGTCAAAATTAAAAAGTCAAAAAACAATAGACGTTGGCATTGATGTGGTGAAAATGAAACACTTCTACACTGCTGGCGGGAATGTAAACTAGTAGTACGGCCACTATGGAAAACAGTATGGAGATTCCTTAAAGAACTAAAAGTAGATTTGCCATTTGATCCAGTAATCCCACTACTGGCTATTTACTCAAAAGAAAAGAAGTCATTATATGAAAAAGACACTTGCAGATGTATGTTTATAGCAGCACAATTCACAATTGCAAGACGTGGAACCAGCCTAAGTGCGGGTCGATCCACAAGTGGATAAAGAAAATGTGGTATATATACACCATGGAATACTACTCAGCTGTGAAAAGGAATGAAATAATGTCTTTTGCAGCAAGTTGGATGGAACTGGAGGCCATTATCCTAAGTGAAGTAACTCAGGAATGGAAAACCAAATGCCATATATTCTCATTAATAAGTGGGATATTGGGAGACTGAGGCTGGCAGATCATGAGGTCAGGAGATCGAGACCAGCCTGGCCAACATGGTGAAACCCTGTCTCTACTAAAAATTACAAAAAAATTAGCTGGGTGTGGTGGCATGTGCCTGTAGTCCCAGCTACTTGGGAGGCTGAGGCGGGAGAACCACTTGAACCTGTGAGGCGGAGGTTGTAGTGAGTGAGCTGAGATTGTGCCACTGCACACCAGCCTGGCTGACAGAGCAAGACTTAGTCTAAAAAAAAAAAAAAAAAAAAAAAAAAAAGTAGGATAAAATGAAATCTTATCATCTGAAATATGATGACTGTTATAAGATAAAATAAAGACAAAATGACACCATGAGAGTTCATGTAAAAGATAAAGCCAAGAAGATAAGATGTTAAAAGCAGAAAGGTTGATGAAGAGAGAGAAAAACAATTCGGAAAAGGTGAGGATTTACGTTAAGGATGAAGAATAAGAATTATTCTTTCGGTTTTCCATTCCTGAGTTATTTCACTCATAGCTAAGCTGTGAGGATAGAAAAACATACAGAGCGATCTAATGGACTGTGGGGACTCAGGGTGGGGAGAGGTTGGGAGTGGAGTGATGGATAAAAGACAACATCTTGGGTACAGTATGTGATGGGTGCACTAAATCTCAAAAATCACTGCTAAAGAACTCATCCATATAACCAAAAACCACCTGTACCCTAAAAACTATTGAAATAAATTACCATTTTTTTAAGAAAGGAATCTGATCTCTGGAAAGTTCCCAGACAATGCTCACTCTAAAAACGCACTGGACGCAAAGGAAAGTGCAGTAAGAACCTGCCCGGGTTTCTAGACCCAGAACTCCCTGGAAATTGGGAAATTTGGGTATTTACCCAAAAGGAAAGAAGTTATTATATGAAAAAGGCCCTTGCAGATGCATGTTTAAGATGCATCCCGGCCAGGCGTGGTGGCTCATGCCTGTAATCCCAGCACTTCGGGAGGCTGAGGCGGGTGGATCACTAGGAGATCGAGACCATCCTGGCTAACATAGTGAAACCCTGTCTCTACTAAAAATACAAAAAATTAGCCGGGCGTAGTGGCGGGCTCCTGTAGTCCCAGCTACTCGACTGAGGGAGGAGAATGGCGTGAACCCGGGAGGCGGAGCTTGCAGTGAGCTGAGATCTCACCACTGCACTCCAGCCTGGGCGACAGAGCGAGGCTCCGTCTCAAAAAAAAAAAAAAAAAAAAGATGCATCCAGATCAGCCTGGAGCAGGCCTGGTAAACCTGTCTTCTGCAGAGGCACTGTTGCCTTTGGGGGAATTTTTTAAAAAGGTGATTTCTCATGACCTGAAACAGGTGCCCAGGTGAATGCCAGCTCCTCTCCCTCTCGGTGTAGCCCTGCTTCCCTCCTTAAGGGGAGCCCTAGATTCAGATTTCACTCTGAAGTGAGTGAAGCCTCCCAGCCAGCATCTACTCAGCAAAATCTGCCCCTGTTTGGGGTTGCAAGAGGAAGTGTTGCCTGTGGGGTTTAGAGCCAGGTCATGTAGTTATTTCATGCTGGGCTCCAGCCAAGGCAGGATGGACCACTTTAGATCGTGCCTCAATCTTATGAGTCTGGCTACCTCTGTCCTTCTTTTCCCAAGTTTCTTTCTAGTCATGTCTTCATACAACCCAAGGGTGAATGTTAGGGTGGGAGTTAGGGTTAGGGTTAATGTGAGCATCTAACTTGCCCCTTCGTGGGCAGGAACTGAAGTGGCTCATTTCACTCAGCCTGCAGACTGTGGACAGCTAAGTGTTAACGGCTCCGTGAAGGGTCAGGGTGACAGTCTTCTGCACCTGTCCTTTTTGACACCCGAGTTCTTGTTCAGTGTCCAGGAAGAATCAGGTCACATGAACTGTGTGAAAGGTGATGAATGCAGAAGACTTTATTGAGCAGTGGAAGTGGCTCTTGGTGGAGAGGGAGCTGGAAAGGGGATGGTGTGGGGAGAAGGTGATCTTTTCCCTGAAGCTCAGCCATGTCTGGCTGGGCTCCCCTCCAAAACCACACATCTGAAGTTAGCTGCATGTACCTGTAGTCTCCAACGCTCAGTTTTTGCTTCTCTGCTCACTGCTCAGCCACTTGTATCCTTGCCGGTCAGCCACTTGTGTTGCTCTTTTCTCTTTTTATGAGCACAGGATAGGGGTATGGCAGGCCAATAAGGCAATCATTTGGGCAGAAAAATTGGGCCAGCTGTTTCCACTTAGGGCCGAGGCTCCAAGCTTGAGGGTGGGGTTTAGTCAGGAGCCCAGCCATTCTATATCAGGATGACTCTAAGGCCAACTGGGAGAAGTGGGGTTTCTGGGACACCCGTATTCATGCAGTCAAAGCCAAGAAAGGCAAATCAGTGCCTCCCAAACCCAGCCTTAGGGGATTACCTGAGCCAATCCAGACATGAATCCTGAGGAAAATACGGCAGCCAAATGCCCTGCCCCAAGATTCCATGGGTTATCAAAGAAGGAAGACCTGAGGAATCTTCCTTCCCAAAGAAGGACTAGGGAGTGACTGTGCCAGTGGATATGAGGTTCCTTTTGGGAATGATGAAAATGGTCTAAAATGGGTTGTGGTGATCACAATCCATTTTAGACCATTTGCACAATTATCATGTGCAACACGGAATTTTGGAGCAGTAGGGTGAGAACTGTGATGCTTTGAGCAGCGGCAGGGCGTCGTCAGCAGGGCATTCGTGTGTTGTCCAGCTCAACTTTGCACCCACTGGGATGGGCATCCATCTTCTTGGCTGCTTGGTGTTTCTGGGAATCTACTTCTAGGCTTTTCAATGGGTAGAGGTCCGCCAAACCAAAAAACAAAGGGATTACTTGGAGTCTTGCTTTGTCACCCAGGCTGGAGTGCAGTGGCATGATCATAGTTCACTGTAGCCTCAACCTCCTGGGCTCAAGCAATCCTCCCGGCACAGTGTCCCAAGTAGCTGGGATAACAGGCATGCATCACCATGCCTGGCTAATTTTTAAAAAGATTTTTTGGTAGAGACGGGGTCTCGCCATGTTGCTCAGGCTGGCCTCAAACTCCTGGCCTCAAGCAATCCTCCCACCTTGCCCTCTGAAGGGCTGGGGTTATAGGTGCAAGCCACATCACCCAGTGACATAAGAGCTTGAACTACAGGGAGACCCATCCAGATGGGGCTGAGCAAAAGACTAAGAATCTCTGTGGAAAGCTCTGGTAAACTCCAGGAGCCCTATGTGAGCCGGGGCGGGGAAGCTACAGAGGGCGATTGTCCAGAAGTGGTGAATATATGGCTGAGGTACTGGGGATACTGTGGTAAATCTGGGGACTACTGTCTTCCAGAGCCCTGGAGGGTGCAGTGCGACAGTCACCCTGGGCAGAGCCCCTTCCCAAACCCAAAGGAAAATAATTTGTTCTACCAAAAAGACACCTGCACTTGTATGTTCATTGCAGCATTATTCACAAGAGCAAAGACATGGAATCGACGTAGGTGCCCATCATTCGTGGATTGGATAAAGAAAATGTGGTCCATATACACCATGGAATACTACACAGTCATGAAAAAGAATGAGATCATGTCCTTTACAACAACATAGATGCAGCTGGAGGCCATTATCCTAAGCAGATTAATGCAGGAACAGAAAACCAAATACTGCATGTTCTCACTTGTAAGTGGGAAAGAAACATTGGGTACATGTGGACATCAAGATGGGAAGAACAGACACTGGGGGCTACTAGAGAGGGAAGAGGGGGAGGGGGGCAAAGGTTGAAACACTACCTATTGGGTACTATGCTTGCTACCTGGATGATGGGAATGTTTTTACCCTAAACCTCAGCATCACACGATATATCCATTTAACCAACCGGCACATGTACCTTCTGAATCTAAATTAAAGTTGGACATTTTAAAACCCTTAAAACAAACAAACAAAAAGAGGAACAGGGAAAAACAGCTCAGCAGAGGGAGGAGCTCCAGATGAAACTTAGAGACCCAGTGATTCCCTGCATGGGGCTCAAAACACAAGGTCTCTGTGATCATGTTTAAGGCCAGGGTGTCCCAGGGTAGCATGGCACCGATTACCTCAAACCCACTGATGAGGCTCCCACAACCATGACTAATGAACATGAAGAGCTAATGGACTCCTCTTCTTTCTCAAAACCTCTGCCAACTCTGCCGCCAAGAATTATAAGCATTTAGAAAATAATTATACATCTGGACAAATCAGTTTCAGTCTATTGGATTGAACATAATCATATTAAAATATAATGAATACATTCAAACACACAATGCATGATTAAATAGTCACTTAGGAACCAGTGCTGGTAAAGCATGCTGGCTGGTAACCAAGAACTATGTGGCAAGTGCCCACGGTAGCGGGGACAGAAGTAGAAAGCCACCCCAGGCTTGCAACTGATTTCTTTGTCACCTTTGGTTTAGGTTCTCATTTACTTCCTCCCACCCTGGCTCAGGCAAATCCACACAAACTGGTTGTGGTTCCTGCAACCTGATTTTGTTGGCTGGTGCTTAATCTTTGTGTCATTTGGGATGGAAAGGTGGAGTGGGGGAGGCAGGATGTTTTTGGCAGGCTGATGGCCAGAGACCGCAGGGGTCTGCCCAAGGTCTCTGCCAATCCCATTGCACGGGGCATCTCACTCATGTCCTCCCTCGGGAGGCGAGGGCACCAAACAGCAGTGGTGCTTCTCAAACGCTTGTTGTCTTATTATCCTTGGCCTCCAGATCACGGCTGGGACCGCCCTCCGCCTGTACTCACTGAGCATATCTCCAGGTTTCTGGGCCTGGATGAAGACTCAGGCTCTATGGGAATCCCGGGGAAGCTGAGCTTCCATCTGGCAGCTGACCTGGAGACCTGAAGCATGCCTTGGCAAAGCACACCTTTCCCCACTGACTTGCCCTGGACCAAAGACTTGGTCTCAGCTCTCTGTGGCCTCTTTGTGCCCTGCACTTCTCTGCCTCCTGGCCTAGCCCAGCCCAGCTCAGCCCAGCCCACCCCAGCTCAACCCTCGGCTGATAGATGCTGACATTAATGCAGGAGAGGTGGGTCCCCAAATCGGGATGAAGCCCGGGAAGGTTCTTTTTGTTATTTGTTTTTTTTTTTTTTTTTTTTTTTTTTTGAGACAGAGTCTCACTTTGCCGCCCAGGCTGGAGTGCAGTGACGCGATCTCGGCTCACTGCAACCTCCGCCTCCCAGGTTCAAGTGATTCTCTTGCCTCAGTCTCTTGAGTAGCTGGGATTACAGGCACACACCACCATGCTCAGCTAAGTTTTGAATTTTTAGTAGAGACAGGGTTTCACCATGTTGGCCAGGCTGGTCTTGAACACCTGACATTAGGTGGATCTACCTGTCTCAGCCTCGCAAAGCGCTGGGATTACAGCGTGAGCCACCGTGCCCAGCCGGGTTCCCGGCTTCACTCAGGAAACAATTTAAGGCTGAGCCAGTGGCAGAAGAAAACAGCTTTATTGAGGTAGCAGCATTACAGCTCTGTGACTACTCCTGCAGAGCAGGGGTACTCCATAGGCAGTGTGTGGAGAGCAGCAGCTCAGGGGCAGTGCTGCAGTCATATTTATACCCACTTCTAATTATATGCAAATTAAGGAGCAGGCTATTCAGAAATTGTTAGAAGAGGGGTGGTAACTTCTGGGTGTTGCCATGGCAATGGTAAACTGTCATGGCACTGGTGGGTGTGTCTCACGGAGAGGTGCTTCCAGGGCCTCTTCCCTATTTTAGCCAGTCTTCAGTCTGGTCTGGAGTCAAGTCCTGCCTCCCACCTCAACATCACAGGTGGAGACTGGAAAATGTCAAGGGTAGGGCGAAGGGAACGGTACAAGCATTGGTGATCAGCTTCAGAAGCAGACCCACAACCTTAAAAGAAATGGAGCCCAGGGCTGGGGCTGTTTGTTTTTGTCCTGCCTCTAGATGTGGGATCCTGGTCCCTGGGAACAGATCAGACTCAGGCACCTGGGTGGGCACTGGCCAAAGGAAGCCCTAGGTGAAGGAGCGTGGTGGTACCTGCAGGCGGTGTCACCGTCCAGTAGCGCAGTTCTATGCCCCCCGCGCCCCCCGTACCCTCACGGGCCTCTGCCCCACTGCCTGGGACCCTGCTGTCTTAGTCACCGCTCAGGCTTCCAGCATTTTCCCAGGAGGATCGACGAAACTGAGATTGTGAGTTGGTGGCTCACAGGCCTGGTTCAGCCCACAAACAGGTTTGTTGTTGTTTCTTCTTGTTTACTTGTGTGTTTGTTATTTCTTCTTGTGTTACTTGTGTGTTGGTTTTCTCCCAAAGTGTTTTGAAACTTAGAAGTTGTTGCCAGCATTTAAAAAATCAGCTGATTTATTAACAATCTGGATTTCCAGCTCCTCTTTAAATCATGACATCTGGCAATGCCGGGCCATACTCACTCATAGCAACAATGGATGGGTGATGAGTCGTGGCTACCGCCTTGCACAAAGGGAGCCACTTCCTCGTGGTCTTTGCCTCTTGGCATGACTGCTGGTCCCTGTAGGCATTTGAGCTGGCATGCCCCGTTTTATAAGAAGGAGAAAATACAGGTGCATCTGGAGTGGATGACACAATGGTATGAATTAGACCCAGGTGCTCCCACAGGGAGAAAGATCTAGGTACCTTGTAGTAGTCTGCTCAGGCTGCCATAACAAAATACCATAGACTAGCGGGTGGGGAGCTTAAACTATACCTTAACAGCTGTTATTTTCTCACAGCTATGGAGGCTGGAAGTCCAAGGTCAAAGTGCCAGCATGGTCAGGTTCTAGGGAGGACTCCTTTCCTGGCTTGCAGACAGCTGCCTTCTTGCTGTGTCCTCACATGGCAGAGATAGAGATCCCTCTCTTCCTCTTATAAAGCCACAGTCCAATTGGATTAGGGTTTCACCCTTAAAACCTCATTTAAAATGACCTCCCCAAACCCCTATCTTCAGATATAGTCACATTGGGGTTGAGGGCTTCAACGTAAGGATTTGGAGGAGGGACACAATTCACTCCATAGCATATGTGGAATTCAGGATATATATTTGGGGGCTGGGAAGGGAAATTAAATGACCAGTGGAGTCTTGGGCCATCCAAGCATGTCACAAAAATGGAAGGAAACCATTGCCATGAAATGGATGAACTTGGCAACAGAGAGGGGTACAGAGCTCATGTTCCCCCATCTACAGATACTGCTTCTCAGTCGTCCTGGGAGAAATACAGCTTATGGCAAATTCAGGACATCCTCCCTTCAAACATTTGCTTGAATTATCCAGACTGGGGGCCAACACTGGACTTCCAATCTCTGCTGTTCTGTAACGTCTCTGGGAAGTTCTGTGCTGCCATGCTAGTGTTAGGGTGGAGTGGGGAGTGAGTTCAGGGAGGCTGGTGTGAGGGTCTTGCCACCACCCATCCCAGGACCCCTGGTCTGGCATCAAGAAGGCACTGGCCTGCAAGAGAAGCTGTGTGACCCTGGGAAGCCACTCAGCCTCTCTGTCTCGCTCTACCCAATTGTGAACTAGGGGTTGATCAGGTCAGTTTCTTTTGTAGGTCACTCTTCATGTTGGTAGATAATTTTAAGCCCTGGTTAAGGACACTGCTCTGTAGTAGGTGCACAGAACGAAGGATTCGGCCCCAGGACTCAAGGAGGCCCATGGGCCTCTGGCTCCAGCATGGGTCTCTTGAGCTTCCCGCCAAACTCTAGGATCCTGGATCTTCCCACGGTCTGCCTCCAATGAGTGAATCCGTCTCATACCTCACTGCTCCTGCTTGGCGAGGGTGATGGGAAGATACGGTATTAGTGGGTAATTAAGTTATTAGCTGCCAAAGCTTAATTGCTCTCAGGAGTATTTTAATTGTAGCAGGGGACTCAAAAACAGAAAGCCTTGGAGACAGCAGACATCATGGAAACAGAAGGAAGGGGGAGTATATGTGAGGGTGCATGTATGGGAGTGCGGTGTGTACGTGTGTATGTATGTAAGAGTGTGTGTGTGCATGTGTATACGAGTGTGTGTGATGTGTGTGCATGTTTGTGTATGTGCCATGCATGTGAATGCATAAGTGGGAATGTTTGCGAGTGGTGCGTGTCTGTGTAGTGTGTTTGTTATGTGTATGTGTGTGCATATGTGCTGTGCGTGTGTGTATAAGTGTAAGTGTATATGTGTATGTGTAGTGTGAGTGTGAATGTATATGTGTATGAGTGTGTGCATAACTGTGAGTTTATATGCGTATGTGTAGTGAGAGTGTATATATGTATGTGTGCATGTGTTAGTGTGTATATGTATGAGTGTGTGTGTGGTGTGCATGAGTGCATGCATGTATGAGCTTGTGAGTGTGCGTGTTTATGAGTGTATCTGATGTGTGAGTTTGTGTCCTTATGTGAGCATGTGTGGTATGAGTATGCACGTGTGTCCATGTGTGGTATGTGAGTCTATGTGAGTGTACGTGTGTGTAAGAATGTGCATGTGTGGTGTGCATGTATGAGTATGTTCGTGGGTGTGTGTGGATGAGTGTATGTAAATGTATGTGTGGATGTGAGTGTATGTTAGTGTGTGTATGTATACGTGTGTGTGTACATGTGGTGTGTGTGTGCATGTGTGTGTGAATGTATATGTGTGTATGTGTGGTGTGTGTGAGTGTATATGTGTGTATGAGTGTGTGTGTGTGAGTGGGTGGGCACAAGTGTCAGTGTGTACATATGAGTGTATGTGTAAGCATGTAAGTGAGCATACGTGTAAGAGTGTATGTGTGCATATGTGTCTAACAGAACCTGCCTCTGTGATCTCTGCCAGGGCGTCCATCAGTGCAAACCCCCCGGGTGAGCCCAGGTCTGAAGGTGGCCACCAGCCACTGGCCTACTCCAGGTGGGCTTAGCGTGAGCCAGCACAGCCATCAGAGAACCTTCTCGGAGCTAGACCAGCTGCCCCAGGAGAAAGAGGGTAACCCTAAATATTATCCTACCAGGAAAGCCAGGCCTGGGGCTGTGGCCTCCATGGTCTGGGTGCTTCCTTTTGGAGGTGGGAGATGGATTCTCCAGGGAGAGCTGGGCCACCAGATATTTCTCTGTCCTGTGGCTTGACTGCTTCTAGAAACTTCCTGGGCTGAAAGCAAGGGACTTTGACAAGGGCTTGATTTGGAATGTGGGGCATTTTTATTGTTCCAGTTTGTTTTTCCCAAAGCAGGTTCCATGGGGGAAGGGTGAGGGGACAAGGGCTGGGGCTGCTCCTCCAGCAGTGGCCCCTGGGTGTGAGAGGTGAAGCCAGCTGGGCTTCTGGGTCAGTGGGGACTTGGAGAACTTTTCTGTCTAGCTAGAGGATTGTAAATGCACCAATCGGTGCTCTGTGTCTAGCTAGAGGATTGTAAATGCACCAGTCAGCATTCTGTAAAAATGGACCAATCAGCACTCTGTAAAATGGACCAATCAGCACTCTGTAAAATGGACCAATCAGCACTCTGTAAAATGGACCAATCAGCAGGACATGGGCAGGGCTGAATAAGAGAATAAAAGCTGGCTCCCCGAGCCCGCTGGGGAAGCTCGCTGGGGTGCTATCCGCTTGAGTTTGTGTTTTTTTCTTTCCTGCTTCTTAATAAAGCTTACTGCTTACTCTGGGTCCGCGCCACCTTTAAAGCTCACGGCCGCGGTCTGCGTCTTCGTTCTTGAAGTCAGCAAGACCGCAAGCCCACCGGGAGGAGCAGACGACTCCGGACGCGCCATCTTTAAGAGCTGTAACACTCACCGCGAGGTCCGTGGTTTTATTCTTAAAGTCGGCGAGACCAACAACCCAGCAGAAGGAATAAATTCCGCACACAGGTGGGCACAGAAACTAAAGAGCATGGTGGGCTCAGCTGCATGCAGTTCCCAGCTGGGCCAGGTTTGGGAGCCATCTGGGTACTTTCATAGTCTGGAGACAAGTTCCGGATTATGGTGGTGTTTTAATCTATGATTTTTTCTTTATCGGTTTATGATACCTCTCTAAAAGAGAGTTGCTTCATCAACTATTTGGTTATCCTGGAATATAATCTGTATGGAAAAAGCAGGACAATTGTTTGGTTCTTTTCTTATTACTTTAAAAGAGTAATTACTTTATTCCTTAGCAATTACATTCATGTCAATTTTCAGGATAATGAGTTGTACCATATTTGGTGATTGGCTGTGTCTTCCAGTTAGTTTCTCTGTCATTTGGCATCATTGAGAACTTATCCACTTTTAGGCCTGACAAGACTTTTCGTATTTCCTCCCATGGAGCTGATTACTTAGCCGGAAGTGGTATTTTGAGACTACAATTTGAGTGCTCATTGCCTGAGTTTTATTACCTTGACGTCTTTTCAGTGACACAACTGATACGTCCATATTTTTTTAAAGACAAAAATAAATTGAGTTCACAGTGATATTTTTATTCAAACTAGATTTCAGAGTTTTTACTTAACCTTAAAATTGTTATATTTACAGCTCTTTTCTCTAACATAGAAAATCTTGATTCCTAATGATGTTACATGAATCTCTTTTGTATGATTTCTTTGTGGTTCTTTTTGTCCTGAGACTTAGGTCTCACGTGGAAAGCTCAGTCAAAATATTATGTTCTAAAGTAACTTGAAAAAAACGGTTTTCTCTGTAGTTAAGCCATTAACTTGAAATACAGTTGTGTTTGCATGTTTCAGTTCATTTTCTATTTTAAGGAATTGCTTTGCTTTTTCCTTTTGATAGTTTTTTTCAAATCTGTAAAACCTTTATGTTTGCTCTTATAAATAGGCTCTGCTCATACATTATCTTCTGTTTCTACACATGTCCTGTTAAATTCTGTATGTTGGTCTTATTCTAATGCTTTACTAAATTCACCTATTATTTGTAATCGTTTTTTCATGAATTCTTTGGGATTTTCCATACATATAATCATATCACCTTAAAATAACTTTATTTCTTTTCCCATCTTATGCCTCTAATTGTCTAATCATGTTGGTTAATGCCTACAATACAGTGTTAATAGTAGCAGAGATAGTAAACATCCTTGTATTTTTTCTGATTTTAGCAATAAAGTTTCTAGTGCTTCTTGGAAAGTAAGAAGGTAGGGTGCTGGCTCGTGAGCTGATACGGAGGTGTGTGTATTTATGTTCAGGAAATATATATAGTTCCCTATTTTACTCTGATTTTCAATGTTAATTTAATTGTGAGCCGTTCATAGGGTCTTGGTTTTCATTTTGAAGAACCAGGGTTTAGGGTGTTTTGCTTATGCGAATTTAAGCCAGGACATGAAGGGACATTAGGGCTCCTGAGAAGTCTCACTTGCAGAAGAATTGAGCTGATTTGAAAAGCTCATTTCAGTTTTCAGATGTGGACTTAAAATTTTGGCTTTGCTTGTGTATATATTTTATTTCCGTGATATCTAATTGGTTTTGGGCAGAGATAGGGAGAAAACAACTTTGATTTTACATCATGTAGAAGGATTTCGCTTTTGCATCTTTCAAGGAATTCCATGGACATTTTCTACGTCCTAGATTGGCAGTTTTAGATTTCTTTTTTGTGCTTTTGAATACATCTTAGTAGTAAGATATTCAAAATGATGGCCAACAATCACCTTTGCAGAGTCAGTAACACAAGTGCAGTGATGAGACTTCATTGCTCATAAGCAGTTAAGTAGATTTGACAACCTCTCTTACATATTTAAGAGCTCCAGGCTCTCATGTTCCAGCAAATGCAGGGCTTAGCTTTGGGGCAGGCTGGAGCTCACACTCTGCCCTGTCGTCTTTTTTGTCAGCAACTCGTACCCCATTACACACCATATGGCATGACCCGCACAATGGAACATTTTGTCCAAAAGATATCTTCAAGAAAGAATTATGTTCAGTTATAACAAAAATAAATTCTTTTTGTGGGTTAAATGTGGTGCATCTTTGCAGGGTTTTAGAGGAAAGGACCAAGGGGAAAACCATTATCAAGCATTACAGGGAAAAAACTGATTATAATGTGGCCCTCAACAATTGTAAAATCTAGCAGAGACCACAAGATGCAAAAGAAAAGACTGTAACTTGATGCCCAACGTGGTTAAAAGGGAGGGAACGTTCCTTGGTGATTCTTTGAATTGGGTCTTCGAGTAACAGCCTGGGAACCACTGTTCCATGGGGTCCCAGAGGCTAAAAACCATTTAACCCATGCTTATGAATTATTTATGCCCATAAACAATGCAGGTTCATCCCTCTCCATTCCCAAACATTAGATTTTCAGCTCAATCTTGCTCCCAGTGATTGGAATTTTAGATACTTTGAAAGGGATCAAATCCATGAAAGACTTTGGTGTGCTGAGTCTGCTTGTAACCCATGCACCAGATTGGTTGCTGAAGGCCACAGACGCTGAAATAATGAGGTTGGCCAGTCCACTCAGACTATCCATATGCCTCCTTCCTCAGAGGCTGGCACAGAGATCCGTTTAAGATTATACTCTGCGCCAGCCTCTGAGGAAGGGAGGTATGTGGATACAGTCTGAGTGGACTGGCCAACCTCATCATTTCAGCCTCTGTGGCCTTCAGCAACCAATCTGGTGCATGGGTTACAAGCACAGAGGTCCATTTAAGAGTATGCTGGGCCAGGTGCAGTGGCTTCTGCCTGTAATCCCAGCATTTTGGGAGGCCGAGGCGGGTAGATCATGAGGTCAGGACTTGGAGACCAGCCTGGCCAAGATGGTGAAACACTGTCTCTACTAAAAATGCAAAAATTAGCCAGGAGCGGTGGCGGGCGCCTGTAATCCCAGCTACTGGGGAGGCTGAGTCAGGAGAATCTCTTGAATCCGGGAGGCGGAAGTTGCAGTAAGCTGAGATAGTGCCACTGCAGTCTAGTGTGGGCCACAGAGCAAGACTCTGTTCCACCGCTGCCCCCCTGCCCCAAAAAAAGTATACTTGGGGCCAGGTGTGGTGGCTCACACCTGCAATCCCAGCACTTTGGGAGGCTGAGGTGGGTAGATTACTTGAGCCCAAGAGTTTGAGACCAACCTGGGCAACATGGTGAAACTGCATCTCTACAAAAAATACAAAAATTAGCCAGGAGTGATGGTGCCCGCCTGTAGTCCCAGCTACTGAGGGGACTGGAGGTGGCAGGATCACTTGAGCCCGGGAGGTTGAGGCTGCAGGGAGCTATGATTGCGCCTCTGCACTCCAACCTGGGTGACAGAGTGCAACCCTGTCTCAAAAAAAAAAAAAAAAAAAGGAAAAGATAATAATTGGTGGTCATTTGTATGTCTTTTCATGACCACCATGCAATCCTTGCATGTAACAAAATTGCACTTGTATCCCATGAATTTATACAAAAAATTATCCATGATGACCAGGGCCTTGTTGGTTTTGTCACCAACATCACCAACATATTCCAGTTACGCTCTCTGACCTTCACGTCTAGAGAGTCTTTGTCTTTATTATCTCTGTGTGTGTGTTTAATTTTTTTCTGAGACCGAGTCTGTTGCCCAGGCTGGAGTGTAGTGGCGTGATCTCAGCTCACTGCAACCTCCACCTCCCGGGTTCAAGTGATTCTCTTTCATGCCTTACCCTCCTGAGTAGCTGGGACTACAAGCGTGAGCCACCACGCACTACTAATTTTTTTTTTTTTTTTTTTTTAATAGAGATGGGGTTTCACCATGTTGGCCAGGCTGGGCTCAAACTCCTGACCTTGGGTGATCCACCCCCCTTGGCCTCCCAAAGTGCTGGGATTACAGATGTGAGCCTCCATGCCAGGCCTACGGTTTGTTTTTAACGTCAATATGGAACCAAAGGGAACTGGCATTGATTAAATGTGTGTTCAATATATGTTTATTGAACACCAATTATTTCAAGGTTGCTCCTGCCTGCGCCTAAATGCCATACAGTGCATATTTGCATACCTAGTGCCACAGAAGGGGAGAATCAAAGTCTCCCTTCTTGGATACTCTCAGGAACAAGCTGATCCTCCAGACTGAAGGAGTAGGGACAATCTTCCCCGGTTCCGTGTGTTTGTGTCTGAGTTTCCAGCTTGACTCTCTGAGCTCCGTGAGGCTACATCTGTGGTGGATTCATTTCCACACATCCCACCTCCATCCGGCCCTGTGTCCAGTCCAGCGCCCATCTGAGCTGAGAAGCTCAGTCAGTATTAGTGCAAAAAGAAAAAATGGAGAATGATAGTGTATTAGTCTGTTACTGCACTGCTCTGAAGAAATCCCTGAGACTGGGTAATTTACAAAGAAAAGGGGTTTAATGGGCTCACGGTTCTGCAGGCTATACAGGAAGCATGGCTGGGGAGGCCTCAGGAAACTTACAATTATGGTGGAAGGCCAAGGGGAAACAGGCATGTCTTCACATGGCCAGAGCAGGAGGAGAAGAGAGGAGGGAAGCAGCAAAGTTGTTTGCACACACTTGCAACAACCAGATCTCATGAGAACTGTATCACAAGAACAGCATGAAAGTGGGAAAAATACACCCCCGTGATCCAGTCACCTGTTACCAGGCCCCACCTCCAACATTGGGGATTACAGTTTGACATGAGATTTGGGTGGGGACACAAATCCAAACCGTATCAGGTGGCTAGCATATGTAGCACCTGCTCTGTGCCTAACACTTTACAATAACTTTAAAAGGTAGGTGTTATTATCAGGTTCATTTTGCAGATCAGGAAAGTGAAGCCCAGAGAGGTTAAGTCACTTGCCCAAGGTCACACAGCCCCTAAGTGGCACAGCCAGGATTTGAACTGGATGGTCTAATTTGATTAGTGATGTTCTTAACAATATTACTTCACCATTCTCTGCATATTGTGGGTTGGTAAAAGTGATGCAGGTGATAGAGTACTCAAAGCGTAGACCCAGGGCTACATCACTTTTTGGGTGGATAAGAGTGCCTCCTACTGGTCTGAGCCCTGAAAGAGTGACTGGGCAGTGTTCCAGGGGCATTTTCAGTGCTAAAGGAAGTGGGTAGGTCACCTATTGGAATGAAAAGCTGACAAGGGGCTGGCGCGGTGGCTCATGTCTGTAATCCCAGCACTTTGGGAGGCTGAGGCAGGCAGATCACTTGAGGTCAGAAGTTCAAGACCAGCCTGGCCAAGATGGTGAAACCCGTCTCTACTAAAAATACAAAAATTAGCCAGGCCTGGTGGTGTGCACCTGTAATCCCAGTTATTTGGGAGGCTGAGGCAGGAGAATGGCTTGAACCTGGGAGGCAGAGCCTGCAGTGAGCAGGGATCACGCTACTGCACTCCAGCCTGGGTGACAGAACAAGACTCCGTCTTAAAAAAGAAAAAAAAAAAAGCTGACAAGGACCCTCATGTGGGTCTAGGAATTAGCCCAGAGATCTAACTTCAAGACTGGGGCTCAAAAATCCAGCTCCTTCCGGCTGACCTTTCAGATGACGATTGTAAAGGCAATTAGCAAATGGACTTTAGAGGACAAATTCTGGAAATTAATCACCCTTAGGAATCGCATCAGGAAATGAGATAACCGGTTAATTTGGGGACAAGGAAGCTCATTGGGAAATGCACCTTGGGTCCCAAGATGCATAAGGCTGTGAGGACTCAGGAGGTGCCTGTGTCTTGGAGAAGCTTCCAGTTAAATTGGGGGAAGATGGAGGTCTGTCTTATGTGCAGATGCCAACATGGGGTGCTTCATTAGTTGGCCGACGGTGGTTAGTCCGGCTTGTGCAGGGCTGCTTGGCTTCCCTCGTTACGCCAGCAGGCAGCTGTGACTGGGAGAGGGGAATTCTGGAGAGACGGCTTCTGGCTATGGGAGCCAGCTCCATTTTGGGTCCCCTGGCTTTGTGTTTCTCTGGCACATCGCGAGTGCCGCAGTGAGGGCACCAGAGCCAGCTGAGCAGCAGGAGCGATTGTTCCTTACGGGGAGCTGCCACCTTCAGTGCCGTGCGCCT
Organism: Homo sapiens; assembly: GCF_000001405.40. Taxonomy (NCBI): domain Eukaryota; kingdom Metazoa; phylum Chordata; class Mammalia; order Primates; family Hominidae; genus Homo; species Homo sapiens. The sequence goes on along the minus strand of NC_000007.14, from coordinate 72,406,002 downwards.
GTTGAGCTGTGGGCAGGTTCCAGGTCATTAAGTGTATTGGGCTCAGAAGCCTGGCGACCATCAGCTCCCGACAGTTCTCATCTGGGTGCCTTGCTCTGATGTCCACACTGCCTGGGGGGACCTGACAAGAGAAGGGACTCAACATATTCAGAAGTTTTTGCATATGGGGAGCTAATTACTGCTTTTTGAAATATGCATTTACCACCAATCACAACTTCCATGGTGCTGGGGACTGCCATGGCAACTAAAAGCATATCTGAAAATAAAATGTCATTTTTTTTTTTTGCGTTTCTACTGTAATGACACACTTGCTTCTCCTGTTTAACTTAACGAGCTAACTAGAGAAGTCTCCAAGAGTTTCGGCATGTGCCGCGTGTGTGGGGAAGTGGGCGTTGTAGTGTGTGTGAATAGATGAGTCATAGGCATGTGTAAGAGAGCGGCGTACGGGTGTGTGCTGCTGGGGACAGAGTGTGCAGCTGTGTGAAGTTGCGTGGGAGCCATGTGGGTGTGGGGGTGAGTGCTCCTGGGCATATGTCTCAGGAAACAGGCGTGTGAAGACATGCCTGTTTGCCCTTTGCCTTCCACCATAATTGTTAAGTTTCCTGAGACCTCCCAAGCTATGCTAGATGGGTCTCAGATCATCCCTAGGCTATGAGTGTTACAAGGCTGGTCTGTGAGCACGCATCTGAAGACCAGTGCTGTTGTGTGTGTGTGCATGTATGTGTTTGAGGCCAAGTACTGTTGCATGGGTGCGTTGCACATGTGCTGTTTGGTGAGATGTGACTTCTTGCTTTGAGACACTTACTCTCTTTAAGGTGTCTTTGAGATCCCAACCCTTGGGAAGTGCCGGCCCAATCGCAGGACATAACACCCTTCCTGTCGTATCTCATCATTCCTGTGGGATGGAGGGCTTAACTCCATCCCACAACCATTGGGGAACCAGAGACCTCGGAGGTTGGGGCACCCAGACACCATCTGGTCCAGCTCTGAGCTAAGACCATGGGGGTTTCTGGTTCAGATGGAAATTACAAAGCATCTAGTTGGTTTATGTGTCTGTCCGTCATTCATTCACACCAGTAGCTGATGAGTTACTCACAGGGCTTTGGGCTGAGCCTCTTTCATTTGAGCCGATTGAGGCTGACTTTCAGTGGGTACTGTGCGTGCAGATTTACAACAACCTGCAACAATAATGTCCACCATCCACATACAGCTCTTCAAGCCTTCTTCCTGCTTTCTACAGTCATTTTTTGAGCCTGATCTTCTAAGAGCTGACTTTGATAGGAGACCACTTCCCAGGCATGAGCATGCACCTCTCACCAGAATCGAGAGAGTAGAAAGAGGGCAGAGGGACTCTTCCCAGGATACAATGTTCAGGGGCCAAGTAGTGAGAAATGGAGACTCATCTGTGTGTTTCTGCGAGAAGCCATTGCCTGCTGCAATGTGTAGACGTTCTTATGGGTACAACTCTCTCAGATGGGGCCCTGATCCATGGTGGCCGGGGCTTTGTTGGTTTCATCACCAACGTCTTCCATTTACACTCTCTGAACTTCACATCTCAAGAGAGTCTTTGTTTGTCTTTATTATTGTTTGTTTTTACCTTCAATGAAACCAAAGAGAACTGACATTGATTAACTGTGTGTTCAATACATATTTATTGAGCACCAATTATTTTAAGGTTGTCCCTGCCTGGGCCTAAATGCCACACAGTGTGCATCTGAGCTCTTCCCTGCCTGGGGTTTTTCTCAACACAATGTTGGGAGGAGGGGATGGAGATTGTGGACAAATGACAGTAGAAGTAGGCAGAGACGAGGGGTGCCTTAACCCAACCAAGGGAGAGGGCCAGGTCAAGGACAACTTTTCAGAAGAGGTGACACCTGAGCTGAGTTGTAAGGGACAAGTAGGTGGTAACGATACCAGAGAGAGGTAGAAAGAGGATGTTGCCACTTGGTGACATCAAGTGGACCTAGAGATTCCATATGCATGGGTTGCAGGTCTGCCCTGGAGCTGGTAATGGGATGCCATCTTGGATGCTGTATGCTTTAAGGAAGTTAGGAGGGTATTGCCCTGGGATTGCGACAGCATGACTAAGTTTGGGAGGCTGGGCCAGAGTCCTTCACCGTTAGACGGTGATTTCCAGCTCAGTCCCCCATTTAGTTTCTGTGGCTTTCCTGGTGTCAGCAGCAAGGAAACAAATGATGCTGGCAAGATGTTTTGCTTCCTTGCAAGTTGCAATCACTTTGGCGGCTATAGCTTTCTCCACACTGCACATACTCCAGCAATGCCCACGGGGGTACGAATGGAAAAATACCTGTAAATATTAAGGTTGGCTCCAAAAGCCCATTATTGGCTTGTTGTGCAATACCCTCTGGTGACATTGAGGCCTTATTAATAACTAAACATGTGTCTCAACTGTAATTATATTTCTTGTGCCAGGATTGTGTTTCTACCATTGTCCTGTGTAAACACGGAAGGGAGGGTGTGAATTATTTAGGCGGCAGGCTTTGAGAAGAATAATCGCCCAGCACTGTGCAGGCTGTAAGTTTCTGTCAACTCCTTTCAGAGTCTCAGTGCCTTCGCTGACGTTCCTTTGATGAGCTTCTAACTCTCTCTGAGAACATCGCCCTGGACCCCCGATGCGGCTGCCAGAGCAACCCGGAGAGGGGAAGCCCGAGAATGAGAAAAAGGGGGACGGAGGAGCCCTCGGAGGGGGAGAGGAGCCGCCGAGGAGCCAGGCCCCCGACTTCCCCACCTGGCAAGTCTTCTTCCCCCAAACCCAAGGACCTAGATTGTTTGGCAGCCCTCAGGTAGGGGGTGGCGCGGGGTCCAGGAGGCTTTGCCGCTGCTGCGTGTCTAGGCTGGAGAGGAGAATCTATGAAATGGACACCTGGGAGAGCTGTCCTGGCTGGGTACAGAGATTCTATCCCCTTTCTTGAGCCTATTTGAGATGTGTGGATGGGATGAAGGGATGGGTTTGCAAACTGACTCTTGGGGAGGGACATGCTTGTTTTCAGGTGAACAATGACAAATACAACTTACAGAGTGTGGACTATGTACTAGCATAAAAATGGGAGCTTTGCATAGACAATTTCAATCAATTCTCAAATAATTTTATGAGGGTATTGTTAATCTCGTTTCGACAGGAGGAAAGTAACACAAACAGGCAGCTTGACTGAGATCACAGCCAAAGGCAAACCTGGGATTCCTACCCAAGTGTCTTTGAATCTCACCCCATCCCCCACCAAAAAATTATGCTCCTAACCACTAGGCTACCCTGTCTGTCTCTGGTCATTGATGCGGTCAGTTCGGGGTGAGGAGTTTTCTATGCTACCAAGCCACAGGCCTCCCTGGGTTTTTGATCTTGCTCTTTTTTCTTTTCCTCGGAGACCCTCATGGCTATACAAACTCAAGAGGAATTTCAACTCTGGGTGTGGTTTGGTATAGAACACAATTTTGATCTTTGTGGATGCTGGCATCAAGGAATTGGTCTGTGGTGAGTCCTATAAATGGGTACATCCTGAAATTGTCTCCCTAAGGCTGTTCAGAATGGGATCTCCAGCTTTAGCCACCAGCTTCCAGTGGCGACTGTAAGTGTATATGGTGGGGGCAGTGAGTTTAGAGTTAGGCTTGTGGGGAAGAAAAGGAAGTGGATGTATTTTTGGTGACTAGAGCTCCTGATGTTCAGCAGTTTCTCCCATGAGCAGGGAGCTAGGCTGTGGGACCCAGGAACAGGATGCTACAAGACTCTGTTCAGAATCTTCTCCAACACAACTTGACATTTGAGAAGTCAAGGGCAGGAGCTGATGAGACCCCTGGCCAAGAGAACGCTTACCTACTGGGGAAGCCACTCTCTTAGCCTCTGAGGAAGCATCTGGAATAGGACAATGTAAAGCTGGAAATGACAAATGCTGAAGGGCAGGCTCAGAGCAAGGAAGAGCAAGGAAGGTTGGCTAGAGTCAGAGATCATCTTGGGATGGTCTCCCCATCCCAGCTCATCCCTTCCAGGAGAGGACCTTCCACCAAAGGCAGGCATGGTTGGACTTTTACCAGCCTAGGATAAATGAAAGGATGTTGAACACTTCCCCTGGAAAAGGGGGTGGGGCATGTTGAGAAAAGGAGGTAAGAATTGAGTAAGAGAAACATTTTGGTAAGTCCTAGGAGGGCTGCCTTACAGAAAGCTGGTGTGACGGAGGAAAGGGATATTTGCCTACCTCTAGATCTGAGGATATCACACAGCAAACAGACAAATCTTTTTGCTCAACACACTGTTACATTAAAAATGTTTCCTCATTTGTTCCTGAATTTTGGGAATTTGGAATTTTTTGGCAAGAGTTGCGAGCAGCGTGAATTAGGCAGTTGAGTGTCACCTGCCTCTGGGGGACAGTGATGACCCAAGGAATCAGTTTCTCCCAAGGCATGTGCTTCTCCTTTGGGGCTGAACATGAACTCCCTTTAGACCCTGGGGCTAAGGGTCTCTACACCTTCTGGCTTGTTGCAGTCACACATTTGTGTGCGCGCACACACGCACTGAACATGTTTCTGTTTTTGTTATTCCTTGGGGATGTATCCACACATTCCTTAAAGATTTTCTTTGTGCAGTGGGCTGAGAGAGAGAAAGCCAAAAAGCAGGGGATCGGGTGGGGCCAGAGGAGGGAGATCTGTGGTCAAGGTCTTGGCTCCAGGGAGTTGGATGTGGAGGGGAGTGAGAACACAGCCCATCAGGAACGTGTTCTCCCCTTAGGTTCAGCAGTAATGTTATCTCTCAGAGTGCATTGCCTCCTGCCCTTCAGTTCTTTGGTTGGGAACCTCCTTCAGGTAAAGCACTGCCTGGGTATTGTGAGACCCTTGAGAGAAAGGAGTAGAAGAGAATGCAGTCCCCATCTATAGGTCATCTTTTCCAGGTACATTGAGAGAAGCATGTTGACACCTTAGCAAAAACGGGCACCAGGGCCCTCCTCTCACCCCAAAGCATGCTCAAAAGAGAGCCACCACTGTTTCCTCGCTGCAGTGGCCTGAGTGGTTATGCACAGTGTGGGCAGGGCAGGCGAAGTTAGAAAGCAGAGAGGAGTCTCCTTGATGTGTCTCATCTTCCATCTCCAGATCACTTTCACACCTCCCAGAGCCATATTGGTTGCAAGGGACAGAAGCCCAGGAGAGTTATCAGAAGTAAAAAGGGAAACATGTTAGGGAGATATCCATGGGAGTGGGCAGAGGGTGGGTCTCATGAAATCTAAGGCCAGAGGTGCAGCTTTGGGATTACAGGTGGCCACCACCAAACCCAGCTAATTTTATATTTTTCGTGGAGACGGGGTTTCACCATGTTGACCAGGCTGGTCTCAAACCCCTGACCTCAAGTGATACACCTGCCTTGGCCTCCCAAAGTGCTGGGATTATAGGCTTGAACCATGATGCCTGGCCTTGATTCCTTCTTAATCTCGCCTCATGTAATGTAGCCTCTGCTCCCATCAGTTTACTGATCAGATTCTGGAGGGAACAAGAGCTAGTGTCAGAGAAGGAGCAATGCCAAGCAATGGCCGGTTCAAAATTTAGCTCATCATCAAGGACCTAGAAGGATGTGGAAAATCTGAGAAAGCTAAGTCTCTTGGGTTTCTCTGTCCATATGAAGATGATTCCTGTCAAATAGCTATCTGTTTGACAGTGATTAAATGGAGGAATCAGTGTGGTCTCAATTCCAAATCCCCTGGGAAACAAGCTCATTGCTGTCCACTCCAGATCAAATCAGTAGTGCCCAAGAGAAGAGGGTCAGATGCATGAACGTAGCTGCTGCCACTATAAATGGGTGGACAGAAGATGGGGAGGGGGAATGACTAGAGAAGCGGGGTGCCTCCTCACCCCCATGTATTAGTCCGTTTTGTGCTGCTATAAAGGAATACCTGAGATTGGGTAATTGATTAAAAAAAAGGTTTATTTGGCTCATGGTTCTGCAGACTGTACAAGAAGGGGATGGCCTAATCTGCTTCTGCTGAGGACCTCAGGAAGGTTCTAATCATAGTGGAACGCAAAGGGGGAGCAGGCATGTCATATGGAGAGAGAGGGAACAAGAGAGATGCCAGGCTCTTTTTAACAACTAGCTCTTGCATGAACTAATAGAGTGAGAACTCACTCATTATCACAGGAAGGGTGCCCAGGCATTCATGAGGCATCCGCCTGCATGACCCAAACACCTCCCACTAGGCCCCATCTCCAACACGGAATCACATTCCAACATGAGATTTGGAGGGGACAAATACCCAAGCTATATCCCTCCAGTTCCTTGAGCTATTAGATGTATGTCTTATTCTTGGAGTTAGTTGACTCTCCATGAAGTGCTGGGAAAGTATTTGCTATTAAGGCTTAAGTTGGAGCTTTTTAAGAAGGTGATCCCTACAAGACTCAAATTAGTGAACTGTGACTTACGGAACAAAAGCAATAGGTTAGGTCAGGCACGGTGGCTCATGCCTGTAATCCCAGCACTTTGGGAGTCCGAGGTGGGTGGATCACGAGGTCAAGAGATCGAGACCATCTTGGCCAACATGGTGAAGCCCTATCTCTACTAAAAATACAAAAATTAGCTGGGGGTGGTGGTGTGCGCTTACAGTCCCAGCTACTCGGGAGGCTGAGGCAGGAGAATCGCTTGAACCTGGGAGGCGGATGTTGCAGTGAGCCAAGATCGCGCCACTGCACTCCAGCCTGGTGACAGAGTGAGACTCCATCTCAAAAAAAAAAAAAAAAAAAGCAATAGGTTAGACAAAACCGGCTGGGGACTGTAGAGGTAGGGACACCACCCTTCCCACAGCCAGCCAGCCTTGCAGCCCATTGTCCTCCCATTTGTCAGCCTACGTTACTGCAGAAGATCCTAGATTGTCCGCTCCTGTCTTTGCTAAGGTGTCAGCATGCTTCTCAATGCATCTGGAGGAGGTGACCTGTAGATGGTGACCTCCTTCTCTTCTACTCCTTTTTCTCAAAGTTCTCACAAGGGAGTGAAGCAAGGAAGCCCTGACCTTTTTTCTAGCCTGTCAAGGTGACTCCTTGGCATGGAGGTCTGAAAGGACACTCTAGCAGGAGGAAGCAGTGGGTACCTCCCTCAATTCACTGTGTGGTCTTGAGCTCATCTTTGGCTTATAATGGAAGGGTTGGGTGTGATCGATGGTGTTTAATTTTTTTGTTTCTGTTTATAGAAACTTTTCTAAAGTCATATGGGGAATGCTAATACTCAGAGGACCCACTTTGGTTGGAGCAAGGTGTGTGCGTATGTATTTGGGATAATGGGGTGTCCCCCAGGACCCCTAAGAGGAGCAGTGAAATCCTTCACTTCTTTACTTCTTGTCCAGACTATGAGATTGGGAGCTCTTTGGAACAGGTCTAGAGCTGACTCATCCATGATGCCACCTAGAAGACAGATTCCAGGGACTAGAGTGATGCCCAGGTAGCTTCAACAAATGCCAGCTAAATAACCCTACCACTATGGTGTGGCTTCAGCCCAATCCAAAGGAAGCTTTTTTATTCATGTGGGGAGAAGTGGATGTGCACTATTGATATGTGATCTAAAAATAACTCATGTTCCAAACAAAGTGTTTTTTCGTATTTTGAAATGAAAACGTGTAGACAAAGCAAGGAATTTAGAATGCCTGACTCATTAAATTGCCGACTCTGAAAGCAATGGAAATTCAAAGGGAACTTTTCTCTCTAGTTTTCCCTCCCACCCCTGCTCTGAATAGCTTATAAAAAGTCTACACATAAACAAGACCTGTAAACTTCCTTGTGACGGAAGGTCCTGCACAGTGAGAGGCTGAAGGAACTCAGCCTTTGTTGCCTGGACGCTGAGCTGCTCTTCCTTGCTAGATTGGAATCATCAGCTGGACTCCTCTTTGCTTGCCATCTTTATTTCTCCTCTTCTTGCCTCTCTTCCCTGTCCCTAACAGGTGTCCAAGGGCTTCCATCATGGCCCTTCTCTGGCCAATGGTCCTACTTCCCCACAATGCTTGGCTCTTCTGGACTTCAGTGGTGCCGAACTCATCGGCCCTAAAAGGATGCATCATCCAGGAGCTGTGTCTTAGGGGAGAGTGTACCTCACGTGGCATGCTAGCAGGATGCAGCAGTGGGTACCTTCATCAAGCTCATCCTTGGCTTATAATGGAAGGGCTAGGCATGATCAATGGTGTTTAATTTTTTTTTGTTTTGCTCATAAAAGCTTTTCTAAAGTAAGTCCTAAGGGTAGGCTAATACTTAGAGGACCCACTTTGGTTGGAGCAAGGTGTGTGTGTGTGTGTGTGTGTGTGTGTGTGTGTGTGAGAGAGAATGGGTGCTCTCCAAGATCCCCCAAGAGGAGCAGTGAGATCCTTCACTTGAAGAGGCTACTGGTAGACCTTCATGTGCTTGTTCCTAACCATTGTGTAAAAATCTCTGCCCCATTGAGGAACACATTTCCTGACTCCCTCTTCCTCATTGCTGTGACCTGCTTTTCTTCTAGTCACCCCTTCACTCCTGGAATTCCCTAGCAGCTTATTCATTCTTATATCTGCTGCAAGTCCTGATCATACTGGGGAGATGAATGAGCATGGAGATGACCAGGCAACATTCTCACCTCTTGTTGCCTCAACTTCAACTCCTGTGACCTTCTATCCTCTTGACTTTGACTCCTGTGGCCTCAACCTTGATCTTGTCATCTTCTAGAATGTGGACCCTCTGGGTGCTTACACTGCAACCTGCCTCTCTCTGGCATCCTCCCTGACAGCTGTTTTCTATTGTTACTTCTGCTTCAGTATGTGGAGTGCTCCGGGGTAAAATCCTACATGGGTTGAGTATGATGGCTTATGATTGTAATCCCAGCACTTTGGATGGCTGAGGCAGGAGGATTGCTTGAGGCCAGGAGCTTGAGACCAGCCTGGGCAACATAGTGAGACTCCATCTCTGCAAAACTAAAAAAAATTAACCAGGCACGGTGGTGGATGCCTGTAGTCCTAGCCACTTTGGAGGCTGAGGGGGGAGGATTGCTTGAGCCCAGGATTTGGAGGCTGCAGTGAATTATGATCATGCCACTGCACTCCAGCCTGGGCAACACAGACAGACCCTGTCTTACTAGTTCTACTACTACTTTTACTACTACTACTAAAAGATTCTACAAGGATATGGGACACAGATAGATGATCCTATATACTTCTAACCTTCAACCTCAACGAAGTTCTCAGTGTGAGTCATGGTTCTAGTGGTCAGGTCTCCATGACTATTTCAACCCCGACTCACTTGTCTTAAGAATGGTGTCACCTTCTCCCTCACAATTAAAACAAAGACCCCAGGCAGAAACATCTTCAACTCCCTACCCACCCAACTGTCACCTTTTCTACATTCAGCTCTGTCTTTGCCCCTCTCTGCCCATTATAGTAGAGGACGGTCCTTTCCCAAGTCCAAGGACCACTTGCCACATGTGCTCAGATATCTCTTCCCCGACACACTGTCTTTAGAGACCTTATTCCATCAATTATACCTCCTCCGTCCTATTCACCAGTGTCTTCTTTCTTCCCCCAAGAAAAATTGCATACATTGCTCTATTTCTCCACTTTTTGTTTCCTTTTTTTTTTTTTTTGAGACAGAGTCTCCTTTTGTCACCCAAGCTGGAGTGCAGTGGCATGATCTTGGCTCACCACAACCTCTGTCTCCCAGGTCCAAGCGATTCTCCTGCCTTAGCATTCCGAGTAGCTGGGATTACAGGTGCCTGCCAGCAAACCCAGCTAATTTTTCTTTTTCTTTCTTTTTTTTTTTTTTTTTTTTTTAGTAGAGACAAGAGTTTCACCATGCTGACCAGGCTGGTCTCGAACTCCTGACTTTAAGTGATCTGCCTGCCTTGGCTTCCCAAGTGCTAGGATTACAGGCTTGAGACACTGTGCCCGGCCTGACTTCCTTCTTAATCTCGCCTCATGTAATGTAGCCTCTGCTCCCATCAGTTTGCTGATCAGATTCTGGAGGGAACAAGAGCTAGTGTCAGAGCAGAAGGAGCGATGTCAAGCAATGGCCAGTTCAAAATTTAGCTCAACGTCAAAATGTATCTGGTGAGTTAAAATATATATATTTGGAGGTCCTACCTCCTAAATCAGAAGCTTTTCAGGAAGCTCCTGGAATTCTGATCACTGGGCTCCTTCCCTGACATCCCTGCCAAGGTCCCAGAAGTCCCCAGGGGGAGGATTTTTGCCACCCTGCTATCAGCTCAACAAGCATGCTTTGCTTGCTCTTGTTCCATTGACCAAATCTTTTCCTTCTCGGTTTTCGACATCCAATGGGAGTTTCAAATGATCTTACCTAAGAAACTTTTCATCACTCTTTCACCCTCCTGGAGATTCTTGGACCCCACCTCTTGGCAATCTGACTTTCACCTGGGATCCATTGACTTCCTTTGTGATTCTTCTAATGCAGCCTGTTACAGATGAATGATCCTCAGAACATCAATATAAATAAATGTTCCTCTAAAGGTGCTTCATGGTCAGTAAAATTCGGATGATACTCCATACTGTATCTGCCTCTTGGAGAGTATCAATGCAAATTAAAATCTTAGTGATGCCCTACAGCCAAGAAAATGGTTTATCTTCATTTATCTCAGTTTTTCCAAATACAGTTTGAGCCTGGAACCCTGGATATGTGTGTGTGTGTGTGTGCGCGCGCGTGCGCAGCGTGTGTGTGTATGTGTTTGCTAAAGCCTGGAAACCACCTATTAAGTGTTTATTTTCTCTCCCGGGGACATGCCTAGTTCTTAGATCAATGCAAATGATAGATAACTGACATATTCTGGGGCCCATGAATGCTCACACCCTTATTTATTCAAGTGCCATTGGTGTGCCAGGTACAGTGCTGCATGTTGGAGATAAAAAGGTGAATAATCCTTTCCTCATGCAGTCTACAGGGTCTTGGGGAGGTAGGTTAGTACTTACCATAGAGTTTATGTGTTAGGATACATGCAAGCTCAGGGCGTTCCTGGGGCACATCAGGTGACACACATACGCAGATGTGCAGTTCCCATGTGTACCATTCATTCACTTACAAGACAAGAATAGAATGTAGGCTGGGCACGATGGCTCATGCCTGTAATCCCAGCACTTTGGGAGGCTGAGGTGGGAGGATCACTTGAGTCCAGCAGTTTGAGACCAGCCCGGGCAATCTAGTGAGAGTCCATCTCTACAAAAAAATAAAATAAAACGGGCATGTTGGTACCCTTGTAGTCTCAGCTACTCAGCAGGCTGAGGTGGGAGGATTGCTTGATCCCAGGAATTTAAGGCTGCAGTGAGCTACGATTGCGCCACTGCACTTCAGCCTGGGCAACATAGTGAGACTGTGTCTCAAAAAAAAAAAAAAAAAGTCAATGGTACCCCTGAAGTTGTGCCATACACTCAGATTAAATAAGCATATATACATCAAAATATGCAGTTTATTATTATGAATGTGATCACATTGCTATGCAACTTTTTTTTCACTCAACAGTTGATTACCAGCATCCTTTTCTATTGTACTGCAATGTACTGGACCAGTCCCGTAATGATGTCTGTTCAGGTCATGCTCTGTTTTTGTTCTCACAGGCAATGCTTTGGAGAGCATCTGTGTATGAGCAACATTTATCCTTACAAACTTGTGCAAGCATAGCTAAAGCTACATTTTCTAGAAGTGAAACATCTGGGTCAAAACATGTACATTTTTTCTTTTGCTAGGTTTTGTCAAATTGCTCTCCAGAATTACCATACCAATTCACCTAAGGGAAGGGCTTTTGAGGACGAGGACACCAGAGTGGAGGGGAAGGAGGTGACAGAAAGGAAGTGCTTGAGTCATGTCCCTGAGGAAGTGAGAGGGTGCAGGATCAAGAGAAGTGTCTTCATGATGAAAAAAATTCTATATGCACAAAGTGTAAATTCTGCACTCCACCATACATATTACCAATGATCTTAGCTAAGAAATTCTGATCACTTTTTCATCTTCTTGGAGATTTGCTGACCCCATCTCTTGGAAATCTGTTCACTCAGGATCCATTTACTTCCTATGTGATTCTTTTAATAAAACATGCCACAACTTGATGATTAACATCAATGCTGATAAATATTTAAGAGTGCTCCGAGGCCAGGCACGGTGGCCCATGCCTGTAATCCTAGCTACTCAGGATGCTGAGGCAGAGGGATTGCTTGGGCCTGGGAAGTGGAGATTGCAGTGAGCTGAGCTTGTGCCACTGTGCAGCAGCCTGGGTGACAGAGCGAGACTCTGTCTCAAAATAGAAAAAAAAAAAAAAAAAAGCTCTATGGTCAATAAGCTAAATGGCCGACTCCTAGGCACCTGATTCCTTCAAAAGGGCTTTGGAGCATCAGAATTCTGTATACCTATTCTTTTGGCATTTGCCTGGGGGGGGCCCAGCTGTGGGACAGAGTACATCTGACATCTGATGATCAACAGAGTACATGTTCATGCAGTGTCCTCCTTGCTTTATGACAGGTAGTTTAAGACATTGTACTGTTAAAAACATACTTCATATGTTATGGTGTAGAATGCTAGTTTTTTTGTTTGTTTTGTTTTTTGAGACGGAGTCTTGCTCTCTCTCCCAGTCTGGAGTGCAGTGGCGCGATCTCGGCTCACTGCAAGCTCTGCCTCCCAGGTTCACGCCATTCTCCTGCCTCAGCCTCCCGAGTAGCTGGGACTACAGGTGCCCGCCACCATGCCCGGCTAATTTCTTGTATTTTTAGTAGAGATGGGGTTTCACCGTGTTAGCCAGGATGGTCTTGATCTGGCCTCATGATCCACACGCCTCGGCCTCCCAATGTGCTGGGATTACAGGTGTGAGCCACTGCGCCCAGCCGGAGTGCTAGTTTTTAAGGCAAAAATATTGGACTTTAAAGATGGTTCTTGCTTGTGGCGGGGCTGCTTTGGGCTATGACCCTGTAATTGTCCTTCATTAGAAACCCTTTCATGGAAAAAATTGGAATCACTGAGAGAGACTGAATTCATCTAACACACTCCTGGTGTTTGTATTAATTTTTTTTTTAAGTGACAGAGTCTTGCTGTGTTGCCCAGGTGGAGTGTAGTGGTGAGATCATAGCTCATTGCAGCCTTGAACTTCTGGGATCAAACAGTTCTCCCACCTCAGCCTCCGAAGTAGCTGGGACAGCAGGTACATGCCAACATGTCTGGCTAATTAATTTTTTTTTTAATGAAACAGGGTCTTTTTTAATTTAAACAGGGTCTTGCTATGTTGCCCAGGCTGGTCTTGAATTCTTCTGGCCTCCAGCAATCCTCCCACCTTGGCTTCCCAAACTGCTGGGATTACAGATATGTGCCACTGCATTGACCTGTACCAAATTTTAATTTGAGGATTTTGCTCCTATTGAGAAAGTGGGGTAAGGGAGAGGATTAGTCAATAGAGTTCATGCCCTAAATAGTCTTGCTGTTAGCAGACCGTATGAGACAGTACTACTCTGGGTACAAGTCATTTCTACTCATCACAGTGCAAAGGGAACTGGAGAGACACAAGTTGACCTTCAGTCCTGTTTCACTATGTGCCCCTTCCTCAGTCTCTCCCATCAGCACCGTTCAGCTCTCCATCCATGAACCATGTGGCCGTACAGGAGCCTCTTCCTGAACTTTTTGTCTCTGAGTCCAGTTACTATTGCTTTGTAATAAACCGCCCCAAACTCGGGGGGATAAACCAACAACCATCCTGCGCTTGTGGAATCTCGAGGTCAGGAATTCAGTAGAGACAGCTTGTATCTGCTCCGAGATGTCTGGTACCTCTGTTGGAGAAACGCAGATGGCTGGGGGCTGACATTATTTGATCACTTCCATGTCAGGTGCCTGGGATGGGATGGCTGAAGGACTAGCTCAGCTGGGAGCATCTACATATGGTTTTGCCATGTGGCTTGTGTTCTGACAGCTTGGTATCTGGGTTGTAAGAAGAGCATCCTAAAAGGGAGCATCTCAGTGAGCCTTCCAAGAGAAACAGATGGAACCCGGTTGGCATTTTAGGACTTAACCTTGTAAGCTATTGCTTCTGCCATACTCTAGGGGTCAAAGCAGTGCAAATCCTCTTAGATTCAGGGAGTGGAGGCATAGACACCACATCTCAACAGAAGGAGGCTGAATGAATTTGGGGACTGTATTAGTCTGTTTTCATGCTGCTGATAAAGACATACCTGAGACTGGGTAATTTATACAGCAAAAGAGGGTTCATGGACCCACAGTTCCATGTGGCTGGGGGTGTGGCTCACAATCATGGCAGAAGGTGAAAGGCATGTCTTACATGGTGGCAGGCAAAAACAAAAACAAAAACAAAAAACAAAAAAACTTGTGCAGGGGAACTCCCATTTATTAAACCATCAGATCTTTTGAGACCTACTCACTACCACGAGAACAGTATGAGGGAAACCCCCTCCATGATTCAATTATCTCCCACTGGGTCTCTCCCACAGCATGTGGGAATTATGGGAGCTACAATTCAAGATGAGATTTGGGTGGGGACATAGCCAAATTATATCAGGGGCCATATTTTAAAACTACCACACTTCTTCTTCATCATGCTGGGTCCTTTTGCTGCCTGGTCCTAGCAGTGCACCTCTTTGGGATCTTCTGGTGTCTTGCTGGGTGAAATGGAAAAGTAGGATTCTAGGGGAAGTCAAGATAAGATGCCTTCCAGCAATCTGAGGATCCTGTGGATACCTCTGATCATTATTAGGTTTGAAGAGTGTTTATCTCTTAACATTTTTCCTAAACTAACTGGGCTTTGTACCATCTTAGCCCTCTGCAGCTTCACTTTGGGTCTACATCTGGGACTCTGGATCTACCATCTTCTTTCAATATGTGGCTGCTACCAAGTCACCAGCCTCTGCGGTTGGGAGGTGGGTAGGGAGGGTGAAATTTGTTTTACTCCATCCTCTCTCAATTCTCCACAAGCCGATTAACACACAGCATATGTATATAAATCAGATTTTACCGAAGGCTTGGGAGTAACTGGAGAATTTCAATGTCAGGAAAAATTACAATGTACAAAGAAATCTTCTTAGAGTCAGAAAAAAATATATTTTAAGGGTACTTTTGGTGCATGGATCCCTTTGGCAGTCTGGTGAGGCCTGTGAATTATGTTTCTAAATGCATAAAATAGAATACTTGAGGTAACAACAAAGGGAAATGTATTATACATAAGCATGGTATCAAAAATACTAAACAGAACAAATGTGTTGATATAATAACACATGTGCTTCCTTGTTGATGTATTAAATAATAAGGGCTATTGGTAGATATAATAATCATAATTTTGAAGTGCTGTTAGGGTAAGCATAAACAACATTTCAAAGTAATTGGGACAGTGGGAACATGATAGTAAAATAGTGGCACAGTCGGGCATTGCTAATTCCACGGTGCCTTGTGGCTTGCATTCCTAATTGAAGAAAATGCTAGATTTCATTTATAGGATAATGGAAATAAAGGTATATTCTTTCCCATCCAAATTTGTGGACCTCTTGAATTCTATTCTTGGGCCCCCTGGCTGGTGAGTTTCTCAGCCACGTTTCACTGTCTCAGGGCAGCCAATCTCTCATTTATTTTTTTAATTTTTACTTTTTTAGACAGAGTCTTGCACTGTCACCCAGGCTAGAGTGCAGTGGCGTGATCTCGGCTCACTACAACCTCTGCCTCCCAGGTTCAAGTGATTCTCCTGCCTCACCCTCCTGAGTAGCTGAGATTACAGGTGCCTGCCACCATGCCCCGCTAATTTTTTTGTATTTTTAGTAGAGGTGGTGTTTCACGACGTTGGCCAGGCTGGTCTGGGACTCCTGACCTCATGATTCACCCGCCTCGGCCTCCCAAAGTGCTGGGATTACAGGGGTGAGTCGCCGTGCCCGGCCCCAATCCCCCTTATTTCTTAGAGCCAGTGCTTCTTTTTTCAGGTCTTCCCAGGGCAAAGGTCCTACCCCTCCTTAGCCAACCTGGTCTCCCACCCAGCCAGCCCATAGAACTCATCATACTACCCCAGCAGTAAGCCATGGGAATAATATTTTGGCAAATATCAAACTAGTGCTTGTTAATTCTCCCCTTTTTTTTCTTTTCTTTCTTCTTTTTTTTTTTTAGATGGGGTTTTGCTCTTGTTGCCCAGGCTGGAGTGCAGTGGCTGCAATGGCGTGATCTTGGCTCACTGCAACCTCCGCCTCCCGGGTTCAAGGGATTCTCCTGCCTCAGCCTCCCGAGTAGCTGGGATTACAGGCATGCACCACTGTGCCTAGCTAATTTTGTATTTTTAGTAGAGACAGGGTTTCACCATGTTGGCCAGGTTAGTCTCGAACTGCTGACCTCAGGTGATCCACTTGCCTCAGCCTCCCAAAGTGTTGGGATTACAGGCACAAGCCACCAAGCTCAGCCCCTTGGTATTTGATTGCAACTGAGCTTAAGTCAAGAGACTTTTTATCCCAGGGCAAGATAACAACAGTCATTTGACTTCTTAAGGAGACGTTACACTTTAAAACCATGCTTCACGGGCAGTGAAAGCTTGCAAAATTAAAGCCTAACAGGGAAGACTCAGATTTTTGAATTCTTTTCCTAGTGTAAAGAAGATGCCTCTGACACTTTTAAGGCTTAAAAATTATTTTCCTAATGTAAAGACGATGCCTCGGACACTTTTAAGGCTTAATTTTGAGGATGGAGCCAGAAAGAAGGAGGCTATGAAACAGAAGTAAAGGAAACTTCTACTTTCTGATTCAAAGTTGGAGAAGAGAAGGGCAAAATGAGAAAGAGGCAGGAGAACTGGAAGAATTCCTGCATCCTTCTCTCTGGGATTGGTCCCCAGGGGGTGTTTGATGTGAATACCAGGGACAGGGGCTCCTGCGTTGCCCCGCCATGGAGACCTTGGGAGCCCACCGGACAGAGCACCTGCTCAGAATACTGCTTGCAAGTTAAATGAGTAGAGAGCGCAACAAGGTAGCTTTCCTGAGTCTCACTCAATAGCTTTATGGTAACTGAAGGAAGCGCTGGATGCCAGGGTGTTTCCAGAACAGAGGATGGACGTGGCCTGCTGGTCCAGGTCTAGAGAGAGGGCAAAATAGAGACCCAGCGATCTGCAGCCACACAGAGCTGAGAGGAAGCCCAAACACTCAGGGCAGATACCAGGAATCCTGAAAGCATTGCACCAACTAGAAGGAGCCCAAATGCACCAGTTCTGAACTTCAGGATTATTGGCCAGCCAGTGCACACCTGCGACCGGGTGACAAGACACATCCCCCTGGAGACCAACAGGTGTCTGTGGTCATGTATGTGGGATCAGCAAGCAGGATGCTTAAGCCATGATTCTCTCTCTCTCTCTGCATTTTTAGGCCATCTTTTAGGGAGAGGGCACAGATGGGGGAGACAATATGAGAATAAATTTTTTAAGAATAAACTTTTTTTAGAACGGTTTTGAATTTGCAGAAACATTGCAAAGATAGCACAGAGTGCCCATATCCCCAACACGCAGTATCGCCCATTAGCATTTTACTTAAGTATGGTACATGTGCTGCGGTTAATGAACCACTTTGATACATTATTATTAAGGCTCATGATTTAGGCAGATTTCCTCGGGTTTGTACTTAATGTCCTTTTTCTGTGCTTGGATCTCATTTTAGGATATAACGGTACCTTTTTTGTTTGTTTTTTTTGCATTTTTCCTTGCTCTCCAAGACTCCTGAGACCATGTCCAGGCAGGACAGGAGGTAGGAAGTACCTCTTGGGAAGATGAAAGGACGTGCCCCTTTTTAAAAAATTGTATTTTATTTTTTAATGGATACAATAACTCATATTTATGGGTTACAGTGTAATGTTACACGTTTGTGGATTGTGTATTGATCAAATCAGGGTAATTAGCATATTCATCACTTCAAACATTTATCATTTCTTTGTTGGAAGAACATTTTAAAAAGTCCTTTCTTCTACTAGGTTGGTGCAAAAGCAATTTTGCGTTTCACCATTAAAAGTCAATGGCAAAACCCACAATTACTTTTGCACCAACCTAGTAACTCTTTGGAAATATACAACATGTTATTGTTAATTACAGTCACTTTACTGTGCAATAGAACACAACTTATTCCTCTCATCTCACTGTGACTATACCAACCAGCCTCTCCCTACCCCTATCCCCCAATTCTCCCCAACCTCTGGTAACCACTGTTCTACTTTCAACTTCTATGGGATCAACCTTTTCAGATCACCTGTGGGTGAGATCATGTGGTGTTTGTCCTTCTGTGCCTGGCAATGGTGCATTTACTTGTCCTGTCTCCTTAGTTCCCCTTGGCTGTGACAGTTTCTCAGACTTTTCTTATTTTCGATGATCCTGACAGCTTTGAAAAGTATTGGGTATGTATATTGTAGACTGTCTCAAGTGGGATTCATCTGACGGTTTTCTCATGATTAGACTGGGGTGATGGGTGTAGGGGAGGAAGATCACAGAGGGGAAGGGCCATTTTCATCACATTGTATCAAAGGCTTACACTGTCAACATGACTGTCACCGTTGATGTTGACCTTGATCACCCGGGGCGGAGGGAGTGTGTGTTTGTCAGGTTTCTCTACCGTGAAGTTACAACTTTTCCCTCTTTCCGTACTGTATCCTTTGGGAGAAAGTCACTGCACAGACTACACTTAAGAAACAGGAGTTATGCTCCTGCTCCATGAGAGCAGATTACCTATAAATTATGGAATTCTTGTATATGGGAGATGCCTGCCTCCCTCCCTCCCTCCCTCCCTCCCTCCCTCCCTTCCTCCCTTCCTCCCTTCCTCCCTCCCTCCCTCCCCTCCCTTCCCTTCCTTCCCTTCCTTCCTTCCCTCCCTCCCTCCCTCCCTTCCTTAGTTTGATCATGTATTTTCATAAGTATGGACTTATGGATACTTATTTTATACTTTGGGTTATGATCCAGTACAAATTTTTTTCTTTTATTGCTCAAAGTGTTGCACCCTTGGCCATTGGGAACTGTTAGCTCCTGTGTTTTGAGAACTTTCTTTCTGGCACTGAAAGATGTTCCAGGCTCATCTTGTGTATTGCTACTGAGGCATTGTTATTTCTAGGTCCCCTCAGCTGACGGAATAATGAAATATATGTATATATACTAAACTATGTATGTACACATATCTATACTTCTAGATGTAACCATCTGTATCTATACTGAACTAAACATGGGGTTAAGGCCAGCCAGGGCAAGGTGACAAGACCCCTTAAATTTATTTTTTTAAATTAGCTAGGTGTGGTGGCATGCCCCTGTAGCCCCAGCTACTCAGAATGCTGAGGTAGGAGGATCTCTTGAGCCCAGGAGTTCAGGGTTGCAGTGAGCTATGATTACACCACTGTACTCCAGATTGGGTGAAAGAGTGATAACCCATCTCTAAAAAACACTAACAACACATAGGTTTACACTGATGTCTCCAACTGTAAGCTATTATTATATGGTCATCCTAGAATTCTCCCCTTGTTTACTGGAAACCCCCACTTCAGTACTGCAATCTGGCTCCTACCATCCACCATTTATTTGCTTGTTTAGGTCTAGTTTACATGTACAGTAATATCAGAATTGTTAACCAATTTACCCATAGGAGACAACCTTATCAACTAAAACGCTTATGTATAGTTCCTTTGCAGTGAGTTTTCTAGAACCCAGCCATTTCCAAAGTTACTTAAGTCAGCACTTTTCTCCGAACCCCTTCAGTGAGTTTGTGTCATACCATTTGTAACACAGATTGATTTGTCACATTCTGTATTCCATCCTGGGATTCCATGGACCTCCTAGATCATTTTTTAAAATTTGCATGCATTAAGATTCATTCTTTGTGCCAAAGTTCGATGGGTTTTGACAAATACATATTGTCATGTATCCACAATTACAGTTCCATACAAAATAGTTTCACTGCCCTGAAAAATGCCTCTGCTCCACCTCTTCAACCTTTCCCTTTATCCCTCATAGTTTTGCCTTTTCCAGAATATTGTGTGATTGGAAGCATACAGTAGGTAGCCTTTTCAAACTGGCTTCTCTCACTTACATATATGAATTTAAGATCAATCCGTGTCTTTGTGGTTTGATAATTTGTATTAGTTGTTTTTACACTGCTATAAAGAACTACCCAAGACTGGGTAATGTATAAATAAAAAAGGTTAAATTGACTCACAGTTTTGCATGGTCAGGGAGGCCTCAGGAAAGTTACAGTCATGGTGGAAGGTGAAGGGGAAGCAAGGACTTTCTTGACATGGCAGCAGGAGAGAGCGTGTGATGAGGAAACTGCCACACACTTTTAAACCATTCGATCTCATGAGAACTCAGTCACTATCACAAGAACAGCAGGGGGGAAACCACCCCCATGATCCAGTCATCACCACCAAGTTACTCCCTTGACAGCTTGGGATAAGAATTCCAGATGAGCATTGGGTGGGGACACAGAGCCAAACCATATCAATATGGCATTTCTTTTTTATAACTGAATAGTATTCCATTTTCCTGTGGTACCTGGGGATGAGAATTCGAGATGAGGTTTGGGTGGGGACATGAAGCCAAACCATATCAATATGGCATTTCTTTTTATAACTGAATAATATTCCATTTCATAGATGTACCACAGTTTGTTATCCGTTCACTTATTAAAGGACACCTTAATTGCTTCCACCTTTCTGTGATTCTGAATAAAGCTGCTATAAACATTTGCATGTAGATTTTTGTGTGGACATAGTGTTTTCAAATGAGTTGAGTAAATACCTGAGACCCTGTTTGCTGAATCATGTGATAAGATTAACGTTTAGCCTTGTAAGAAACTTCTAAATTGTCTCCCAAAGTGACTATACCATTTTATATTCCCATCATCAAGAAAGTTCTTGTTGCTTCACATTTTTGCTAGCAGTTATTATTGTCTTTTAAAACATGTTCTAGTCATTCTAATATGTGTGTAGTGGTATCTTGTTTTAATTTTCAATTCTCTATGACGAGCGCTGTTGAGCATCTTTTCATATGTTTACTTGCCATCCGTATATTTTTTCTTGCGGAGGAGTATGTTCAAATTTTTTGACCACTTTTCCCATGAGATTCTTTGTTTTTTTCATTTTTGAGTTTTAAGATTTCTTAGTATATTTTGACTACAAGTCCTTTATCAGATATGCGTTCTCAAATATTTTTCTCCCAATTTGTGGTTCATCTTTTCATTCTCTTAAAAGTATCTTTTTAAATATTAATAATGTCCAAACTAGTAATTTTTTTTTCTTTCAGGGATAATGCTTTTGGTGTTTTATCTGAAAGCTCACCACCAAACACAAGGTCACCTCTACTTTCTCCTGTGTTTTCTTCTAGAAGTTTTATAGTTTTGTGTTTTGCATTAAGGCCTATGATCCATTTTGCTTTTACTTTTTTTTTTCTTGAGACGGGGTCTCACTATGTTGCCCAGGCTGGAGTGCAGTAGCTGATCACACATGCAACATAGCATACTGCAGCTTTGAACTCCCAGGCTCAAGCAATCCTCCCCTGTCAACCTCTTGAGTAGCTGGGATTACAGGCACACAACACCAAGCCCCATTTTGAATTAATTTTCATTAACCCAAATTAATAAAAAGGTATAAGTTCTATATTTAGGTTCATTTTCTTCCTCTCTTCTTTACCTTTTTAAAGGTTCATTTCTTTGTGTACGATCATTCAGTTGTTCCAGCAGCATTTGTTGAAATCAACATACGTTTTTTATTCTCTCTGTGTTCCTCTAATCCCCCAGGAGTAGATATTGGAGAGAATATGCACACACTTGCAGACATTCACTCACCTCCCAAGGAAAAACTACACTTCTCAGAGACAGTTTTATGTAAGTCCACATAATGGAAAAAAACTATTTTATTAAAGGCAACAGTCTGCAAAAATGTCCCCTGCCAGTAATGGAGAAAGCATTTTGCCGCCTCCTTCCTCCAAGTCATATCCAGGAATGCATTTATGCATAAGAAATGGGGATTATTATTGATGGGCATTTGGGTTGGTTCCAAGTCTTTGCTATTGTAAATAGTGCTGCAATAAACATATGGGTGCACGTGTCTTTATAGTAGAATGATTTATAATCCTTTGGGTATATACCCAGTAATGGGATTGCTGGGTCAACATGTATCCCTATGTAACAAACCTGCATGTTCTGCACAGATATCCCAGAACTTAAAGTAAGATTTTAAAAAGGGGGATTATTGTGATGCTAATGGGACAACAGGGCCAACTCATCTATGCCTCCACCCTTAGCTGCACTATGGATTGGAAAATAAGCTGTGAAATCATTGCTTATTCTCTTTACTGGGTAGGAACAAATTTTCAGACAGGACGTTTCTCTTCGTCATTGTAAAGACTCCCTGCTCTGTCCCTTCCCAGAACACTTCCTTAGAGGTAAGATGGGGTCCTATACTTGTAGTTATACAAGGACCATCTGCGCCAGCTGCTGGGGACAGAAGTGAAGACGGCATCCCATAGGGCCTGCTCTCTGGGGATTACATCCTAGACATGCAGGCAGCCAACAAACATGAAAAAATGCTCCACATCACTAACCACCAGAGAGAGGCAAATCAAAACCATAATGAGATACCTCCTCACACTAGTTAAAAAGTCAAAAAATAACATGCTGATGAGGCTGCAGAGAAAAGGGAACGCTCATACACTTTTGGTGGGAATGCAAGTTAGTTCAACCACTGTGGAAAGCAGTTTGGAGATTTCTCAAAGAACTAAAAGCAGAAGTGTCCTTTCACCCCGCAGCCTCATTACAGAATATAGACCCAAGGGAAAATAAATTGTTCTGCCAGGAAGACACATGTACCGTTACGTTCATTGCAGCATTATTCACAATAGCAAAGACATGGAATCAACCTAGCTGCTCATCAGCGGTGGATTTGGATAAAGAAAATGTGGTACACATACACCATGGAATACTATGCAGCCATAAAAAAGAACAAAATCCTGGCTGGGCAGGGTGGCTCATGCCCGTAATCCCAGCACTTTGGGAGGCCGAGGAGGGTGGATCATGAGGTCAAGAGATGGAGACCATCCCGGCCAATATGGTGAAACCCCATCTCTAGAAAAATACAAAAATTAGCTGGGCGTAGAGGCGTGCACCTGTAGTCCCAGCTACTTGGGAGGCTGAGGCAGGAGAATTGCTTGAACCCGGGAGGTGGAGGTTGCAGTGAGCCAAGATCGCACTCCTGCACTCCAGCCTGGCAATGGTGAGACTCCATCTCAAAAAACAAAATGAAATCCTGTCCTTTACAGCAACATGGGTGCACCTGGGAGACTATCATGCTAGGTTGAACTAATGCAGAAGGAGAAATCCAAATACTGCATGTTCTCATGTATAAGTGGGAGCTAAACATTGGGTACATGTGTACATAAAGACCGAAGAAACAGACACTGAGGACTACTAGAGGAGAAAGGGAGGGAGGTGGGGAAGGGTTGAGAAACTTCCTATTGGGTACTATGCTCACTACGTGGGTGATGGATAAAATTGTACCTCAAACCTCAGCATTACACAATATACCCATGTAACCTGCACATGTATCCTTTGAATCTAAAAAAATTGAAATAAAAAAATGCAATTCTAATAACAGTCACCAGGAAGCATTTTTCTGACAGTCTGTCACTCACTCTTTGGGAACTTAAGCCTCCCAGACTCTGCAGAGGTGTTTCTCCCATGTCTGTGAGCCCAGATTCTCTTTATTTCTTGCCTGACGGCTGTCATTTTTCTCCCTTTCTCATCGTTCATCATCAAGATGGCCCTCTCCTATGAATGTCTTGCACTGACAGAAAAATTCCTATTGCTAATCTCCCTGGATATAGCCATTACTGGGTCACAGCTGGAAATGCCCACGGACAGTGCTCCCATCAGCTGAAGGACTTGACTCCAACACTTGCAGCTTTGATTCCTCTTAGGGTCCATCCAAGGGGCTTGCATTTTTGTTTTGTTTGTACATTGCAGTGATTTTATCCCCTCCACCCATAAATTTCAAAAATGTTAACTATTACCTGTGAGTCTCTTCTCATTGATTTCGCCAAGTTGTGATCCACTTTGAACTTCATACTTACTCTTTAATCAGTTCAGGAAAAAACTTCTTAAGCATTTTTCTTATGATATCCTCTCTTCTATGGGTTTGGCTTATTTCTTGGAGCATCTATAATTCTTTTTCTAAAATTTTACTTTAAGTTCTGGGATACATGTGCAGAACGTGCAGGTTACATAAGTATACATGTGCCATGGTGGTTTGCTGCACCTATCAACCCGTCATCTAGGTTTTAAGCCCTGCATGCATTAGGTATTTGTCCTAATGCTCTCCCTCCCCTTGCCCCCATGCCCCTGACAGGCCCCAGTGTGTGATGTTCCTCTCCCTGTTTCCATACGTTCTCATTATTCAGCTCCCGCTTATGAGTGAGAACACGGGGTGTTCGGGTTTCTGTTCCTGTGTTAGTTTGCTGAAAATGATGGCTTCCAGCTCAACTATGCCCCTGCGAAGGACTCATATGCCCCTGCAAATGAACTCATTCTTTTTTATGGCTGCATAGTATTCGTGGTATATATGTGCCACATTTTCTTTATCCAGTCTACCATTCATGGGCATTTGGGTTGGTTCCAACTCTTTGCTAATGTAAATAGTGCTGCAGTAAACATACATGTGCATGTATCTTTATAGTAGAATGATTTGTAATCCTTTGGGTATATACCCAGTAATAGGATTGCTGGGTCAAATGGTATTTCTGGTTCTCGATCCTTGAGGAATCGCCACACTGTCTTCCATAATGGTTGAACTAATTTACACTCTCACCAACAGTGTAAAAGCAAGGAACACCTATAATTCTTAGGTTGCATCTTCATTCTTTGCTCTGCATAATTTAATACACATTTATCAACATGTTTATGTCTTTGTGCTTTCCGTCTGCATTCTGGGAGAGCTCTTCTAGTTTTTCTCTTATATCAAAACTTTGGTTTATTTTTCAGGAAAACATCTAGTCTTTATTGCCTCTGTTGTACATTTTTATTCAGCTGCTGGATGTTTCATTCCTCTCTCCTTATTTTCTTGTTTGTGGCTTCCCTGTCACTATGCTGTGCTCTCTTTGCAGTGATCTGCCCCAGTCTCACAAAGGCCATGTCTTCCTGCATCCTTTTAGGGTGACCCCATCGACATGGTTTCTAAAATTTACTTGTTTCTTTTCTTTTTGAGACAGAGTCTTGCTCTGTTGCCGAGACTGGAGTGCCATGGCTTTATAGCTCACTGCAGCCTTGGGTGAGGCTCAGGGCTCAAGCAAACTTTAACACTATCTATCTATGTATCTATGTATCTATCTATCTATCTAATCTAATGTATGTATCCATCCATCCATCCATCCATCCACCAACCCACTGAGCAGCCGTCTAGCTGGTTTCTCTCTTAATATGACTCTGATGCTAGGACATGAAGCTTGCAGGGAACTGAAAACAGACACGGTCACCGCCCAGGTAAATGAGAAGTCATGGGCTCAAGCGATCCTCCTGCCTCAGCCTCCTGAGCAGCTGGAACTACAGATGCGCACCACCATGCTCAGCTAATTTTTATATTTTTCGTAGAGACGGGGTCTTGCTATGTTGTCCAGGCAGGCCTGGAACTCCTGGCTTCAAATGATCCTCTCAAAGTGTTGGTATTATAGGTATGAGCCACTGCACCCAGCCTACCTCTGTTTCTTAAGATGGAATAGGCTCTTTCTTTGAGAATTGGGACAATGTTTTCCTTCCTGTGTGTTGCAGTGTCTTCTCATAGGCCCCATGTTTACTCTTTCATTTTCATTGAAGCTTGGCGTTTGCTGATTTGTGGGGCTTGACTGGTATCCAGCTGGCATGGGGCTGTGGAACCTAAGTGGAATCTTCTCTTTGTCTGACTATTGGATTTTCTGACTCTGTTGGAGAACTCATCAAATTAATAAAAAACAATGTGCACTATTTCTAACTATCTGCACTGCTCTTCACATACTATGTTTCAGTAGCAAATACCCTATTTATAATACTTCTCCATCTATTACATAGACCGACAGGCATACTTGGTTTCTTGCATGGTAAGAGTTGTAGTGAATTAAAACAGAGAAGTTGAGTGAAGTTGAGTGAGTGGGAGAAGGTTGCATGTGATGCCAGCAGTCTCCAAAAATATTCTCATGCACCTGGGAGGTGGCCATGTCATTTTCAGGTCCCTGCAGGCTTTAAGTCCTAACATCAGAGTCATATTAAGAGATGAACCAGCTACACAGCTGCTTAGGGGTGGATGGATGGATTAGACAGATAGAATGCTAAAACATGACTGAAATGAGAAACATGCAATAAATAAGGAATGCTTTCAAGCAGTGTGAAGAAAACTCCTCATTGAGTGTCCTGTCTCTGTTGGACATTTTTGTGAACGTGTTTGCAAGAGTTTTCAAGGTGAAATTTGACCTGGGTCATGAACACTGTGACCAGGGAATGGCTGATAATTGCTTGAAATTGCCAGCTATAGTCAGTTGAAATTTTGAAACGACATAATGAATAGTGTAGTGCTGCTTGTAGAGGTTGAGTGACTTTTCTGGTATATCTGTTGTATTAATTGAGATAATTCATGAAGAGCATTTAGTCTGGTGTCTGGTATGCACCCTATAACTGTTAGCTATTACCATTGCCATTAATTGGATATACTTTATTTAGGGTTTAACCCTTTAATGTATCCTTTAAAAATTACTGTATTATCAGAGAAAATGAGAATAAATTGGCCGGGTGTGGTGCTTCACACCTCTAATCCCAGCACTTTGGGAGGGTGTGGTGGGAGGATTGCTTAAGGGCAGGAGTTAGAGGTTGTAGTGAGCTGTGATCACACCACTGTAATCCAGTTTGTGTGACAGAGCAAGACTCTGTCTCAAAAAAATACAAAAACTTATGAACACAGCCACAAATATTCTTTACAAAATTTTGACAAATGAAAAAATATTATATAAAAAGGATAATCCAACACAACCAAGTGAACGTTTATCTCAGAAATGGAAAGTTGGTTTAACATTCTAAAATCAAACAACATAATTCACCATAACAGACTAAGGAAACCCACATGATCATCTTGTTAGATGCGGAAAAAGCATTTAACAAAATCCAACATTCATTCCTGGCTTAAAAAGAAAAACTTTCAGAAAAGTAGGATACAGGCTGGGCGCAGTGGCTCATGCCTGTAATTGCAGCACTTTGGGAGGCGGAGGCAGGCAGATCACTTGAGGTCAGGAGTTCAAGACCAGCCTGGCCAACATGGTGAAACTTCGTCTCTACTAAAAATACAGAAAAAGATGTTATATTTGTATTTTGAGATTCCGTCTCAAAAAAAAAAAAACTTGGCAGATGGAAATAAAAATTATAACATTACCTAATGGAGATTCTAAGGTATATGAAAGTAATGTGTAAGACGACTACAGTATAAAAGAAGAGAATAAAAGGACTTACGTGCCGGTAAGATTTTTACATTCTACTTGAAGTGATTAACTAGAGAGTGACATCAGTGAAAGTGGCAGATTGGGAACTCTAAAATTCTGTGTTTCCATAAAAGCCATTAAAAAATCCTGAAAAAATGGTCAGAATCAACTTGTTGGAACTCTGGAAACTAGTCAAAAGCTGGCAGCAACCCAGGAAGCACTTATTCAAGAAAAATGGCTGAATTTTGGTGAGAACAGAACAAGCAGCTTTGTGGAATGTTAATTTTCCCTATTCTCTGCTCCCCAGATAAGTGATAGCCTTGAAATGATAGCCCACATGTCCAGTACTGGTAATAGAATAAACCTCATTCACAAAAAAATGTAAGTATTTGTTTTAGCTTGTCTGATGGCTCCCTTGAAAAAAATAGCTCAAAAGGCTTGACTTTTTCTCATCTAACTTGGAAATCACCCAGTGCTGAAACCACTACCAGGGGTTGTTAGTTGAAAACATTTGCAGGCAAATGACTTAGTTCCTGCTGTTTAAGCCAATGGATAACAGTTGAAGCAAACAACAGACTAATCAAAAAGTTCAGGACGAATGGCTGGGAAATAAAATGCTTTGGGGGAAATGGGGGCAGGGGGAGGGGCAGGCTTTGAAAAACTCCAATATATTCCTGGGAATTTAGAAGTTAACACTCATTCCCAGAGCTGTGAGTATGCCCAGGAAGGACCTGAGGAGGCCCTAAGTGCTCACCTCTGCTGACCTTCAGCTTCTACGCAGGTAGAAAGTGAAGACTATGTCACACTTGTCAACTTCTTGACTGAGTGTTGGAGAAACCTAACAGAGCTCTTCTGGAAAGACTGGGAAATTTGGGGTTTCATAAGTTTAAGGAAATTTCAGTCCACTCATTAGCTGACCACTAAGCTAACTGAACAAAGTTGTCAATGCCCACATACGACAAATAATACAGACTTTACAAAATTAGTTCAGAGAAGTTGCTAAACAAACAAACAATAACTAAAATAAGCATCAACAACAAACCCCTAAGCAAGGGCGATCTAATTTCCATAATTATTCCTTTATAATAGTCAAAAAAATGTTCAGCATTCAATAAAAAATTATAATACATGCAAACACACACACACACACACACACACACACACACACACACGAAAGTGTGGCCCATATTACCCAAAGAGTAAAAAAGCAATCAACAGAAATTACCCTTCAGGAAGTCCAGATGGTGAACTTACTAGACAAAGACTTTAATCAGCTATGTGTAAAATGTTTAAAAAGCTGAAGGAAAATATATCTAAAAAAAAGCTAAAGACAAGAGTCCCCAAATTGACCTGCAGACTCAATGCAACTCCTGTCAAAATTCTAACTGCCTTTGTGCAAAAATAAACAAGCTAATCTTAATATTCATATGGAAATTCAGGGAACCATGACTAGACAATCTGAAAAAGGAGAAAAACGTTGGAGGACTCACTTTCTGATTTCAAAACTTACTACAAGGCTACAGTAGTCAAAACAGTGTGGCACTGGCATAAGTATAAAAATATATGCCATGGAATAGAATTGAGAGTCCAAAAAGAAAACCTATATACATTTTGGTCAATTGATTTTTGACAAGGGTGCCAAGGCCATTCAATGGAGGAAAGAACAGTCTTTTCAACAAATAATGTTGAGACAACTGAATGTCCACATGCAAAAATACAGAAAGTTGGATACCTACTTCATAACATATACAAAAATTAACTTCAAATGCCAGAGCTAAAGTTACAATTGTTAGAGGGAAACAGGTGTAAATCTCATGACTTGGGTTAGGCAGCAATTTCCTAAATGTGAATCAGAAAGTCCAAGCAACAAAATAAGAAATAGATAAATTGGATTTCATCAAAATCTAAAACGTATGTGAATCAAATGACACCATCAAGAAAGTGAAAAGATAACCCACAGAATGGGATAAAATATTTGCAAGTAAAGTACATTATAATGGTCAAATGTAGAGAATATAAAGAACTTGCACAATTCAACAAAAAGACAAACAGCTAAATTAAAAAAGGACAAATAATTAGAGTAGATATTTCTCCAAAGAAGATACACAAGTAGTCAGTAAGCACATGAAAGATGCTCAGTCATCTGTCATTAGAGAAATACAAATCAAAACCACAATAATATCAAAACCCACTAGGTTGGTGATAACAACAGCAACAAGTTTCAGAAAGGATGCGGAGACATTGTAAACCTTTTGCATTGTACTGTAAAATGATGTCACTTTGGAAAACAACTTGGCATTCCTCAAAGGGTAAACATAGAGTTACCATAGGATCCAGCAGTTCCACTCCTAGATATATACACAAAAGAATTGAAAACACATGTTCACACAAATACTTGTATATAAATGCTTGTAGCAGAATTATTGACAATAGTTAAAAATTGAATACAACCCAAATGTCCATCAACTGATGAATGGATAAACAGAAGATGATATAATCCATAAAGTGGATATTAACTAGCCAACTAAAGGAATAAAATACAAATATGGCTAAACCTTAAAAACATTATGCTAGGCAAAGAAACTGGACACAGAAGGCTGTATATGGTATGATTCTAATTATGAGATATATCTAGAATAGGCAAACCCATCAAGGTGAAATGTAGATAAGTGTTTGGGATGGGGAGAAGGGGAAAATGGGAAGAATGAGGTTTCTGTTTGGGGTGGTGGAAATGTTCTAGTATCAGATAGTTGTAATAGTTATACAACATGGTAAATATACTAACAAACAATTATATACTTAAAAAGAAGTAAAATTATATATTTTAGACCAGGCACAGTGAGTCATGCTTGTAATCTCAGTGCTTTGGGAGGCCAAGGCAGGAGGATTGCTTGAGGCCAGGAGTTCAAGACCAGCCTGGGCAATATAGCAAGACACTGTCTCAAAATGTTTAAAGTCTATATTTTTATATGTGCCTAATTTTGTATTATGCTTTTGAAAGCAGATTCTTTTATTTTTTCCTTTTCTTTTTTTTTTTTTTCCTGGAGGCAGGGTTTTGCTGTTTTGCCAGGGTGGAGTACAGTGGTGCAGTCACAGCTCACTGCAGCCTCGACCTCCAGAACTCAAGTAATTCTCCCCACCTCAGCCTCATGAGTAGCTGGAACTACAGGTGTGCACCACCACACTTGACTAATCTGTTTTATTTTTTTGCAGAGCCAGGGTCTTACTATGTTGCCCAGGCTGTTCTCAAACTCCTGGGCTCAAGCAATCTTCCTGCTTTGGCCTCCCAAAGTGCTGGAATTACAGGTGTGAGCCACCCCATTGAAAGCAGATTCTTTTTTCTGGTCAAGCCTCCAGATGAGAATAGAGCTCACTGAACATTTTTATTTCAGCTTTTTGAGACCGTGAGAAAAGAGCCAGCTGGGCCACACCAAGACTTTTGCCCTAGACAAACTACAAGACAATGCGTGTTTAAGCCACTGATGGTGGTAATTTTTTATGCAGCAATAACAAATTAATACAACTACCATGTCATCTGTAAATAAAGACAATCTTTTTTTCCAATCTGGATGCCTTTTTTATATTTTTTAAGTTTTTGTAAGTATAAATAACTAATTTTTATTGATTTTTTAACATACAGGGAAAATTAGATCCATATTTATATGTAAAAAGCGCTTGAATGTATAAAAATCACAGTGTTTACAGATGATCCCAGTAGTATTCAGGTAAAATTGAAATTGAGAGGTTGAGCTATTTACAGGTTTTCATTTGAGCAAAATATGTGGTAATAATTTCAAACAAAACGTTAAATAACCTCATGCTTAGGAGAAGGTGATACATGAGGAAATTTATTGCACTGGCTTAAATCTCCAGAACAATTTTGGATATAATTGGAAAGGGGATACCATTTCCTTGTTCCTGATCTTAGGGGTAAAGCATTCATCTTTCATTAAAATGATGCTAGCTCTAAGTTTGTTTGAAGTTTGGTGCAGATGTCCTTTATAAGGTTGAGAAAGTGCCTTTGTATTTCTAGTTTTCTGTTTTTTTTTTCTTTTTTTTCCTTTTTTTTTTTTTTTTGGAGACAGAGTGTCTCTCTGTCACCCAGACTGGAGTGCTGTGGCACAATCTTGGCTCACTGCAACCTCTGCCTCCCCCAGGTTCAAGCTATTCTCCTTCCTCAGCCTCCTGAATAGCTGAGATTACAGGCGCCCTCCACCACACCCGGTTAACTTTTGTATTTTTAGTAGAGACGGGGTTTTGCCCTGTTGGCCAGGCTGGGATTGAGCTCCTGACCTCAGGTGATCTGTCTGCCTCGGCCTCCCAAAGTGCTGGGATTATAGGCGTGAGCCACTGCACCCAGCCTGCTAAACATTTCAATAGAAGAATAGTCTATTAAATTCACCTAGATATTTCCTTTTATTTTGTTTTTCTTCATTCCCCAAGGTTTCAGGTTTCCTTTCTGTATCATTCACCTTCTGTCTGAAAAACCTCGTTTAGCAATTGTTTTAGAGCAGGTCCACTGGCAAGAAATTCTCTTTGTTTCCTTGCATGTGAGAATGTCTTTATTTCACCTTCATTCCTGAAGGATATTTCCACTGGATATAGAGTTCTTGGTTTAATATTCTTTCCTTTCAGCACTTTCAAAATATTTTTCCACTTCCATCTGGCCTTCATGATTCCACGTGAGAAATCCACAGTTCTGTGAATCATTGCTTTTCTACAAGCAATGCATCATTTTTCTGTTTACTTTCAAGATGTTTTTCTATCTTAATTCTCATCAGTTTATGATGTGTCTTCATGTGAGTTTCTTGGGACTTACTCTGTTTCTGATTCTATGAGCTTACTGAATCCATAGATTTACATACAGACGCTTCTTGACTTATGATGGAGTTACATCCTGATAAACCAACCTTAAGTTGAAAGGATCTTTAGGTTGAAAATGCATGTAATATACCTAACCTACCAAACATCATAACTTAGCCTAGTTTACCTAAAATATCTTCAGAAAACTTATATTAGCCTATAGTTGGGAAAAATCACCTAACACAAGCCTATTTTATAATAAAGTGTTGAATATCTCATGTAGTTTATTGAATACTGTCCTGAAAGTGAAAAACAGAATGGTTGTATGGGTACTGAAAGTATGGTTTCTATTGACTGAGTATTGATTTTGCACCATTTTGAAGTCAAAAAATCCTAAGTCAGACCATTTTAATTTGGAGACTGTCTGCATTTTGCAAAATTTGAAAAGTTTTCAGCCATTATGTCTTAAAATATTTTTTCTGCATCATATGTTTTTTCTGTCCTTTGGGACTGTAATTACACAAATAGTATTGGAATTTTTCCACAGGCCCCTGAGGCTCTGTGCACATTTTTTCCCAAACTTCCTTTTTTTCCTGTGTTGTTCAGATTGCGTGATTTGTATAGGTCTATGTTCACATTCTCTGGCTCTTTCTTCGGTTATGTCATGCAAAGCTGGTTAAGTGTGTTTTTTAAATTTTGGTTATTGTATTTTTAAGTTCTAAAATTTCCACATGGTCATTCTTCGTATCTTCTACTTCTTTGCTGAGACTTTCTGTTTTCCTGTTCTTTTCAAAAGTGTTCTCCATTGCTTTTTGGAGCATTTTATGGTAGCTACCTTTTTGCCAGATAATTTGCCAGATAATTCCAACATCCATGTCATTTTGGCATCCCATGTGTTGGTTACCTTCACCCAAACATATTTGGATTTTCTTGGTTCATTGTATTTTGGGAATTTAGAGTTGTATCCTTGACATTTTGAGTATTTTGTTACGTGATTCAGGGTCATGGATAATGTAGAATTTTTTTGGTTTTATTTTAGTAGGCGATCAGTCTGGTTGGATCCAGGCCTCAAGTTCTGACCAATTTTATGTTGGTTATGGTTCCAATTTCAGTTAATTTCCAAAGCTTTTGCATTGCTATTCAGATCTGTCCCCTGTGTGTGACGCCAGTGACTAGTTTGGCACCAAAGCTATTGTCTACTCCATTGTTCAGTTCTCAAAGTTTATAGATTGATTAGGATTGAATCAATATACTCATGAAATTGAGCCCAAATATTTATAAACAACTCAAAGTAGTTACTTTAGCAAACTTTTCCCTATCCATGATCTTATCAGTACTTTCCATTTTCTTGGTACTCCCTTTGTTGGCTCTCCAGCTAGAAAGTTGCAGCTTTAGTTAACCCCAATCTGCTGCATGCTTTCTGCAACTACAGTTGTGTTGGGGCCAAGCAGACAGAGGGCAGAAACACAGAAAAAGCAACAGAAGTTTTTCCCATCCATTTGGGACCACATATTATCTTACTGGAGAGTAAGGCTCTCCTTCCTCAGAGTTTGAGGTTCCTACTGTCCCCACCACCATGACTGCTTCTGCTGTTATGAATTATTTGGGGGCTGAGGTGCAAGATGATAGAGAAAAGGAAAAGAAAGAAATAATCATAGGGGATTTTCACATTCTGAGTATTAGGAAACCATGTATCCTTTCATCAAGCCAGAATGAGAGGTGTCTCCTGGAGCCTTCCCTGTTTTGCTAATACCTACGTTCAACTTTCAGGCGATATTGAATTCAATCTCAGAAATGCCAGAAGGAGGAAATGGTAAACTCAGTACCAGTTTGGTTGTTTAGTGAATTTTCATCTTTCCCAATCTACCTGTTAGTGTATATGTTCAGAGTTCTCGAATAGCTGCTCCATGCATTCTGCCCTGATTTTATCACTGCATTCATGGGGAGAGCAAGGGTGGAACATGCTTACTTTATCTTACCCAGAAATGGAAGACTACTGAATTGATTCCTGGACTAAGATGCAAAGGCAATTCAGTGGAGAAAGCATAGTTTTATCAGTGAAACCTGGTGAAACTATTAGTTATCCATATGGAATACATGCATGCATAATACATAACACATACATGCATACATACATGCTACATTAGTCCATTCTTATGCTGCTATAAAGAACTGCCCAAGACTGGGTAATTTATAAAGTAAAGAGGTTAACTGACTCACAGTTCCACATGTCTGGGGAGGCCTCAGGAAACAATCACTGTGGAAGGGGAAGCAAACACG
The DNA here is from genome assembly GCF_000001405.40 of Homo sapiens. Taxonomy (NCBI): domain Eukaryota; kingdom Metazoa; phylum Chordata; class Mammalia; order Primates; family Hominidae; genus Homo; species Homo sapiens. The sequence goes on along the minus strand of NC_000007.14, from coordinate 72,371,525 downwards.
TCCTTCTTCACATGATGGCAGGAAGGAGAAGTGCCAAGCAAAAGGGGGAAAATCCTTTTATAAAACCATCAGATCTCATGAGAACTCACTATCATGGGAACAGCATGAGGGTAAGTGCTCCCATGATTTAATTACCTCCCACCTGGTCTCTTCCACAACATGTTTAGGGGATTAAGGGCACTACAATTCAAGATGAGATTTGGGTAGGGACACAGCCTGACCATATCATATGCATACATGCAAACATACATACTTCAATCCTTAGATCTCACAAAACTTAATTCAAAATGGATCACAGACTTAAATGTAAAGCATGATATCATAAAAATTCTGGAAGGAAATACAGAAGAAAACCTTTGCAACCCTAGGTTAGGCAAATTTTTAAAAATAGGACACCAAAAGCATTATTAATAAGAACAAATTAATATACCAGACTTTATCAAAATTAAGAGCCCTCTCTTTTTTTTTTTTTTTTTTTGAGACTTAATTTTGCTCTGTCACCAAAGTTGGAGTTCTGTGGGGTGATCTTGGCTTACTGCAACCTCCACGTCCCGGGTTCAAGTGATTCTCATGCCTCAGCCTCTCAAGTGGCTGGAATTACAGGCACATGCCACCACAACCCGCTAATTTTTTTGTATTTTTAGTAGAGATGCGGCTTCACCATGTTGGCCTGGCTGGTCTCAAACTCCTAACCTCAAGTAATCCACTGCCTTGGCCTCCCAAAGTGCTGGGATTATAGGCATGAGCCCATGCCCAGCCAAGAGCTCTCTCTTTGAAAGACACTGTTGAGAGAATGAAAAGAAAAGCCATGAACTCAGAAAAAAAATTTGTCAATTGCCTATATTAATTTTACTTTTTTTTTTTTTTTTGAGACGGAGTCTCGCTCTGTCACCCAAGCTGGAGTGCAGTGGCGTGATCTCGGCTCACCCTTCTAAGCTCCGCCTCCCGGGTTCACACCGTTCTCCTGCCTCTGCCTCCCAAGTAGCTGGGACTACAGGCATGTGCCACCACAGCTGGCTAATTTTTTGTGTTTTTATTAGAGACGGGGTTTTACCGTGTTAGCCAGGATGGTCTCGATCTCCTGACCTCGTGATCCGCCTGCCTCAGCCTCCCAAAGTCAATCACATGTCTTATAAAGGACTTATATCTAAAGCATATGAAGAGCTTTTGAAATTTAATAATAAGGAAACAGACTACCAATTTAAAGATGGGTAAAAGACATGAGCACAAGATAAAAAATAGGTAAAATATATACAGCAAAAAAGATATACAGATGGCAAATAAGCATCTGAGAAGATATTCAACATCATTGATCATTAGGGAAATGTAAATGAGAACTACAATGAGATGTCATTACATACTTTTTAAAATGTCTGAAGTTAAAATGACTGTACCAAGTTCTGGTGACAATGTAGAGTCATTGGAACTCTCATGCATGACTGATGGGAATGTAAAATGGTACAACTATTTTGTATTAACGGTGTTTGGTGGTTTTAAAAATAACACACATACATTTTTTGTATGATGTACATTACATTTCTAGGTATTTAACCAAAATAAATAAAAGCATATATTCATAGAAAGACTCAAACATGACTACTAATTGCAGCTTTATTTATGATAGTGAGAAACTGAAAGCATGTTAAATGTCCATCAATAGGTTAGTGGATTAACAAATTGTGGTGTATTCATACAATGGAATACGACTCAGAAAACCATTCCTAGACACAACATGGGTGAATTTCAGAATAATTATGCTGAGATGAAGCCAGACAACAAAAGTACATATAGGACAGTTCTACTTCTATAAACTTCTAGGAAATGCAAACTATGGTAATTCTTACGAGTGAAAGGAGAGAATGAGGAAATGGAAGGGAGAGATTACGCTTGTAATCCCAGCACTTTGGGAGGCCGAGGTGGGTGGATCACCTGAGGTCAGCAGTTGAAGACAAGCCTGACCAACATGGAGAAACCCCGTCTCTACTAAAAATACAAAATTAGCCAGTTGTGGTGGTGCATGCCTGTAATCCCAGCTACTCGGGAGGCTGAGGCAGGAGAATTGCTTGAACCTGGGAGGCAGAGGCTGAGGTGAGCAGGGATTGCCACTGCACTCCAGCCTGGACAACAAGAGTGAAACTCCATCTCAAAAACAAACAACAACAACAAAAAAATAAATATTTATAATATTTATAAATTATATATATTATAAATATTTATAAATATATAAATATATATATTTTATATGTATATAACACTTTGCGTAATGTACGTGTTTACCATGTTGATTGTGGCGATGGTTTCACAGGTGTATACAGGTATAAAACTTATCAACTTATAAATTGTACACTTTACATGAACCTTATTGTGTGTCAGTAAGATTTCAATACATCTGTTTTTAAAATGAGTTTTCAGGCTGGGTGCAGTGGCTCATGCCTGTAATCACAGCACTTTAGGAGGCAGAGGTGGGCAGATCACTTGAGGTCAGGAGTTCGAGATCAGCCTGGCCAACATGGTGAAACCCCGTTTCTACTAAAAATACAAAAATTAGCTGGGCGTGGTGGCGGGTGCCTGTAATCCCAGCTACTTGGGAGGCTGAGGCAGGAGAATCGCTTGAACCCAGTAGGTGGAGGTTGCAGTGAACTGAGATTGTGCCGCTGCACTCCAGCCTGGGCAACAGTGTGAGATTCTGTCTCAAAAAAAAAAAAAAAAAAAAAAAGGGTTTCAAACCATTCTCTGTGATGGTGAAATCAGCAGAAATTTCACTAGGACTTTGGCTTTGGCTTATGGTTGAAGTGTCATTTTTCACTTTGTCGTCTTGTGTAAATTCATGAGTTCTTTAATGGTCATTTGGGAGAAAGCGTATCAATCACTTTCAGATGACCTCCGTATGATCTGATGGTTTTGTAGCTCATATCTTTGTTACTTTATTCATTCTCCTTTTTCATTTTTGATGATTTTTCTTATTTCTTGAGTTGAATGTTCAGTAGACATTTTCATTTCTCCTTTGTATTTTCTTGTATATAAATTTATCACACACTCAATTGGGAAAATTTGAATGATACACACAAAAAGAAGCCAAAGTCGTGCAGAATCCCATTTCTATGTGGCACCAATATTAATATTTCTGCCGACATCCTTCCTGCCATCTTATGTGCTTTCTGTGCATGTATGCCCTTTGTGTATATATGTAAAAAGTGCACAAATCACAAGTGTACAGCTTTCCACAAACTGAATATATCTACGTTACCAGCACTCAGTTAACAGTTAACAGAACATTACTAGCATCCTAGATATATATATCACGCACATAGATATATATACACACACATATATATATACAGATACACATATATACACATATATATATACACACACATAGATATAGATACAGATATGTATTTTTTGAGACGGAGTCTTCGCTTTGTCGCCCATGCTGGAGTGCAGTGGCGCAGTCTCGGCTCACTGCAAGCTCTGCCTCCCGGGTTCATGCCATTCTTCTGCCTCAGCCTCCTGAGTAGCTGCCTGCCACCATGCCCAGATAATTTTTTGTGTTTTTAGTAGAGACGGGGTTTTACTGTGCTAGCCAGGATGGTCTCAATCTCCTGGCCTGGTGATCCATCCGCCTCGGCCTCCCAAAGTGTTGTTATTACAGGTGTGAGCCACTGGACCCGGCCTATATATATATTTTTAACAGACAAGGTCTTGCTCTGTCACCTGGGCTGGAGTGCATTGGTGCAATCGGAGCTTCTTCCAGCCTGGAACTCGTGGGCTCAAGCGATCCCCTTGCCTCAGCTTCCTGAATAGCTGGGACCACAGGCGTGTGCCACCAAACCTGGCTAATTTTTATTTTTATTTTTATTTGTAGAGACCTGGCTAATTTTTATTTTTATTTTTATTTGTAGAGACAGGGTCTTGCTCTGCCATCCAGGCTGGAGTGTGGCAGTGCAATCATAGGCTTCTGTAACCTTGAAATACTGTGCCCAAGCCATCCTCCTGTCTCAGCCTTCCAAGTAGCTGGGATCACAGGCATGCACCACCACACCGTTAATTTTTCAATTTATTTTTGCAGAGACAGGAGCTCACTTTGTTGCCCAGGCTGGTCTCAAATTCCTGGGCTGAAGCAATCCTCCCACCTCAGCCTTCTGAGTGAGTAGCTGGGAGTACAGGTGCATGCCAACACTCCCAGCTAATTTTTTATTTTTGTAGAGACAGGGCCTTGCTGTGTTGCCCAGGTTATTCTCGAACTCCTGGCCTCAAGCAGTCCTCCTGCCTCAGCCTCCCAAAGTGTTTGGATTACAGGTGTGACCCCAGATGCTATCATTGTATCTGCTTCTAGTCCCAACCTGCTTCCACCAACCCAAGTTAACTAGTATTCTGACTTCTAATGACATAGGTTTCTTTTGCCTGTTTTTTTTTATTATTAAAATATAATCATGAAGCATGCTTTCTACCTTATCTGTCGTCTTTGACTCAACATTATATTTGTGAGGTTCATCCATGTGGTTGTAGAAGGTTGTCATTTATTCACTATTGTTGTGGTATATTCTTTCCCTTTGTGTAAATATATCATAATTTATTTATCCATTTTATTGTTGATGGGCTTTTGTGTGGTTTCCAGCTTGGGGCTATTCTCGATAGTGCTGCTATAAATATTCTAGTGCATGTCTTTTGTGAGCATGTCAACACCTTTTTTTTTGTTGGTTATATCCCTGAGAAAGAAACTGCCAGGTCATATACATGCAATTTAGATGCAACTTTGAATAAATGGTTATCATAATGGACAAACTATTTTGAAACCTGCTTTAGTCATTAAACAAGTGAGACTTTTTTCATGTCAATTAATAATATTCATTATATGTGAACTTTAGAGACTCAGAAGTGGGAGGATGGAAGGGGGCCAGGGCTAAAAAACTACATATTAGGTACAATGTACATTGCTCAGATGACTGGTGCACTAAAATCTCAGAATTCAGCACTAAAAATTCATCCATGCACCCAAAAACTACTTGTACCCCAACAGCTATTGAAATTTTTGGAAAGAAAAAAAATACATCAGGCGCTGTAGCTCATGCCTGTAATGCCAGCACTTTGGGAGGCCGAGGCAGGTGGATCACCTGAGGTCAGGAGTTCGAGACCAGCTTGGCCAACATGGTGAAACCCCATCTCTACTAAAAATATAAAAATTAGCTGGGCATGGTGGTGTGTGCACCTGTAATCCCAGCTACTTGGGAGGCTGAGGCAGGAGAATCACTTGAACCTGGGAGGTGGAGGTTGCATTGAGCTGAGATGGCGCCACTGCACTCCAGCCTGGGTGAAAGAGTGGGACTCTGTCTCAAAAATAAATAAAATAAAATAAAAAATTAAAAATAAAATAAAAAAGATAAAAAATAGTATTCATTATAGGAATGTACCATACTTTAGTCACTCATCAATAGACATTTCTTGTACTTCTCATTTTTCATAATATGAGCAATGCTTTATTCCACATCCTTATAAACATGTCTTTATGCAATTGACTGATTATCATTTTAGGATAAATACTTAGAATTGGATTTAGTGAATCCAAGGGTATGCCCATGTGCATTTAAAACTTTGATACTTGTCCAATTTCCTTCTTGAAATGATGAAGTATAATTTAGAATTTAACCAACTGGGCGAGAGGGTACGTTTTCATATACTCTCACTCACACTGAATTTTCCCTATACTTTTAAGCTTTGCCAATATGGTAGAATAATTTCACATCTTTGCATTAGATAATGTTTCTTTGATTATTCGTGATCTTACACACCTTTTAGGTCAGGCATAGTTGCTCACACCTGTAATCCCAGCACTTTGGGAGGCTGATGTGGGATGATCCCTTGGGCTCAGAAGTTGGGACCAGCCTGGGCAACATAGCAAGACCCTGTGTCTACAAAAAAATTTAAAAAATTTGCAGGGAGTGGTGGCATGCATCTATAGTCCCAGCTACATAGGAGTTTAAGGTAGGAGGATCGCTTGGGCCCAGGAGGTTGAGGCTACACCACTGCACTCCAGCCTGGGTGACAAAAGCCAGACCCTATTCAAAAAATAAACATTTTTTAGAAAACGTATTTCTCATTTTATGCACTTTGCTAGTTGTTTATTGTTGTTTTCCCCACTGATTTATAAGTTCTGTACATACTGAAGATATAATTATTATTTTTTTCTTCTTTTGAGACAAGGTCTTGCTCTGTCACCCAGGCTGGAGTGCAGTGGCACAACTTTTTATCATATCTATATGTAATTTTGTAAAGATGGGGTCTTGCTGAACCCTCCTGGGTTCAGGTGATTCTCCTGCCTCAGCCTCCCGAGTAGGTGGGATTACAGTCATATGCCACCAGGCCTGGCTAATTTTTGTATTTTTAGTAGAGACTGGGTTTCACCATGCTGGCCAGGCTGATCTCGAACTCCTGACCTCAGGTGATCCACCTGCCTTGGCCTCCCAAAGTGCTGGGATTGCAGGTGTGTGCCACCACGCCCGGCTAATTTTTATATTTTTAGTAGAGACTGGGTTTCACCATGTTGGCCAAGCTGATCCCAAACTCCTGACCTCAGGTGATCCGCCTGCCTTGGCCTCCCAGAGTGCTGGGATTGCAGGTGTGTGCCACCATGTCCGGCTAATTTTTGTGTTTTTAGTAGAGACGAGGTTTCACTATGTTGGCAAGGCTGATCTCGAATACTAATACTACTTTTGAATAACAAATCAATTTTATATATTTATGGGGCACAGTGTGATGTTTTGATATATGAATACAACGTGGGATGATTAAATCAAGCTAATTAACACACCCATACCTCACTTAACTATCACTGTTGTTTCTTTTCTAATTTGAAATACACTTTATCAATATTCAGAATTCCTGAGGATCTATGTTTGTCTGTTTCCGTACTGAGAATATAATTCTGTGTTTTGTTCATCTATTTACCCAACAAATACTTTGCCAGGCACTTTTCTAAGAATTTGTGCTATATTAGTTAAAAGAGAGAGAGACACAAAACTCCTTTCCTTATGAAGCTTCCTACATTTCAAAGGGAGGTATAGAGACAAATACTAAATCATAAACATTTTTATTTCTTCTCCAGAATTAGTATGACAATTACAGATACATCTATAGTTGTAATTCCTGTAGATATATGATGTATTTAAGCTCAGGTAGAGCTAGTTCTTCCCCATTAATTATTTTGACTCTGTAAATATTGAATCTTACAAGTTTTAGAATTGTTTGATCAAATTCTAATCTAAATCTCACTGGGATTTCTGTTGTGATTGCCTAGAATTTTGAAATTAATTTAGAGAGATCTGACATCTTTACAAAAGTATTTTCTTATCTGGTAATGAGGTATGCTTCTCTACTGAAGTTTTCTTTTGTTCAAGTGTCTTTTCGTGTCCCTTAGAAGAGTTTTCAAATTTTCTCCATTATAGTAAAGTATTTTTTTTTTTTACTGCAATTTTGAATTAAAAACACATTTTGTGCCGGGCACCGTGGCTCACGCCTGTAATCCCAACACTTTGAGAGACTGAGACAGGCAGATCACCTGAGGTCAGGGGTTTGAGACCAGCCTGGCCAATGTGGTGAAAACCCTTCTCTACTGAAAATACAAAAATTAGCTGGGCATGGTGGTGCCTGCCTGTAATCGCAGCTACTTGGGAGGCTGAGGCAAGAGAATTGCAAATCACTTGAACCCAGGAGGCGGGGGTTGCAGTGAGCCCGAGATTGTGCCACTGCACTCCAGCCTGGGTGACAGAGCAAGACTCCCTCTCAAAAAAAAAAAAAAAAAAAAGTTTTTTTTAACCATATGTTGCAAGTAGCCTGTTACAGACATTTAGCTACTACATATTCCCACCAATGAATGCCTGCTGTCAGTACTTTCACTTTCAACATTTTGTGTCTATTAAGTATAAAACCTAGACTGATACTTTTTTCTGTAAAAAAAGTAAGTTTATGTGCATTTGTCTTTTTAAAATTAGGCCAGGTGCAGTGGCTCACACCTGTAATCCCAACACTATGGGCAGCCAAGGCAGGCAGATCACCTGAGGTCAGGGGTTTGAGACCAGCCTGGCCAACATGGCGAAACCCCTTCTCTACTAAAAATACAAAAATTAGCCGGACATGGTGGTGCCTGCCTGTAATCCCAGCTACTTGGGAGGCTGAGGCCGGAGAATCGATTGAACCCAGGAGGCGGAGGTTGCAATGAGCCGAGATCACGCCACTGCACTCCAGCCTAGGCAACAGAGCGAGACTTCGTCTCAAAAATAAAAAAATAAAATAATGTGTCATAATCTCACAGAAGGGAACAACACACACTGGGGCCTATCAGAGGGTGGAGGGTGGGAGGAGGGAGAGGATCAGCAAAAATAACTAATATTTTTAATACCTGGGTGATGAAATAATCTGTACGACAGACCCCCATGACGTAAGTTTGCCTGTATAACAAATCTTCACATGTACCCCCTGAACTTAAAAGTTAAATTAAAAAAAGAACATCCTTAAAACCAGGTGCTTCTACCTTGTCTATAATTGCCTGCAATGAAGTAATATCTGGGCCAGGCTGCTGGCCTGTGACGGGACAGGTGCCTGGGCAAACACGGAACCAGGATTCTGCTCATTAGAAGTCTGCTTCATTTACCGGAATATGGTAAATGTATATGAGCTGCTCGGGGCAGACACCAGGAAATGGATGCTGGCCCGAGGAGGTGATGGCTGGGCTGGGATCAAGAGGATGAGTACGATTTCTTCCTTGAAGAAAGGAAGAAAGGCTGCAGGAGGGGGAGAGTCCCCAGGACAACGGGCCACAGAGGAATATCCTGGGGGTGGCAGGGACTGGGCACACAGGCAGGACAGAATGACAGCCAGCTGTGTGGAGGGGTAGAGAGAACTTGCGGTAAAAGAGTGTGAGATGAGAGGCCTCTGGAACCAGGCCACCATGGAGAATCATTATCTGTGAAAGAATTTGCATCTTTACCTGGAGATCAAAGGAAGTGAAGGAAGTGTATTTTATAGATAGCGTGGTACCCAGACCAGATGAGGCTTTGAGAAGATCACCCTCCTAGGGTGATGCCTAGTAAGCCACCAGAGAAGCTGGTAGAGAGAGGATGGAGACTTAGAGTGCTCTGTTGGCCATGGAGAGAAGTCAACAGACTTGAGAAATATGTAAGCTACAAAACTCTTGCGACTGTACATGGTGGAAATCTTCTATATCTTCACTGGGAGGTGGCCATGTGGGCGTATCACTTATCAAAAGTCATCAAATTGGTAGACATAAGATCCATAATGCTTCCACAGTTAGCAACGAACGAAGCTGTGAACATCTTTAATTGTGCTAACCCTGGACGTGGATATTTTATTCATTTGGACCTCAAAATTAACATACTTAAGAAACTGTCATATACTGTATTCTGTTAATGACAGAAACCTGTCCAAGGAAGAAATGGCACTATGGTTACACAATATATGCTATTTACCAAGATAATGAGGAAATTTTCTCTCCTGTTTTTATCCTGTTCTGAGTATATCTAGAACTCGCATTAAAAAAATTATGAATAAAACTGCGTAAGAAAAAAATGTGTCATATGATCTTAAAATCTTTTTTCTCTTTGGTGATTTGTAATGGATATTACATGTATAATGTCCACTAATTTATAACTTTACGTGCTTAAGCTGATGTTTTTCACTTAAACTTACCTTGAAATCAAACAGTTTCTATTTGAAATCAAGCAGTTTCTATTGAACCTTTGCTCTGAAAGATCAAGAAATAGATTATTCCTTTCCGTTCTTTTTACTTCTTTCTCCTTGTTCTCCCCACTACTCAGTTGGCATTTCCTGAGTCCAGAGTGTGGTAACCTGGTAAACTTCTGGTAAGTGATGCGATCAAGTGAATGTAAACGTGGTATCATTTGGTCCAGTGTATGATATTATGGTAAACTTTTATAAAACATTTACATGTACAAATTAATCTCTGGAGTTAAAGATGAATTCTTTGTTTTGTTTGTTTGTTTTTTAGAGACAGGGTCTTGCTCTGTCACCCAGGCTGGAGTGCAGTGGTGCCATCATAGCTCACTGTAGCCTCAAACTCCTGGGTTCAAGCGATGCTCCTGCCTCAGCCTCCTGAGTAGCTGGGACTACAGGTGCACATCATCACACCTGGTCTGAACTCGTTTTTATTTCACATCAATTTTACTTATTAATGGATTTCATAGTAGGTGGTATTCAAAATACTTAGCATCCAGCCCCAGGGACCAAGGCTCTGGAGGCTTGGCCTTTGGATCTGGGGAAATCCAGGGCGTCTCCAGGCGTGGGGCTGGAGAGTTGGGGATATTTGGAGATATTTGATGCTTCATCTTGATTTGTGCATGAATAACCTGTGGAGAATTTAAATTACAAAATGTAAGCTTATTTTTTTGGTACAAAAAATGAAAAGTAGTACATTCTCATTGCAACAAATGCCAACAAGGCAGAATGAAATAGAATAAGAAATGTTAGGCTGTGTGCGGTGGCTCATGCCTGTAATCCCAGCACTTTTGGAGCCCAAGGCAGGCAGATCACTTGAGGTCAGGAGTTCGAGACCAGCCTGGCCAACAGGATGAAACCCTGTCTCTAATAAAAACAGAAATTAACCCGGCATGGTAGTGTGCACCTGTAATCTCAGCTATGTAGGAAGCTGAGGCATGAGAATTGCTTGAATCCGGGAGGCGGAGGTTGCAGTGAGCTGAGATGATGCCATTGCACTTCAGCCTGGGTGACAGAGGGGAGACTCTGTCTCAAAATTATACTTTTAAGTTCTAGGGTACACGTGCACAACGTGCAGGTTTGTTACATGTTACATATGTATACATACATATGTAACAAATCTGCACGTTGTGCACGTGTACCCTAGAACTTAAAGTATAATAAAAAAAAAATAGAAAAGAAAAAGTGTTACAGTATTTATTTCTCTATCTAATGCTATCGTTTCATTCCACCCCTCCAAGGTGATTGACATCCAATGTTGCCAGTTTGGCTTTTATGAAACCCATTTTTTTGTATGCATCTATAAACATGTGTGATGTCTTCAATCTTTCTCTGATTTTTTTAAATAAAAAAATTTCAAAACTAGAGACATTGTAAAAATAGTACCAAAAACAGCCGTATATCCTGCACATTTGTTTCTTCTTTTCCTTTTCTCTACTCTCTCTTGAACCATTTGAATATTAGGTAGAAATAAATGGAAAACATCACAACAGACTTCACCATTAAATATTTAGCAGATATTTCACAAAGACAATTACATTTTCCTGTGTGACCACAATATACTTATTGTATCCAGGAAGCTTAACACTAATAAAGTAAATGGAGGCCAAAATCAAATTTCCCAGTTTGTTGCAATAATGTCCTTTATAGTTTGTTTTAAAACCAAGATTCGACCATGAGTTGGACATTCTATTTCGCTGCCAGGTCTTTAAGCTGTAAGAATTTCTTAGCTTCTTTTTATGTATTTTGGGACATTCACATTTTTGCAGAATCCAGGTCAACTTTGGTTTTTTTTTTTTTTTGAGATGGAGTCTCACTCTGTCACCCAAGCTGGAGTGCAGTGGCGTGATTTTGGCTCACTGCAAGCTCCGCCTCCTGGGTTCATGCCGTTCTCCTGCCTCAGCCTCCTGAGTAGCTGGGACTACAGGCGCCCGCCACCACGTCCGGCTAATTTTTTTTGTATTTTTAGTAGAGACGGGGATTCACCGTGTTCAGCAGGATGGTCTTGAACTCCTGACCTTGTGATCCTCTCGCCTCAGCCTCCCAAAGTGCTGAGATTACAGGCGTGAGCCATCTTTCCCGGCCCCAATCCAGGTCAACTTTCACAAGGTTCCTCCACTTGATTGAGTTTGTATGAGGTTTTCTCATGATTGGAATCAGGTTATTCTTTTTTGTCAGGAATAGTGCATACATGTGTTGTTATCTTCACTGTGTCATACCAGGAGGCACGTGGTGCCTGCATATCCTATACCTCACTATATGTACATGTGACCTAAAAGTAGTACCTTGTCAAGTGAAAAAGAAAGGTAGAGAACAATGTGTACAGTGTGTTAGCATTTGTATAAAGAAGCAGCAGATATATGTAAAATATCTCTGGAAAGAAACGCAAGAAAGTTACAATACTTGCCCTGTAGGAGATCGGAGGATCTGGAAGACGAAACGGGGAGGGAGATGTGTTATTGAATATTGTTTTTCACATTGGAATATTGAACCGTGTGATGGGACTCAGAAATGGATTGAGAACGCGGTCGGGGAGGAGGAAGGTGCCAAGAGTGACTCTGACATGGTCTGGCTTCTAAAATAGAGCGTTATGCTAATTAGCAAAGTAAAATCCACAGATAAAGGGTATGAGATCTAGTGCAGGGTTCCTAGAAAATGGGGAGGAATAGTATCCTACGAAGCACAGCGGAGGGCCTGGCCTTTGGCAGGAAGAGATGCAGGGCCTCTTCATGGGGAAGAAGAAAAAAGGATGCACTGTGATGAGGTGGCAGGTTTGTGGTGTTGGTAGCACCCAATGTAATTTTTTTTTTTTTTTGAGGTAGAGTCTCACCTTGTCAGCCAGGCTGGAGCTGGAGTGCAGTGACACGACCTCACCTCACTGCAACCTCCGCCTCCTGGGTTCAAACGATTCTCCTGCCTCAGCCTACCGAGTAGCTGGGATTACAGGCATTATAGGTGCCCGCCACCATGCCCAGCTAATTTTTGTATTTTTAGTAGAGACGGAGTTTCACCATGTTGGCCACGCTTGTCTCGAACTCCTAACCTCGTGATCTGCTTGCCTCCGCCTCCCAAAGTGCTGGAATTACAGGTGTGAGCCACCGCGCCTGGCCGCCAATGTTATTTTTACATCTATCTTTGTTGACTTTGCCCCGATGGGCTTGAGGGGAATTCACAAATTGCGCTTTTCTTCTCTCTCCGAAGTTGGGGTCAGGTTGACGGGGATCACAGTGCCAGTTCTGGTATGTTGCACCCAGAATTAGGACATGTACCACTTGGCCAGCCACAGGGAGTGATGGCTAAGTACAATGTCAAAGTCAGTGCTCTCTGCGGGAAGGGAGAGCTGAGGAGAGAGAACAAGAGGATTGTATCTAACAGTCCTTTTCCTTTCTCCATTTACTAATCAGAGAAGTGAGCGAGGAAATATAGAGATCCAGAGTGTTACACTAGTGGATATCACTCCACGTGAAAATTTGTGATCCAAGGCTAGGCGTGGTAGTGGCTCACACCTATAATCCTAGCACTTTGGGAGGCCAAGGCTCAAGGGTCACGTGAGGCCAGGCATTTGAGACCAGTGCCTGGGCAACATAGTGAGACACTGTCTCCAGAAAAAGATTAAAAAATTAGTTAGGCATGGTGGTGCACACCTATAACCCCGGCACTTTGGGATGCTGAGGTGGGAGGATCACTTGAGCTCAGGAGTTTGAGGCTGCAGTGAGTTATGATTGCATCATTGCACTCCTGCCTGGGAGACAGTGAGATTCTGCCTCTTAAATACAAAACCCCATCTCTACTAAAAATACAAAAAAATTAGCCAGGCATGGTGGTGTGTGCCAGTAATCCTAGCTACTCAGGAGGCTGATGCAAGAGAATCCCTTGAGCCTGGGAGCTGGGGACTCCATCTAAAAAAAAACACACATATATATAAATATAAATATATATAAATATATAAAAATATATATAAATATATAAAATAAAAGTTTCTTACCCCATGACCATTTTCTTCAGAATTCCTATAAACATGTTTATTTCTTTTTACCTCTGCCAACATTGGGTTGTTATAAATACTTTTAAATTTTGCCTATTGATTAGGCTAAACATGTTATCTCATAATGGGGAGTTTTTTCAACTACTGTTGTCTGGGCCTCGCTTTTGTAGATTCTGATTCCGTTGATTTGACGTGAGTCTCATTTGTGTATTTAAAAGCATTCAAAAACCTCATTCATGATGCTCATGGTAAGATCAAGGCAGCCCTGAGATTTGATTAGGGATGGGTTGGGGGTGGTATCAGCACACACTTTTCTCTACCTTTAATTTTCTTCTTTGATAAGAAATTTGCTTTATTTCCAATCGAATCCCTTTGTTTCACCATAAAAAAGCTGGGACTCATTAACATTGGCAGTACCTGGTCCCACGAGGCCTCTCCGCTGGAGCTGATCTGTGGTGCAGGAGGAACCTTTCTCATTCCGAGTCCAACCACATCGCCAGATCTCAGCTTGGGGTCGGGGGGTTTGTGTTAGCAAGGCTCTTGGGCCCACAGCACTGCGTTGGTTCCGAAGCACAGGAATTGTGGCCAAACTCCAGCATCATATTTCATTTTGGTTCAAGTTGTATTCTATCTGGCAAGTATTCCTTGGCATTCATAGGGAAAGGTTAAGGCTGTCTCTAAGTTTCAGTTTGGTTTTCATTTTAATCATTAGTTCCTTTGTTGGTTTTTGTAGGTTTCAGGGAGGAGGTTTTAAAAAATGTCCAGTTAACACCGTCATGTTTCCTGGAAGTCTCCACTTCTTGCCCTGAATTAAAAACAAAACAAAACAAAACCAAAGCAAAACCAAAGCTTAGAAGTGTTGGTTTTAGAGCAAGACATACGTTGACAAGCACTAATATATTGCTCTAAGCTTTCTCACTGCCCTGAAGCAGCTATGTTTAATCAGATCCGTTTCAACATGCCCAGACTAAATAATATACTCATTTTCCTAATTTACAGTTTTTAGCTAATATATTTTGATTTTCTTCTCTTATGTTGTAATTTGCGTTCTTCTAGTTCTTTGATTATTTACTATGTCAATCAGATTGAGCTAATAATACACAATAATAATTGCTTTTAATTTTGTAGGTTTTGCTTTATATATTTTGAGCCTATATTATTAGGTGTATCCAATTTTTGAAATGTTCCATCTTTCAGGGAGATTGGCACTTATTATACAATTTTAGTCGTCCTTGTTAGTTTTACATTCTTTTATTATTATTTTAGTGATATCCCTAGAGACCGCAGTGTGTATCCTTGACCCACTGGTATATATCCTAAATTAGTACATTTATCACTTTAATACAAGTTGTATCTAAAGTTGCAAGGACCTTAGAACACTTTAACTCTGTTTACCCCATTCCTACATTTTGTGCAATTGTTTTCATGTATTTTACTTCTTCGTGGATTTAAGAAACTACCAAACATTATTAGCATTTATTATTATTAGATTAAAATACAATAGTTATTCAGATTTACCTACATATTTGGTATTTCCAGTGCTCCTTACCCTTTCATCTCTGTTCCTCCATTTGAAACCATATCTTTTTCTGTCTGAATAGCTCACTATAGCAATTCTTTCCTTTTACAAAATTTTAACCACAATCTTTAACTTTTAAATTATCATTTTAAATGAACACAGAATAATTGTGCATATCTATGGGATACAGTGTAATATTTTGATACATGTATACAATGTGTAATGATCAAATCAGAGTAACTAGCAAATCAGTCACCTCAAACATTTATCTTCCTTTTGTACAACCATAATTTTTTTTAAGGCTTCATTTTCTTCTTTCTTTTCAAATCAACTTTATTGAGGATAATTTACATATAATAAAATGCACCCATTTAAAATGTACACTTTGATGAGTTTGACAAAATGTATAAACCTTTGTAACCATCACCATAATTAAGACATAAACATTTCCTTCAACCTAAACTGTGCCCTTGTACTCTGATGGAGTCAACCACTCAGCCCCAGGAATCCACCCATTTAATTTCTGTCACTACAGATTGTTTTTTTCTGTTCTAGAATTTCATAAGAATGAAATAATGGATATGTATTATGAATAATTTTTGCCTGCCTGTGACTTGTCTATTCATTTTACCAAAAATGAATTTTTCAGAAGCATAAGATTTAAAATTTGATGAAATCAAAATGATCAAATTTTTCTTTTATGACTTGGGCTTTCTGTTGTTTTGTTTTGTTTTTGTTCCATTTTGTTTTTGAGACAGTCTCACTCTGTTGCCCAGGCTGGAGTGCAGTGGTGTAATCCCGGCTCACTGCCACCTCTGTCTCCTGGGTTCAAGCAATTCTCCTGTCTCAGCCTCCTGAGTAGCTGGGATTACAGGCGTGCGCCACCACGCCTAGCTAATTTTTGTATTTTTAGTAGAGATGGGTTTTCACCATGTTGGCCAGGCTGGTCTTGAACTCCTGGCCTCAAGTGGTCCGCCCGCTTTGGCCTCCCCAAGTGCTGAGATTATAGGTGTTAGCCACAGCGGCCGGCCAATTTGTGCCTTTTGTATCCTCGTTAAGCAGTTTTTGGCTGAGCACGTTGGCTCACGCCTGTAATCGCAGCACTTTGGGAGACCGAGGTGGGCGGATCACTTGAGCATGGGAGTTTGAGACCAGCCTGGGCAAATGCTGAGAGTCTGTCTCTATAAAAAATACAAAAATTAGCCGGGCATGGTGGCGCAAGCCTGTAGTCCCAGCTATTCCGGGGCTGAGTTGAGAGGATGGCTTGAGCCCGGGAGGTGGAGGATGCAGTGAGCTGTGATTGTGCCACTGCACTCCAGCTTTGGCGACAAAGCGAGACCCTGTCTCAAGGGAAATTAAAAAAAAAAAGAAAAGAAAAAAAAAAAGAAATTTTTGCTTACTCAAGTTCTCAAAAATTTTCTCCTGGGTTTTCTTTAAAAGTTTTGCGGCTTTATCTTTTAGGTCTACGATCCATTCGGAGTTAATCTTTGCCTATAGGGTAAATAAAGTATCAAAGTTCATTTATTTCCACATGAATATCCAGTTATTCCAGCAGAACTGGATGAAAAGACTATCCTCATTAAATTAATTAATTTGAATTAATTTGGCACCTTTGTGAAAAACTAATTGGTCACACGCAAGTGAGTCTATTCCTAATCATTTCTGTTCCTTTGCTCTATACATCTATCCTTGTGCCAAAACCACACTCTCTTGATTAGCTTTATAGTTAAGTCTTGAAATCAGTTGGAAAGAAAGTCTTTCCAACTTCTCTGAAAAAATGGTTTTGGCTATTCTATGTCCTTTGCATACATATATAAATTTTTAAACCAGCTTGTCAAATTTTGCAAAACAGCTTATTAGGATATTGATGATGCTGAACCTGTAGATCAATTTGGAGAGAATTGACATCTTAAAATTATCAAACCTCTAATCCATTAACATGGTATAGGTCTCCATTTATTTTTGGTCTTCTTTAATCTCTCTCAGCAATGTTTTGAGGTTTTTAGTATACAGAACTTACACTTATTTTGTTAAGCTTATCCATAATATTTCATGGTTTTGATATTATTGTGAATGGGACTTTTTCTTGAGATGGAGTCTTGCTCTGTCACCCAGGCTGGAGTGCAGTGGCACAATTTCGTTTCACTGCAACCTCCCCCTCTTGGGTTCAAGTGATTCTCTTGCCTCAGCCTCCCGAGTAGCTGGGATTAGAGGGGCCCACCACCACGCCTGGCTAATTTTTGTATTTTTAGTAGAGATGGGATTTCACCATGTTGGCCAGGCTGGTCTCGAACTTCTGACTTCAGGTGATCCACCCACTTTGGCCTCCCAAAGTGCTGGGATTACAGGTGTGAGCCACTACGCCCGGCCTGAATGGAGCTATTTTTAAAATTTCATTTTTCAGTTGTTTATTGTTGGCATTGACCTTGTATTCTGTGACCTTGTTAAGGTCACTTTCATTCAAATACCCTTATTTTTTAATTTACACAATCATGTTGCTTTTCAATAAAAACAATTTTACTTCTTACTTACCAATCGGGATGCATTTTCTGTCTTTTTATTGACTTATTTCACTGGCTGGAGCCTCCAACAAATGTTCAATAGAAGCCCTTTTCCTGATTTTACAGGGAAAGCATTCAGTTTTTAACCATTTTGTGTGATGTTAGCTGTAGGTTTTTTTGTAGTACCCCTTAGCAGGATGAAAAAGTTCCCTTTTATTCCAAACTTTCTAAGTTTTCATGGAGAATAGGTGTTGAATTTTGCCAAACACTCTTCATGAATGCATTAGGATGATTGTAATTTTTTCTTCTATAAATAGGATAAATTAAATTGATTCATCTTTTAGAATTTAAGATTTAGACTAATTTTGTATGACTTAAAAAAACTCCACCTTGTCAAGATGTCTTATCCTTTTTATATATTGCTGGATTTGGCTTGCTAATATATGTTAAGGCTTTTTTTGCATTTATTTTCATTTTCTGTTTTGGTATTGCCTGTATTTGATTTTGATAACAGAGAGACAGTAGCCTCATAAAATGAGTTGAGCTGTGTTCCCGCTCTCTATTTTATGAAAGCATTTTATGAGATTGGTATTAGCGCTTCATTAAATGTTAGAATTCACCAGAGAAACCATCTGGGCACAGAGGAATTTGTTTATGTTTTGAGGGCATAGGAGGTTAATTATGAATTCAGTTTCTTTAAAAGATATAGGAATATTCAGATTTTTTATATCTCCATGGGTCTATTTTGGTAATTTGTGTTTCTTAAAAGAATTTTTCTCTTTTGTTTAAATTGTCCATTTTTTGTCATAACATTGCTTTATAATATTCCCTTGTTATTCTTTTTTATATCGTTAGGATCTATACTGATTCCTGATCTTGGTACTTGGTGTTTTTGCCATATTTTCAAATCTAGTTAGCTACAGGTTTATTAATTTTATGATGTTTTATTTCATTTTTCTGTCCATTTTTAAATTTGATTTCCCCATCCTTTTTCCTTTCTTCTATTTTCTTTCAACTTAATTTGTTCTTCTCTTTTTAGCTTTTTAAGTTAGAATCTTAAAACATTGGCTTTAAACCTTTCATCTTTTTGTAAAGTAAACATTTTAAGCTATAATTTTCCTTGTAAGCACTGTTTTAGCTGATCTCACCAATTTCAATACCTTGTGCTTTCATTTCATTTAGTTCAAAATATTTTTAAACTTCCTTTGTGATTATTCTTTGACATACGCATTATGCAAAACTGTTTTTTACTTGTAAAATCTTGGGGAATTTTTAAGGTGTCTTCTTATTACTGATTTCTAATTTAATTCCGTTATGGTTATAGAATGTTTTCTGTATGATTTTGATAACTTTAAAATCTCAAAGTTTTTTTTTTTTTTTTTTTTGAGACAGAGTCTCACTCTGTCACCCAGGCTGGAGTGCAATGGCACAATAGTGTCTCACTGCAACCTCTGCCTCCCAGGTTCAAGCGATTCTCCTGCCTCAGCCTCACAAGTAGCTGGGACTACAGGCATGTGCCACCACGCCTGGCTAATTTTGGTACTTTTAGTAGAGTTGGGATAACTTTAAAATCTCAAAGTGGTTTTTTTTGTTTGTTTGTTTGTTTTGAGACGGAGTCTCGCTGTGTCACCCAGGCTGGAGTGCAGTGGTGCAATCCCAGCTCACTGCAACCTCCACCTCCTGGGTTCAAATGATTCTCCTGCCTGACCTCAAGTGATCTGCCTGCCTTGGCTTCCCAAAGTGCTGGGATTACAGGCATGAGCCACCACACCTGGCTTAAAATACCAAAGTACTGAGAATTATTTTGTGGCACAAGATACAGAGTCTATCTTTTATGAACATTCAAAAGGCACTTGAAAAGATTATGTTAATATAGTGCTCTATAAATTTAATATGGCCAAATTTGGTAGTGGTTCACACTCTTTAAATTAAATGCAATTCACAATATATTTAGGTGTAAATGTACCATCTTGCTATTTCTTTTTTGTTTCATCTGTTCTTTGTTCGTTTTTCCCTTTTCATGACTTTTCTGGTATTGATTATTTTTCAAATATTGTATTTATTCTCTATTGGCTTATTTGCTGTATCTCTTTGTGTTCTGGGGTTTAACAATGTGCACCTTCAAATATAACAGTGTGATATCAAATGATACTATACCACTTCATGGATAAATTGACTATCTTTTAATAGTATATTTCCATTTCCTTACTCCCTTTGTGCTGTAGCTGTCGTACATGTTTTACTTATACATGTCTTATAAATCCCATAAATGCATTGGGTAATATTTTTGTCTTAAACAGTAAACTACCTTTTAAAGAAAGTTAAAAATAATGACAAACTTTTTATTTTTATTCACATATTTTCCATTCCCAGGACTTATCATTCCTAAGTTTCTGTTGTCATTTACTTCAGCCTGATGGCTATAAATTCTCGAATAGAGACAGGGTCTTGCTAGGTTGCCAAGGCTGGTCTTGAACTCCTGGGCTCAAGTGATCCTCCTGCCTCAGCCTCCCAAAGGGCTAGGATTACAGGCATGAACCACTGTTCCTGGCCTATAAATTATTTTACTGTTTATCTGAAAAACTCTTTATTTCACCTTTATTTTTTAAAATTAAAAAATTTATTTATTTGTTTATTTTTTTGAGACAGTCTCACTTTGTCACCCAGTGCAATGGCGTGATCTTGGCTCACTGCAACCTCCACCTCCCGGGTTCCAGTGATTCTCCTGCTTCAGCCTCCCGAGTAGCTGGGTTTATAGGTGCCTGCCACCACGCCCAGCTCATTTTTGTGTTTTTAGTAGAGATGGGGTTTCACCATGTTGGTCAGGCTGGTCTTGAACTCCTGACCTCAGGTGATCCACCCACCTTGGCCTCCCAAAGTGCTGGGATTACAGGCGTGAGCCACCTCACCCAGCCATCACCTTTAAATTCAGAGGATATTTTTGCTGATTAGGAAATTCTCAGTATTTTTTTTATTTATTTTTTTTTAACTTTTACTTTTGTTTCAGGGGTACATGTGCAAGTTTGTTATATAGGTAAATTGAGTCTTGCAAGGATTTAGTGTACAGATTATTTCATTACCCAGGTAATAAGCATAGTATCTGGTAGGTAGTTTTCTGATCCTCAACTTCCTCCTGCTCCACCCTCAAATAGGCCCTGGTGTCTGTTGTTCTCTTCCTCGTGTCCATATGTACTCAATGTTTAGCTCCCACTTATAAGTGAAAACATGCAGTATTTGGTTTTCTGTTCTGCATTAAATTGCTTAGGATAATGGCCTCCAGCTCTATCCCTGTTGTGCAAAAGACATGATCTCATTCTTTTTTATGGCTGAGTAGTATTCCATGGTGTGTATGTGCCACGTTTTCTTTATCCAGTCTAGCATTGCTGGGTACTTAGGTTCATTCCATATCTTTACTATTGTGAATAGTGCTGTGATGAACACATGTATGCAAAGGACTTTATGGTAGAACGATTCATATTCCTTTGGGTATATACCCAGTGGATTGCTGGGTGAAGTGCTTGTTCTGTTCTGAGTTCTTTGAGTAATCTCCAAACTGCTTTCCACAGTTGAAGGAGTCCCTTTTCAATAAATATTACTGGCATAACTGGCTAGCCAAAGCAGTAGATTGAAACTGGACCCCTTCCTTTTAACATATGCAAAAATCAATTCTAGCTGGATTGAAGGCTTAAACATAAAACCTAAAGGGTTTATGGGCCTATAAAAACCCTTGAAGGAAACCTAGAAGATACCATTCTGGACGTAGATCCTGACAAAGATTTAATGACAAAGATGCCAAAAGCAATAACAAAAACAAATATTGACAAATGGGACCTAATTCAACTAAAGAGCATCTGCAAAGGAAGAGAAACTAACAAAGTAAACAGACAACCAACAGAATTGGGAGAAAATATTTGTAAAATACGCATCTATCAAAGGGCTAATATCCAGAATCTATAAGGTGCTTAAATTAACAAGCAAAAAGCAGACAACCCCATAACAAAGTGGGCAAAGGACACAAACAGGCAGTTTTCAAAAGAAGACATATACATGACCAATAAGCATTTGAAAATAAGCTCAGCATCACTAATTGTTAGAGACATGCAAGTCAAAACCGTCATGACAATTCTCAGTATTTTTGTTTTTGTTTTCAATTTCAGCACATTAAAAATGTTCCATTGTCTTTTGGCTTGTATTGTTCCTTAAAAGAAGTTAGTATTACATCTTCTCTTTGTTCTCCTGCTATAATGTTTTTTTTCTTCTGGATACTTTAAGATTTTTCTCTATCATTGGTTTTCAGCAATTTGATTATAAGGTACCTTGGTGTGCATTTTTTGTATTTATCTTTCTTGCAGTAAATTCTGTCATGTGGAGCTGTATATTTAGGCTTTTATCAAATTGGGAAATATTAGCCACTATTTATTCAAATACTTTTTTCTGTTTAACCTTCCCAACACACACACACACACACACACACACACACACACACACACAAGCACGCGTGTTTACAGTCTCTCTCTTTTTCTCTCGCTTTAGGTATTAAAATCGAACATATGTTAGGTAGCTTGATATTGTCCCACCTGCCATCAAAGATTTTAAGATTTTTTTAGCCAGCATTCTTTCTCTGCTTCAGTTTCTATTTTTTCAAACTCACTTATTTTTCTACAATACCTAATGTTATGTTAAGCCCTCAAATAGCTTTTTCACATTAAGTATACATTTTTCAGCACTACAATTTTATTTGCTTCTTTTTTTAGTTTGCATGCCTTCCTTTATTGTTCACAATTTCCTTTAAATCCTTGAACATCCTAATAGCTGCTCGAAAGCCCCTTTCTGCAGATTCCATTGCCATTGTTATTTTTCCTTCTGTTTCCATGGACACTGTGGGTGTTATGTTGTTGAGTTTCTGAATTTTGCTTTTGTCCTTTGAAGAGTTTTGAAGTTTCTTTGCTAGGCATTGGATTAGTAACTTGGGAATCACCTTGATCCATTTGATGTTTGCTCTTAAGCTTTGTTAGGTCAAGTCTTAAATAGCTGTTATTCTAGAGCTAGTTTATTCCTGCTACCAGGAAGGGGCAATCCATATGGGCTGTATTGTACCCGCCGGGTGTTCAATGAGTTTTCTCACTCAGGATCATCAGAACTTGCCTATTTTCCAGTTCTTTCTTACGTCTAGAAATTGTTCGACTTAACAACTCTCCACTAACTGTTCTCTGCCTAGCGGCATGGGATTTGTCTCTTTATGCACATCTTAGTTGTCAACTAGGAACTTAAATCGTTATAAAAAATTTCCACCTTTCTATCTGTGTTGCCTTCTCCTCTCCAGTTCTCTGCCCCACAAAATCTAGCTACCTAAGCCTTCATGAACTCTGATCCCTCAATTTAGTGAGACCCCTGTGTTCTGTTTGGCTTCCTTTTCCTCTGCAGCGATACAGAAACGATCTCCAGGTAGAAAGCTGGGCAGTTGCAGGACACACGTAATTTGTACCTCTTCTCACGTGGATCACAGCCCTGTACTATCTGCTGTCCAATTACAGAAAACACTTAATTTGTACATTTGTTTAGTTTCTAATTGTTAATAGTGGGAAGGAAACTAACTTACTATGTTGATGCAAACATAATTGAGGTTTTTGCCGTTAGTTTCTTTTTTTTCTTTGAGACAGAATCTCGCTCTGTTGTCCAGGCTGGAGTGATCTCAGCTCACTGCAACCTTCGCTTCCTAGGTTCAAGCAATTTTCTTGCCTCAGCCTCCCAAGTAGCTGGGATTATGGGCACCTGCTACCATGCCTGGATAATTTTTGCATTTTTAGTAGAGACAGGGTCTCAGCATGTTGGCCAGGCTGGTCTCAAACTCCTGACCTCTCAAGTGATCCACCCTCCTCAGCCTCCCAAAGTGCTGGGATTATAAGCATGAGCCACCTCGCCCTACTGCCATTACTTTCAATGGCAAAAACTGCAATTACTTTTGCACCAACCTAGTAACATAGAAGCAAAAATTGGTCCGTTTTCTTTTTAGTGGGCATGTTCACTGCATTCAGAATTTAGTGGATAGCTATTTTCTTTTAGTGCACCAAAGATGATACCAATGATTGTAAGTTGTACTAGCTTTTATTACGTTTGTTAACAAGTTGTCTGTCCGGCAAATTGTTCTTTGAAAGGTGTATGTGTGTGTGAAGGAGAGGGGGCCTGGCTGCTTTTATTATTTTGTCTTGGCCGGGCTTGGTGGCTCACCCCTGTAACCCCAGCACTTTGGGAGGCCGAGGCTGGCGCATCACCTGAGGTCGGGAGTTGGAGACCAGCCTGACCGACATAGAGAAACCCCGTCTCTACTAAAAATACAAAATTAGCCAGGCATGATGGCACATGCCTGTAATCCCAGCTACTCAGGAGGCTGAGGCAGGAGAATCGCTTGAACCCGGGAGGCAGAGGCTGCAGTGAGCTGAGATCGCTGCAGTGAGCTGAGATCACGGCATTGCACTCCAGCCTGGGCAAAAAGAGGGGAACTCCGTCTCAAAAAAAAGAAAAAAGGAAAAAAAAAAAGAAAAAAAATTGTCTTTGGGTTTTAGAAATGTAATGATGATTGCTTTCATGTGGATTTCATTGCACGTATCCTATTCGGAGTTTATAGGACTTCCTGAATCTGTGGCTTAATGTCTTTATTGGTTTTGGAAAATTCTCAGCCAGCATTGCATCCACCCCATTCTTTCTCCCCTTTCCTTTTCAAACTTCAGTTACATGTTTGACAATTCGCTGTGCTCTAATCCTCTCTTACTCTCTTTTCTCTATTCCCACTTTTCCTTCTCACACATTAGCAGGATATTTTTTACTGACCTCTTTAAAGTTCGCTAATCTCTTCTACTGTGTCCAATTTGCTTTAACCACATCTATTGAGTGCATTTTCTTTATTTTTTGATGGGTTCCAGAATTGCTACTTTATTCTGTGTTAAAAATAAACAAATTTTGGCCGGGCGCTGCAGCTCACACCTGTAATCCCACACTTTGGGAGGCCAAGGCGGGTGGATCACTTGAGGTCAGGAGTTCGAGACCAGCCTGTCCAACATGTGAAGCCCCGTCTCTACTAAAAATACACAAAATTAGCTGGGCTTGGTGGTGGGCACCTGTAACCCCAACTACTCGGGAGGCTGAGGCAGGAGAATCGCTTGAACCTGGGAGGTGGAGGTTGCAGTGAGCCGAGATCGTGCCACTGGACTCCAGCCTGGGTGACAGAGTGAAATTTCGTTTCAAATAAATAAATAATAAATAAATTTTAACTGAATGGAGATCAAATTAAAAATTATATATGGGAGAATCAGGACAGAATGTATGTGTGTGGATTGGAGAAACAAGTAAGAGTATTACATCTTCATCCTTCAGTTAGGTGTTTTAATCAGAAAAGAAAATAAATATTTTTTTAAAAATCACTTACTTAGAAATATGGATATAATTATCCAAAGAGGTAACTGACTAGTTGAAAGTGGTTATCTTTGGGAAAAAGGAATGGAGGAGGAGGAAAGAGAGAACACCATTTTGCGCAATTGACCTTTTGGAACTGTTTGATGTTTATTTTTAAATTCTATTTCTGCATAACAAATTACCATTTGACCTTTAAAAATTATGGATCACTTTAATAAAAAGTAAAAGTTAAATTATTGAATTAGAAAGAAATTAAGAATAAATAGACTTTAGCTATTCACCGGTGAATTTATCTTGTCATTCATTTTCTTAAACATCTATACAATTGTTTTAATGTCTGTTTTATATAAATCCAGTATCTGAATTTCCTATGTTTGATTTTCCTATTGTCTGCTGTTTCTCTTTATTTTTTCTTAATTCGGTTCTTTTTCCGGACATGCCTGTTGATTTTTGCTTAAATGCCACGTTATATTTAAAAAATTATAGTGGCTATACATTTGTTCTCTCTCAGAGAGATTTAACTTTTCATGCGGCAGGCGTTTAGGGTACGTAAAGATCATTTTTGGCTAATCAATTATTGAGATAATTTAAGGCCGAACTTGATTCTCCAAAGGCTTTTGGTTTGCCCTTAATCTTAATGCATGTAGTATTTCAAAAGGTTCAACTGAAACCCTGGGGTGTTTATCAGTGCCCCTCCTCCTAGGGAGGTTATAGACTCCAATTTCCCAAGAATTCTCCTTCCTGCTGCTTGGTTCCTTCCTCCCTTGCTTTTTCTTCCTTTCCTTCCCTTCCCTCCCTCCCTCCCTTTCTTCTTTCCTTCCTCCTTCCCTCCCTTCCTCATTTCCTTCCTCCCTCCCTTCCTCTCTCCCTCTCTCCCTTCCCTTCCCTTCCCTCTCTTTCTTTTGTCTTTTTGTCTTTCTCTCTTTCCCTCCTTCCTTTCTTTCCTTTCTCTTCTTTCTTTCCTTCCTTCCCTTTTCCTTTTTTCTTTCTCCTTCCTTCCTTCCTTCTCTTTCTTTCCTTCCACTTTCTTCTTTCTTTCCTTCTCTTGCTATTTTTTTTTTTAAACCATTCACCATGTGCAGTTTCAAACACAGGTGAATGAATGCCTTTAAGGGGACAATGGAGCACAATGACGCCTCCACTTTCCAAGGTTTCCTTTTCCTTCTATGCCTGTGATGCTCTTAAGATCTGTAAGATGTTCTTTTCTTTTGGCATTGTATAATAGTATCTAATACATATATTATGTAATTTCGTATAACATAATTATATAACATGTATAATTATACATAACATGCATGAATATAACAGTACATACGATATAATATATAACATGTGCCATTATATTGTACATATATAATGTATTATATATCATTATTTTTATAAATATTTATATATAAATATAAATACCACATAAAACAATTCATATATGAATAAATATATGTTCACATATACATTTATATATGATATAAATATATGCTATTTATATATTTATGTGTTATATAAATATATGCTATATATACTTATATTTTTTAATGTATAATATTTAACCTGGATTTCATTTTTTTGGCTGGTTAATATACGTTTTGAAAATTTTTTCGAAAAAGCAAAAAGCCATTTATATTCCATTTATAAAAAGCCATTTATATAATAAGCATATATAAATAAAAATGTAAATAATTATATACATAAATAAAATATATATTTATATAAATAAAAAAATATAAATATATATTTAAATTTATATATACATAAAATACATAAATATATATTTACATATAAATAGAATATATAAATAAATATATATATATATTTATCCCCTCAATACTTGTTCTCCAGAGTTAGTTAACAGAAAGCATTGGAATTATATTCTGTGCACATATGTGTACACGGATCCCATATACAAAGTTTTCTTTTTCAAAAGTGGCACCATACATGTTATTTTGCCATTAACTTTTTTCACTTTACAACATATTTTTTGACATTTTTCTAATTTAGTAAATTTAATTTTTCTGGTTATTTATTGCTGCATAACAAAAATTCATCCCCAAACGAAGTTTCTTAAAACAAAAATTTATGACTGCCTCTTGTGGTTCTGTGGATTGGGAATTCAGATAGCCCATGGTGGGGGTGGCTTGTCTCTCTCCAACAGAATCTGTAGCCTTCTCTGGGAAGACGCTCACAGCAGGGGCTTGAGTAGCTGCAGACAGGCCCGGAACCTCTCTTTTTCTCCCTGTCTCTCTCTTCCTTTCTGAAATCAAGCCACTGCACTCAAGCCTGGATAACAGAGTGAGACTCTGTCTCTAAATAAATACATAAATAAATGAAATTAAAAAATAAAAAAAAATAGACCTTTCTTTATCTTTAGTCTCCTGCAAAGCTGCTGAGTGAGGCAGTGTCTTTAAGACATGTAGAAGCCCTTTTGGGCATCCCCTTAAATATGTCTGAGGCCTTAACAAAGGATATTACAGCCCCATCCTTGAGTCCATCTTTCCCAGAAACCAGATTTTACCGCCCTAGATTTGAAAGGTTTCGCCTGGAGACACCACAATGAGAAACAGTAGTCCTTTCTAACCCAGCAGAGAAACAGTAATCCTTTCTAACTCAGCAAACCCTGGTTCCTTGCTATTCCATCTCAATTCTGCTAAAAAACTGGAATAGCTTCTTCTTCAATTAACCTGTCTCTGCTTACCTTTTCTCATAGGCATCTGGAAAAATCCAGCTGGCATTTTCTGTTTTTCCACTTGGAAATCACCCTAGTCAGATCCATGAGGTCATTAGGTATCCTTGCCATTGGTTATATTGATTTTTTTTTTTTTTGAGACAGAATCTCGCTCTGTCACCCATGCTGGAGTGCAGTGGCTGATCTCAGCTCATTGCAACCTCTGCCTCCTGGGTTCAGGCAATTCTCCTGCCTCAGTCTTCCGAGTAGCTGGGATTACAGGCATGCGCCACCATGCCTGGCTAATTTTTTGTATTTACAGTAGAAACAGAGTTTCACCATGTTGACCAGGCTAGTCTCAAAGTCCTGACCTCAAGTGATCCACCCGCGTCGGCCTGGGATTACAGGCGTGAGCCACCGCACCCAGCTGACCATTGACAGGCAGCAATTTTGCTAACTGTTCTGCTGGGACGTGACTCAGGCGTTCTTTTCTCCAGCTTCCAATAAGCCCTTCCTGTGCCCCTTCATGTTTCCTCCAAGAGTTTTCCAAAGGTCCTTGCAACTCTCATTAATAGTCTTTCGAGGCAGTTATAGCTTTTTCCCATTGCTCAATCCCAAAGCCAGTATTTTAAGTTATTGTTACAGCAGCACTCTCCTTCCAGATACCAAATTTTGTCCTGGTTATCGATTACTGCAAAGCAAACCACTGCAAAGTTTGTGGCAAACCCCTAGCCACACAGGAGAGAATGTGTGTTGTAAAGAATTTAGTGAATCCTGGATTCCATACTTTGATGGAAGACATGAAAAATTTTACCTTCCAACATGTATTTTTTGAATGATTTTTTTTTTCTACTTCTACCTATTTCTATTCAGAGTGCAATGAATCTTTTCATCACCCTCTACCCTTGGGTGTCTTGGGCACTTGAAGTAGATATATTTACTGATGGTAAAATAAAAAAGATAAGGGAAGGGGATATTTACCGGAGGATTATCACTGGTAAGGTAGCACTTGTCTTGGTGTCTGATTTGTGTAACTCTGAATCCCAAAGCTAGAGGCAGGTGGTAGAAGGAAGTTGAAATTGACTCCTCACTGTTTCCTGGAGGGCTGTACTATTCTAGGTTAGAGAGAGAACTTATGCTAAATCCAGCTACAAATGCACGATAAGGAGAAGTCCTTCCTGTTCATTTTGTTCCATGTTGAGTTTAGCCTCCATCCCGGTAATTGGTAAAAGATTTTCTTTGGTATTTTCATAGGAAGGAGCTGACACATTTTGACCACATATATTGAATAAAAGTTGGAGCAAAAGTGCCAGGGCCTGTAAACCTGCAACCACCTTAATATGGAGGTCTCAAAATGGTCATAGCTGGGGAAGACCAAGAAACTGCAGAAGTCTGCCATCCAGCTTCTCTAGTTCTTTGTGTTTCTGATTTTTTTTTTTTTTTTTTGAGACAAAGTCTTGGTCTTTCACCCAAGTTGGAGTGCAGTGGTGTGACCACAGTTCACTGTAATCTCGAACTCCTGGGCTCAAACCATCCTCTGCCTTAGCCTCCTGAGTAGTTAGGACTACAGGCACATGCTACCACACCTGGCTAATTTTGCAAATCATTTTTTGTAGAGATGGGGTCTCCCTATGTTGCCCAGGCTGGCTGGTCTCAAATTCCCAACCTCCAGTAATCCTCCCACCTAGACCTTCCAAAGTATCGGTATTACAAGTGTGAGCCACTGCCTAGCCTTCTCTACTTCTGAGGCTCGCTGAGCTTAGTGTCCTAAGGCAAGAGATCCTTGATTTTTTTTTTCCTCCCAAAGTAAGGTCTTTGATTTGTGTTTGTGTTGACTATTCACTTGTAACAACAGCCAACATTTATTGAAAGCTTACTCTATGCCTGGAGCCAGGTTAACTGAGTGAACTGCTATTTCACATAGTCACATTTAATTTTCTCAAAGCCTTATGGAATAGACACTCTGATTATCCCCATTTTATAGATGAGGGCAATGAGATTCAGAGAGAGTAAACAACTTGCCCAAATTTACGCAGGCAGGAAGGGAGGGCAGAATGAGAGCTTTGGCCAAATGTTTCCCACTCTGGTTATGTGGGAGGCCCCCACATTTTACCAGGA
This sequence comes from Homo sapiens, assembly GCF_000001405.40. Classification (NCBI taxonomy): domain Eukaryota; kingdom Metazoa; phylum Chordata; class Mammalia; order Primates; family Hominidae; genus Homo; species Homo sapiens. The sequence continues at coordinate 72,341,586 of NC_000007.14, read as the reverse complement.
ACTTCATGTGTGTATCTCTACACTTACCAAGGCATTTGTTTGTTTGTCTGTTTTTTTGTTTTTTGAGACTGAGTCTCGCTCTGTTGCCCAGACTGGAGTGCAGTAGCACAATCTCGGCTCACTGCAACCTCTGCCTCCCAGGTTCAAGCGATTCTTGTGCCTCAGCCTCCAAAGTAGCTGGGATTACAGGCATCCACCACCATGCCTAGCTAATTTTTGTATTTTTAGTAGAGGCGTGGTTTCACCATGTTGGCCAGGCTGGTGTCGAACCCCTGACCTCAAGTGATCCACCCGCCTCGGCTTCCCAAAGTGCTGGGATTACAGGCTTCAGCCACCGTGCTTGGCCCTACCAAGGCACTTTGGTGACATGGTTGTCATCTAGAAAGTGTCAGAATAATTGCTTACAGAGGCAACAGATTGTTAGATGATGCAGCATTCATCCAAACTAAGGGATCAAAGGGAAAGATCTTATGGAGATCCTGTCAACTCTGTTCATCTGCCTGCGACCCATTGTGGAAACCCCTGTAAATATAATACCTTCTGTATGAATTCGTTTTCACATTGCTGATAAAGACATAGCTGAGACTGGGTAATTTACAAAAGAAAGATTTAATGGACTCATAGTTCCACATGGCTGGGGAGGCCTCACAATCACGGGGGAAGGCCAAAGGCACAGACACATCTCACATGGCAGCAGATGAGAGAGAGAGAGCCAAGTGAAAGGGGTTTCCCCTTATAAAACCATCAGATCTTGTGAGACTTACTCACTACCATGAAAATGGAATGGGAGAAACCGCCCCCATGGTTCAATTATCTCCCACCAGGTCCCTCCCACAACATGTGGGAATTATGGGAATACAGTATGTGATTTGGGAGGGGACACAGCCAAACCATATCACCTTCTATGCGCATCTCTGAACTAGGTACATAAAACTCAACCAGTGGCTCAAGCATGTCACTGGGCTGCTCACCCAGTGCAGTAAGACCAGCTATCCGCATCAAGGTTTTGCAGCAGGAGAAGGGAAGGCATGTATTTGCAGGGCACCAACCAAGAGGAATCAGGCAGCTCATGCTTAAGTCCCAACCACCCAGTTGGCTTACAGGAAAGGATTTTTAAAGGTGGGAGGCAGAGGCTACAGGCAAAGCCATAAATCAATCCATGAAAGCTCTACATTTGGTTTGACTTAAAAAAGCAGACATCTGGGAGCAGAGGCCCACATGGGCTCACATTGGGACTAGTAATCCCAATACTTTGGAAGGTGGGGGTGGGAGGATTACTTGAGGCCAGGAGTTTGAGACCAGCCTGGGCAACATAGGGAGATCCCATCTCTACAAATGTCATAAGTGAGTTCAAAGATTTTCTGATTTGTGATTAGTTAAGGAGGTAAAGCTTTGTCTAAAAATACGGGGTTTGCAGAAAAGAATGTTCACTCTGGCCTGTAGGTGTGGCTTCCTCCAGACCCTTCAGGAAGAAATTTAGAACAAGAACCACAGTTAGAGTTTAGTCCTCAGTTCCCTCTCATCCAAGGTCTATGTGCTAGTCGATCAGTTTAATGGGGGTCCAGGTTTCTGAAAAACAACTGAAGGACACTAAGATGTTATGTTTAGATTCTATAGGGAATGATAGACTATAGGGAATGGTTTGACTGTGTCCCCACCCAAATCTCATCTTGACTTGTAGCTCCCATAATTCCCATGTGTTGTGGGAGGGATCTGTTGGGAGGAAATTGAATCATGGGCACAGGTCTCCCCCATACTGCTCTCATGATAGTGAATAAGTCTCACGAGATCTGATGGTTTTATCAATGGGAGTTCCCCCTGCACAAGCTCTCTTGCTTGCTGCCATGTAAGATGTGCCTTTGCTTCTCCTTTACCTTCTGCCATGACTGTGAGGCCTCCCCAGCCATGTGGAACTGTGAGTCCATTAAACCTCTTTCCTTTGTATATTACCCAGTCTTAGGTATGTCTTTATTAGCAGCATAAGAACAGACTGATACAGGGAACAAAAACATTTCCTGACTCTTAACTTCCTTGGCTATTGTTTTAAGCTAAAATTACCTTCTTGCTTATCAAGTTGCTGGTTTACTTCTCAGGGCTAGCTAGGTACCTGGAGTTTCTTTGAAGGAACTCAGGATTTTTCTGTGTTTTCATGCTGGGGTAGGGGAGGGGTACTCAGCAAGTCCTTAAGAGTGGTACCTGTTACATCTCAGTTATAAGATTGCTAGGGAGCATATGATCCAGCAATCCCACTGCTGAGTATATACCCCAAAGAAAAGAAATTAGTATATCGAAGAGGTATCTGCATTCTGATGTTTGTTGCAGCACTGTTTATAATAGTTAAGATTTGGAAGCAACCCATGTGTCCATCAACAAATGAATAAAGAAAATGTGGGACATGTACACAATGGAGCACTATTCAGCCATAAAAAAGAATGAGATCCAGTGATTTGTAACTACATGGATGGAAGTGGAGATCATTATGTTAAGTAAAATAAACCCGGCACAGAAAGACAAACATCACATGTTTTCACTTATTTATGGGATCTAAAAATCAAAACAATTGAACTCATGGACATAGAGAATCTACCAGTGGTTACCAGAGGTTGGGAAGGGTGAGGGGGGCTGGGTGGGGGGTGAGGAGGTTGGGTAGGTAGGGATGGTTAATAGGTTAAAAAAAAAAAAACAAGTTAGAATGAATAAGACCTATTATTTGATAGCACAACACAGTGACTATAGTCAATAACTCATATTTTACAATAACTTAGAGTGTAATTGGACTGTTTGTAACTCAAAGGATGAATGTTTGAGGGAATGCTACCCGGTTCTCCATGATGAGCTTATTTCACATTGCATGCCTGTAACAAAACATCTCATGTACCCCATAAATATGTACACCTACCATGTACCTATAAAAATAACAAAAACATATTTAAAAAAGATTACTAGGGAAGTAGGGTCTATACAAGATAGTAATAATACAGGTTAGGAAATGCTAAATGCTAAAGGCGTGGCACCCACAATGAGTGCCTCAGGGACTCTGAAACCACACCCAGGTGAGACACACACACACACACACACACACACACACACACACACACACACACACACACACACACTGTGCTGCTGGCTGACAAAAACGCCCAAACTTCCCTGGCAGTTGAACCAAACAGTGGAGAGGTGATTGCTGAGTTGTTTGCATGAGAGGCTTAGAGCAGCATTGCCTGCTTTTGTTCTGATTGGTGTGAAATTTTTCACATGTATCTTTTCTCTGGTTCTGGGAATTGAAGACATCTGAGCTGGTGAGCAGTCTTTGCCACCAAGAGGGGACAAGAAACTGGGGACCCGGGAGAGGAGGGTGCTGTAAGGAAGGACTAGCCTGCTTTGGCCAGGTTTGTTGCTCTTTCTTTATTGGCACAACCTTGGGGGCAGCAGAAAGGAACTGGCAAGCGTCTAATCTGTCTACGGGACAGTCTGAGACCCACCTTGCTGCTTTCTTTCTTTTTCTTGCCAAGACAAACCTTGGTTGCACTGTGTATTCCGTCAGTTCTTGGGAGGCAGACAGGTGGGGACTGGGAAAGGTGACTGCTGACTCCAAGCACATGCGTTGCCCTTGAGACCTGGGGCAGGGGTCTGTCTGGGCGTAGACTCAGTAGAGGTCAGCGCATGGGCAGGTTGCAGACAGTCTGCGAATTTGTAGCTCACACCTCTGCCCAAGCGCCCTCTCCTTCCCATCGGATCCATTCTATGACCTTGGAAGAAGTGGGGGCCACACCACATGTTCTCAGGCCCTGGAGGAGTGGGATCGCTGGTGGGTGGGCGATGCCCTGCGGCAGCCGTGCCTCCCTGGACGTCTCCAGGGGCGGTCACGCGGAATGCTGGTCCCCGCAGTTTCGGCCATTGGCCCCTCCACTTCGGCGCCCCGCCTTCCCCCTGGGCTCAGGTGTAATCGTGGATCTAGGGTGTGGGCACCTGGGATGAAGTAGTGAAGGCGGCGGGCGCTAGGGTGAGTTGTCCTGTGCTGAGGAGCAGCAGTTTGCCGGAGTTAACGTGGGCAGCCTCTTTGGGAAGGGAAGGAAGGAGCACCGTCTGCCAAGCGCCTGCTCGCCCCCCGCGTGTCTGCCTGTGTGTGCCGTGCATGTGCATGCGTGTGTGTGTGTGTGTGTGCGCGCGAGTGTGAGTGCGCGCGCGCCGAGGCGTTCCTCAGGTTGCGCTGCTTGGAAACCGAGGGAGCCATTGGAGAGGCGGAGGTTGGGGGGTGGGGGCTCCCCGACCCTCGGAGGAGCTGGGGCGCAGGCGGCCAAGGCGAGCCCAGAAGCCCGGCTCCTGAACGCGGGCGCCGGCAGAGCGAGGAGTGTGGTGCTGTCGGCGGCAAGGCCCTGGGGGATCCGCTGGGGAGGAGCTGGGGAGGAGGCCGGAGCTGCATGGAGTTTCTAGGGCGCGCAACTCCAGCGGGGCCTCGGCCACTGGGCTCCGGGGCGCAGCGAGGCAGCCGCGCACATGGGCTGAACCCGCGCGGCCAGCGGGAGCGGGAGGGGTAGAGGAGCGCGCGGTGCAGGGGGTGCGGGGCACACGTCCCCAGACGAGAGCAGAGGACAAGGACAGGGAGGCACGCGCCCAGATCGCGCTCCGAGTCGACGAGGGGGCTCGTGCAGGTCCCGGCGCGCGCGTGGGGAGCGGCCCGGGGGCGCCGAGGGAGCCGGCGGCAGCGAGGATGCCGGCACGGGGACGCGGCTGCCTGCTGGGGGTGTGAGCGAGAGGCTGAGCGCTGCCCGCTCGGCGCATCCATTCCGCACCGCCCCCTCCCTGCGGGCCTCGGAGGAAGCCCCCCGCGCTGTGCGGAGGCGCCTCGGCTGCCGGGCTGCGGAGCCCCGGCCCAGCAAGAGGTGAGTGCCGCCGCCGGCTCCCTAGCTTACCCGCGCGCGCGCTCTCTTTTCTTCTTCCCTCGGTCCTCGCTTCTCTCTAGGGTGTCCAAACCCCCGGGCTGTCGCGGGCCCTGGTGCTCAGAGTGGGCAGATGGTTGGCAGACAGCGCCTCCCGTACCTGTTGGCTCCGACACTGGGGCACCCACCCCGCGGGCTGGGGGCCGCGCCGGCCACCTTGCCTTCCGTGGAGCTGGCTCCTGGCCGCCTGCCTGGGGACGTGGGGCTAGGGAAGGGCCGCGGCGGACTCGGCTGTCCCGGCACCGTGCGGGCTGGAGGCTGGGAGCCGCTCTTCTAGCCCCCAGGCGCCAGTGGCCACCAGGCTGCGCGCCCCCGCCCGCAGGCGCCCGGGCGATGGGGAGGGAGGGCAGGGGACTCGGAGCCGCACCGCAGCCCAGGTGGGAGCGCCCGGCGGCAACCAGGTCTCTTCGCGAAGCCGGAGTCATGGCGATCGGGGGAGGCGGGAGGCAGGGTTCTCTCCACCTCCGGCCCCTAGCGCTGACTGCTTGCCTTTCTGGGCGCACGCTCCTCGCCGCCACCCACCCCGAGTCCGGGGGCGCCAGGGTGCAAGGGGTAACCAGAGAGGCCTCTGCAGTCCGGCTGGGACCTAGTCTCTGAGCTCCAAGCAGCTGGATGGGTCTGGCGCCCAGGTGGGGGTGGGATCCGTCTTCCCCGGACAGTCTGGGTTTACTCGGGTTCCTAGTTTCTCCGGACTAGCGCAGCGCGGAGTGAACTTCCCGAGACTTGGTCCGAGGGCGCCTAGGCAGCAGCAGGTAGTTCTGGGCCACCCTTGGGGCGAGGGCGAGCGGGGGACGCCCCATCCAGACGGGCTGGGGGTACAGAGCGTGCACCGAGGGGATCGGCTTGCGTCTTAGCCTTGGGCCACGTGCGCCCGGGCCACCAGCCCACCATCGTTTCCCACTGCTCTTTTTTCTTGGACGAGGCTTGTGTGAGGAAGGCGCCTTTCTTCCATTTGGGTCGAAGCCCGTAGCTCCTGGGTGAAGCGGTGCCTGCAGTTCCCTGAGTGCCAAGACTGGGGCGCCAGCCATCCCCAGGCCCTGAGCCGGTTTTCTGCAAAAAAGGAGACTTTTTTGGGCTCAGGGAATAGCAGCTTAGCGCCGGCTGTGTGTGGCTGGGAAGTCTGTTTAGTGGTGATAATAACTACATTCTAGAGTGACCCACAGTAGCCTCTGCGACAGAGTTGGGATGACCTTCTCAGAAAGAATGGGTAGATTTCTGCGCTGTGTGTGTTGAGACACACGCAACATTCGTGCACATAGAACTCATGAGCTCCTAGCATTTTCAGGTTCTGCTTCTTTAACTGATGACTTTTGCTCAAAAAGGGAAATTATTTTTCAATTCGGGCATCAGAGCTTTGGAAAGGAATTTAAAGCCATTTGGTGTGAAATTGTCTTGAGGCTAGAACAGGACGTGTTTTTCATAGAAGCCCCATTCCAGCTCTCCTTCTTGGCTTGTTCGTGGTTTTATTTCATTTTTTGTGGGGTGGGAGGAGGTGTTGGAAGAAGAATGTGGAGTTTTGATTTTTATCTGCTACCTGTACTCATGTCCAGGTGTCACCTCAGACCTCTCGGCCTTGTGGTTCTGTCACCACGCCCAGTTTAGGATTCATTCCAGGGCTCCAGGAACTGCATAACTTTGCTAGTTCCCCCGGCAGTTGGTGGGGTCTTCTACCAAAGCCCCAAGGATGCCCTGAGCTGTGTTTCCAGAGTAGCCTGCCCTGGTGGAAGACCAGTGGAATGGCTCTGTTTGTTGAGTTCACTGCAGACGTGTGGGTTTTTCATGGCAATAGCTGCATGAAGCTGTTTACTGAGAAGCTGTTCTACAATGGTGAAGTTGGTTACTGGGTGTATCCAAGTGGAGTAATGAAAACAAAACTCTTTGGAAATCCAATCCTCACGATATTTTATTGGAGGAGAGCTAAATCCTCTTAGAATTGTTCACCAAGATGTCACCTTTCCCTGAACTCTGAAAGCAACTATTGCCAGTAATCAGGCCTTCGGCTAGGGTGCAGGATAAGGGCTTTTTAGAACGAAAATAATTTAATTCAGCTGCTTCTGTTGAGAAACGATGGGCAAGACTTGATTGACACACATGATGCCCTTTCCTCTGTAAGGGGAGGGGGGGTACAGGTTGAGGGGTGGATGACAACTGTTCATTGTTGAGTTTTACATTTATCTCTCCAGTGGGTAGCTTCTGATCCGTTCATAAATATTGGGCAGGGCTGGGGTCGCATTTAGAAATTTCTTTTTCATAGAAACTGGTCTCTTGAGGGTCACCAGCCAGGGTGGGATATCTGTGGCTGGTCCTTCCTTCTGTTGTGGTGTGTGCAGTGGTGTCTTTTACCACATTCTTGTATTGACCACCTATGCAGTGTTTGCTGGTTGTCAGAAGGGGGCACTGGTTCTCATTACGAGAGAAATTCCAATTGATAGACTTTGGACGTTTAAAGCCTTCGGAGACCCTCTTAATTCAGATTTCTGAGACCCTACTTGTGTGCCAGACCCTTTCACACCTTTGAGCTCATGTCATCCTCATTCTTCGTGTTTGGAAACTGATGCAAAGGGAAGTGAAATCACTTTTCCTGGGGCTGTGAAGCTTGCAGGTCAGAAGCAGAGTTACGGTTTGAGGCTAACAGGCTGGGTTTCGATCCTATGTGCGGGGCACTTTCCACATTGCTTCCTTAGGAAAAGTATTTTGGGAACCTTTGACCTGCAGTAACTTGTTTAGAGTCAGACACAGAGTGGGTGCCCTATATTCGTTGAGTGAATCTAGGTCAGCAGCTCATTCCTCATTCCTGGTGAGGAAACTGAGGCACAGGAGGAGCTGTGTCTGTGCAGTTGGTCTGGGGTGGAAGGAGAATCCCACAGCAAAACCCTTTCTTTGTCACGTGTGCCTGTACTGGTTTGAGCCCAGACTGGTTTGATGATTGATGGTAAGCTTTTTTTTTTTTTTTTTCTGCATATTCCCTTTCTGTACCCATGTTGGTATAGGTTCACTTGGGACTTCAGCTGGTGTAGTCAGAGTGTCTGAAATGTCCTTTCACGATTGAGAACCATTAAGCAGTGCAACCAGCAACAGCCTCTGATGCTCGTTAAAACAGTGTGAGTTCTGACTCTTAAGCTATGAAACCATCCTTCAAGATTAGCAGAACATTGGCAGATTTCTCAGAACGCTCAATTTGAGGATAATTCCAAATGTGGTTCGGAAGGAGGAAAAGGAAAACACCATTGTTGCATCCAACCTGGGGTTTTTCAATGTGAATTAAGTTTTTAATCATTTAACATTCAACAAACATTTATTCAGTGCCTATTATGTGGTATGGATAGATAGATGAAGTTGACACAGTGCCTGTCATCAAAAAATTCACAGATTAGTGGGGAGGCCAGACCATGTGTTAGGGTTGAACATTTGTGAACAGAGATGGATGGTAGCTAGGCAAGGGTGGAGGTGATGTCTGAGCTGAGTTTAAAGGATGATTAGGACGTGGTTAGCTTTTCATGGGTATTCTGGTGCAGAGGAAAGGGTGGGAAAGTCTGAGAAATTAGAACACGTGGAGAATATGAGGAAGCAGCTGGTAGTTTGGAGTTCTTGGTGCTTAAAGGTTGAGACAGGGAGGTACAAAAGAAGTGACCAGAATGATAGATGGTGGGGGCCTTTAGTCAGGACCCAGGGACTCAGCATTTCTCCGTTAGGATGGCATGGTCAGTTGTGGCTGGAGACTTCGTGGTGAATGGATTTGGCACTGAGAAGACCAGAAACATGGATACCAGGGAGGAAGCTGGCTCTGAAAGCCGGACAAGGCTGATGAGGCCATGGTGGGGAGGATGGAGAAGATGGGATGAATTTGGCAAACAGGAGAGTTGTCAGTTAGGATCCTTGGGTTGCAAGCAACAGAAACTAAGTCTGGCTAACAACGTCAATAAAGATCGCATTAAGAATACTGATGGAAACTCACAGGATTAAGAACATCCCTGAAGAACCAGGCATGGAATACTCAGGCATTAGGCAGTCCAGGGGATCTCAGTGGCAGGAATTGACTTGTGGTCTCTCCCAGGGGATGCTATGGAAGTAAATGATCACCAACCTTTTCTATTATTATTGAGGTAGGAGGTGGGACTCAACTTTGGAGGTGGGGCTCAATTTGGTCCAAGTAGCTGGACCAAATTGAGGACCAGCTAAAACAGGGCTGGGGTGGAAGCAGCTCTCCATAAGACACACCCACACATGTGCCATGTCAGTTTACTGTTGCCATGGCAACACCGAGACGTTATCACCCCTTTCCATGGCACTGACCCAACCACCCAGAAGTTACCACCCTATTTCTAGAAATTTCTGCATAAACTGTCCTTAATTTGCCTGTAACTAAAAGTGGGTGTAAATATGACTGCAGCACTGCTTCTGGGGTGCTACCTTGCACACATTGCCTAGGGAATAGCCCTGCTCTACAAGGAGTATCTCTGCTGCTGCTGTACACTGCTGCTTCAATGAAAGTTGCTGTCTCCCATTGACAATAGCAAAGACATGGAATCATCTTACATGCCCATCAGTGATAGACTGGATAAAGAAAACGTGGTACATATACACCATGGAATACTATGCAGCCATAAAAAATGATGAGTTCATGTCCTTTGCAGGGACATGGATGGAGCTGGAGGCCATTATCCTTGGCAAACGCAGGAACTGAAAATCAAATACTGCATGTTCTCACTTATAAGTGGAAGCTAAGTGATGAGAACATATGGACCCATGGGGATGCACAAACACACTGGGGCCTGTTAGAGGGTGGAGGGTGGGAGGAGGAAGAGCATCAGGAAGAATACCTAATGGATTCTGGGCTTAATACCTGGGTGATGGGATGGTCTGTGCAGAAAACCACCATGGTACACATTTACCTGTGTAACAAACCTGCACATCCTGCACATGTACCTCTGAACTTAAGATAAAACTTGGAAAAAAAACAAGGTAACAGTTGGAAAAAAAATAAAATGAATAAGTAAATAAATAGATATTCTGTGACTATTAGAAAAAAAAGTTGCTGTCTCACACCCCTGGCTTGCCCTTGAATTCTTTCCTGGGCAAAGCCAAGAACCCTCCCAGGCTAAGCCCCAATTTTGGGCTCACCTGTCCTCCGTTATTGTTACTGTATCATTCTGCTGCATTCAAGATGCTCAGAGGACATATCTGATTGGCATAGTTTTGGGTCCCTGTATCTAGGGGTAGGTTTCTGAAAAGTCACTGGGATTGGGAGAGACTGTTTTCCTCCTCCTTTTTCTTTTTCTTTTTTTTCTTTCTTTTTTTTGATGGAGTCTCGCTCTGTTGCCCAGGCTGGAGTGCAGTGGCGTGATCTCGGCTCACTGCAACTTCTGCCTCCTGGGTTCAAGCGATTCTTCTGCCCCCGCCTCTTGAGTAGCTGGGATTATGGGCTCCCGCCACCATGCCCGGCTAATTTTTGTATTTTTAGTAGAGACGGGGTTTCACCATATTGGCCAGGCTGGTCTCGAACTCCTGACTTCAGGTAATCTACCTGCCTTGGCCTCCCAAAGTGCTGGGATTACAGGTATGAGCCACCGTGCCCGGCCAGGAGAGATTGTTTTCTGAAAGGAAACTGGAAGGATTCTGCTAAAAGACAGTGACAGTGATGTTGAGCTTGTCTTCCATAGGAGGGAAAATTGGCAGGATTATTAATTGGTGGGGAAGTGGGAGAAAGGGAAGGTGTCACTGTTGGGTTTCTGGTTTAGGTAACAGGGTGGAGAAGTAAAATCGAAGTCCGAGCAAGACTAAATAACTGGTTTGCCTTCCCACTGGCAGGGCTGTGGGCAGCTCTCCATGACCAGGCTATTGGAGAGGGTGACAATCTATTTTAAAAAGCCTCATTAAGGGACTGTGCTGCTGTGAATAAGACCTATTTAAGTAGGTTACTTTATCTCATGCACCACAAATCTGGATTCTTTGAAAATGCTTTCATTCATCCAACCAGAATGTATTGAGCATCTCTGGTTCAGGTACTGGGGAAAATGATGAATTCGTCAGACAGAGATGGTACCCTTATAGTCTAGTGGTGTAAGACACAATAAAAAATATGGAAATAAAATTGGAGGATATAATTGAGACAGATGCAAGCACTGCTTCAGATTGGATGGCCAACAAAGGTCTCTCTCTCTTTTTTTTTTTTTTTTTTTTGGAGACAGTCTTGCTCTGTTGCCCAGGCTGGAGTGCAGTGGCACGATCTTGGCTCCCTGCAGCCTCTGCTTACTGGATTCAAGTGATTCTTCTGCCTCAGCCTTCCGGGAAGCTGGGATTACAGACGTACACCACCACACCCAGCTAATTTTTGTGTCATTATTCTTATTTTTTGAGATGGAGTCTCACTGTGTCACCCAGGCTGGAGTGCAGTGGCATGATCTCAACTCCCTGCACCCTCCACCTCTGAGGTTCAAGAAATTCTCCTGCCTCAGCATCCGGAGTAGCTGGGATTACAGGCGCCCGCCACCACGCCCAGATAAATTTTGTATTTTTAGTAGAGACGGGGTTTCACCATGTTGGCCAGGCTGGTCTTGAACTCCTGACACCTCAGGTGATCCGCCTGCCTCAGCCTCCCAAAGTGCTGGGATTACAGGTATAAGCCACTGCGCCCGACCTAATTTTTGTATTTTTATTTTTATTTATTTATGTATTTATATTTATTTATTTTTTGAGACGGAGTCTTGCTCTGTTGCCCAGGCTGGAATGCAGTGGCGCGATCTCGGCTCACTGCAAGCTCTGCCTCCAGGATTCAAACGATTCTCCTGCCTCAGTCTCCTGAATAGCTGGAATTACAGGTGCGTGGCACCACGCCCAGCTAATTTGTGGATTTTTAGTAGTGACGGGGTCTCACCATGTTGGCCGCGCTGGTCTCGAACTCCTGACCTCAGGTGATCCACCTGCCTCAGCCTCCCAAAGTGCTGGGATTACAGGCATGAGCCACCGCGCCCAACCAAGAAAGGTCTCACTGATGAGCTCTATTTAGGCTGATACCAGAATGACATGAAGGGATAAAGTGGGGAAATATCTGCGGAAGAACTTCCAGGGTGTGGGAACAGCCAGTGCAAAAGTCTCAAAGCAGGAATGAACTGGGTTCATTAGAGGAGAAGGAAGGAGACTGGTGTGGCAGGAGATGAGTTCAGAGAGATGGGGGCTAGCTCATATAGGGTCACCCTGTGGAGTTTGGGTTTGATACTGAGTTCAGTAGAAGCCACTGAGGGGTTTTAAACAGGTGAATGATATGACTTAGTCTATATTTTCCAAAGATCATCCTGTCTCCAGCTGTCCATTCTGCCTGCACTACTGTGGTACAATAAAGTGAGTCTTTATCCATCAGAGTGTAAAATAAAATGTAGTGTTTAACAGTAACAGATGGAGAGAAAATGCTTTGGTGACCTTAATTTGGTGATTTCTAACGTACCAGTTAAGTGTGGATACAAACAAAACTGCAATTATAGTATGATTTCAGTTTTGTTTAAAAACGTGGTACAGAAGAACAATGGAAATAAATGGACCAAAAATGTTAACAATGCTTGTCCAAAGCTGTTGGCGTTATGAATGATTTTATGGTTTTGCAAATGAACACACATTTACAATCGGAAAAATGTTTGTTTTAAAATGTAGACACCGGGCTGGGCACGTTGGCTTACGCCTGTAATCCCAGCACTTTGGGAGGCCGAGATGGTTGGATCAGCTGAGGTCAGGAGTTCAAGACCAGCCTGGCCAACCTGGCGAAACCCCGTCTCTACTAAAAATATAAAAAACTAGCTGGGCATGGTGGTGGGTGCCTGTAATCCCAGCTCCTTGGGAGGCTGAGGCAGGAGAATTGCTTGAACCCAGGAGGCGGAGGTTGCAGTGAGCTGAGATTGTGCCACTGCACTCCAGCCTGGGCAACAGAGCGAGACTCTGTCTCAACAAAAGTAAATAAATGTAGACACCGATGATCACCAATGCCTTGAATAGAATGTTGGGAGACTATATCTACAAAACACTTTCCCCTACCATCTTATTTTGGGAGTTTTAATCTCAAAAACCCATGGTCCTGGTTGGGACAAAACACAGGATGCTCATCGTATTAGTCTGTTCTCACACTGCTAATAAAGACATACCTGAGACTGGGTAATTTATAAAGGAAAGAGGCTTGATGCACTCACAGTAGTACCACATGCCTGGGAGGCCTCACAATCATGGCGGAAGATGAAGGAAGAGCAAGAGGATGTCTTCCATGATGGCAGGAAAGAGCTTGTGTAGGGGAGCTCCCATTTGTAAAACCATGAAATCTCATCAGACTTATTCACTACCATGAGAACAGTATGGGGGAAACCACCCCCATGATTCAATTATCTCCACCTGGCCCCACCCTTGATACGTGAGTATTATTGCAATTCAAGGTGAGATTTGGGTGGGGACACAGCCAAACTGTATTACATGTTTTGACAAGGTGCCCAATAAGTGGCTCTGTTTTGTGCTTAAGACATTTTTTAGCGATGAAAGTAAACATTTTTTTTTTAAAAAAAGAAATTAAAAGCTATACAGAAATGTTACATAGAACTTGGAAGGCACCTTTCTTCACTCTCATTCTCAATACCATTAACATTTCAAGTACATATATTGTTAGATTTTTTTCTATGCATTTCAAATACATACATCTAAATTTTGTTGAATTTGAGGTATTGCTGTAAGAAGTTACTTTGCTTCTAAATTACTCTCCAAGTTTCTTCTCATAGAGGTTGAAACCAAGATGACCTTTTTTTCCCCCTTTTAAACAAATTATTAGGAAATTTGAACACATAACTAGGAAGAACTGAACCTTGCCTTTTTAGTATTCAGAGTGTTACTGAAAGCATAATTTATACTTATGAAGAATAGAGCAATTAAATATTCATTAAAAGCTTATTTCTGAACATTTAAACATTATTGCTTTCCCAAACATCATTGGATCCCAAAAGTTTGTATCACGATTACAAATCGCGTGCACTTTTTCATTATCAAAAGTTAGGCAATAGGAAAATGTAGAAGTGCAAATTCGACAGCTTGGCTAATTATTTTGGTGTCATATTTGTTACAACTAAGTATTATTCTTTGAAAACAGGAAAAGAAAAACGTTCAATGAAGTGTTCGTTTATTTATTTATTTTTGAGACAGAGTCTTGCTCTGTTGCCCAGGCTGGAGTGCAGTGCCGTGATCTCAGCTCACTGCAACCTCCGCCTGCTGGATTCAAGGGATTCCCCTGCGTCAGCCTCCTGAGTAGCTGGGACTAAAGGCACGTGTCACCACACCTAATTTTCGTATTTTTAGTAGAGACGGGTTTCACCATACTGGCCAGGCTGGTGTCAAACTCCTGACCTCAAGTGATTCTCCCGCCTCAGCCTCCCAAAGTGCTGGGATTACAGGCGTGAGCCACTGCACCCAGCCTCAATCAAGTGTTACTCAGAACCATTGATGTGTTCTGGAAGAGCTGGATGTTCACATAAAGCCCAAGTTGACCTTGTGGTCTCATCCTACAGACTGGGCTTGGGGGCTTCATTGTCAGGAATTAACTGCCACAAACTCAGTCTCAATATGACTGAATAGTGTTGGATTGGAGTCTCATGTGATTCAGCAGAATTACTACCTTAAAAATCATTAACTAAACATATCCTTTTGTGGTGAAAAGAATGAATATGTGTTTAGAAGACATTGACTGCAAAGTAATAGAACCATGGAATTTAAAGGAGAAGAGGAACCTTGGTTAGCTCATTTGACAGATGGGGAGACTCAGTCAGAGAGACTGAGTGACATGTGCACTGTCAAACAGAGTTCATTTCACACCCCAGAGCCCTTTCCCCTACACTCAGCTGTGGCTCCTTGTTATTGGAAACCGAATTTATTTTTGTAAACCCAAGAATTAGGAAAATGCTCCGAACCTCATGAAAACCGAGAGGGTTTTTGAGCTGTTCATTCATTCTGCAAATTGTAATCTGTTTGTGTACTGATAACAGGCCTAATTACTGTGTAAACATTTTTATAGCCTGGTAAGAAAACCTCAAACATCTGTACTGAACACTGATGTGGCGTCTCAGCCTCCAGCATTCCTACTGCTGGTTCGGAAAACCAGTTGCTCTGCTTTTTAATCTGATCTGTGGCTGATGATTCATTTTATATGCATACACATAAACACATATTCCATCTCAGCAGGCAAACTAGCTTAGTGCTTAGTAGGTGTCATCTGCTTTATTTCTCCCATTTTACAGATGAAGAAACAGAGATGTAGCCAGGTCACAGAGATGTTGCACAGGGTCACGGCTTAGTACTTGGAAACCCAGAGGTATGTAACCCACTAGCTAAAGCCTTCATCCTTTCTGTGCCTATCCAAGACAAGCAACCTTTGTGCAAGGACGATCAGGATCTGAGTTTGTAAAACCACTTTCAATAGTTAAATTAAGGCCAGGCATGATGGCTCACGCCTGTAATCCCAGCACTTTGGGAGGCCCAGGCAGGCGGACCTCGGGAGGCCAGGAGTTCGAGACCAGCCTGGCCAACATGGTGAAACTGCGTCTCTACTAAAAATACAAAATTTAGCCAGGCGTGGTGGCGGGCACCGGTAATCCTGGCCACTCAGAAGGCTTGAGGCAGGAGAATCGCTTGAACCCGGGAGGTGGAGGTTGCAGTGAGCTGAGATTGTGCCACTGCATTCCAGCCTGGGTGACAGAACAAGACCCTGTCTTCTAAAAAAGCCCACCAAAAAACAGTTAAATCACATTTTTTGCCCAGATGTCAAGCGGCAGAGAGGTCTCTGCGAGGTTATTGCATTTTCAAGCCTGTTTTGTGGGTTGCCATCAATCCGTTCCCTTCATGAGTCACTTGGTGGGAGCAGGTCACCAATAGATCATCTGCCCTCAGCAGAGATGGGTGGTTTTCTTTTCCTGCCAAGACCCAAGCCTCAAGTTATTTACCTAGGCAACTAACTGACTTGGTTCCTGCATTATTTTTATTTTATTTATTTTTGAGACAGAGTTTCACTCTTGTTTTATTTATTTATTTTCGAGACAGAGTTTCAATCTCGTTGTCCAGGCTGGAGTGCAATGGTGTGATCTTGGCTCACTGTAACCTCTGCCTCCTGGGTTCAAGCGATTCTTGTGCCTCAGCCTCCCAAGTAGCTGGGATTACTGGTGCTCACCACCACGCCCGGCTCAGTTTTGCATTTTTAGTAGAGACAGGGTTTCCCTATGTTGGCCAGGCTGGTCTCGAACTCTTGACCTCAGGTGATCCACCCACCTTGGCCTCCCAAAGTGCTGGAATTACAGGCATGAGCCACTGCACCCGGACAGCATTATTTTCATTTATTTATTCAGAGACAGAATCTCTATCACCCAGACTAGAGTGCAGAGTCACAATCATGGCTCACTGCAGCCTCAACTTCCTGGGCTCAAATGATTTTCCCACCTCAGCTTCCTGAGTAGCTGGGACCAAAGTTTGCCACCAAGCTCAGCTACTTTTAAAATTTTTTTGTAGAGACGGGGTTTCACCATGTTGCCCAGGCTGGTCTTGAACTCCTGCCCTTAAGCAATTCTCCTGCCTTGGCCTCTCAAAAGTGCTGGGATTAGAGGTAGGAGCCAGTGCACCCAGCAATCTTTAAGTAAACGCTGAAATTCTCTAATTCTCGACACCCAAAGAGATAAATGCATCTGTCGAGCTTCCAAAAACCCAGCACAGAACTCCCTGGAACCCTCAAAGGGTAGTAGGCAACAGGGAAAAATTTGAGACTGAGAGCAGTGGCTCATGCCTGTAATCCCAGCTCTTTGGGAGGCTGAAGCGGGTGGATCACTTGAGGTCACGAGTTCAAGACCAGCCTGGCCAACAGGGTGAAACCCTGTCTCTACCAAAAAAATACAAAAATTAGCCGGGTGTGGTGGTACACATCTGTAGTCCCAGCTACTCGGGAGGCTGAGGCAGGAGAATCACTTGAACCCGGGAGGCGGAGGTTGCAGTGAGCCAAGTTACCCCATTGAGCTCCAGCCTGGCCAACAGAGGGAGACTCTGTCTCTAAATAAATAAATAAATAAATAAATAAATAAATAAATAAATTACATCATTTAAAAGGAGGGAAAAAGAGAGAGAGAGCCAGAGCTGAAAATGAGCTTTCCACTCCTAGGGAAAGATTTTGGAGGTTATTGGGGAATAATATTAGGAGGGAAGGTAAATGCAAGAGGCAGGTATGATTGGGACAGTGACCCCGTCATAAATGATAACTCCAGAGATGGGATGACCCTGCTGTGGTCTTGGAAAAGGATGGTTATCAGTGATGCTTTTTCAGGAAACAGACCTTTCTGGAGGAGGTGAAATCCCTCCAGAACTTGGATTTGAGTGCTAGAATCTGAAGCAGAGATTTTAATTCAGTGGTTCTCAAACTTTGCTGCACATTAAAATTCTCTGGGGAGGCTTAAAAATTCCAATGCTCTAATCACATCCCAGGAGTCTCCTGGGGCCTGGGAGGCAGTGGTGATTCCACTGTACAGCCAACTTTGCGAACCAGGGCACTCGGACACCATTTCTCCAAGGGATGTGCCAACCAGGGGATCTTGTTGAACTGCATTTAAAAAAACAAAACAAAACAAAAAACCCAGAGTCTCACTCTGTCACCCAGGCTGGAGTGCAGTGGCACAGCCTCAACCTCCTGGGCTTAAGTGATCCTCCTGCCTCAGCCTCCCGAGTAGCTGGGACTATAGACGTGTGCCACAGCACCCGGCTAATTTTTGTGTTTTTTGTACAGATGGGGTTTCGCTATGTTTCCCAGGCCAGTCTCAAAATCTTGGACTCAAGCAATCCACCCACCTCAGCCTCCCAAAGTGCCGGGATTACAGGCATGAGCCACCGTGCTCAGCCTAAACTGCAAATTATGATCGTTGAGTTTGGGGAAGGCAACTCTTTTTTCCCTTTTTTTCTTTCTCTTTTTGTTCTCTTTATTTTTTATTTTTTTTTTTTTGAGATGGAGTCTCGCTCTGTCCCCAGGCTGGAGTGCTGTGGCGTGATCTCAGCTCACTGCAACCTCTGCCTCCCAGGTTCAAGCTATTCCCCTGCCTTGGCCTCCTGAGTAGCTGGGATTACAGGTGCATGCCAGCATGCCCAGCTGATTTTTAAAATATTTTTAGTAGAGGCGGGATTTCACTATGTTGGCCAGGCTGGTCTCAAACTCCTGACCTCAGGCAATCGCCCGTGGAGCAGGCATTTCCAACAAGCTGCAGCCACCACTGCTATAGGGTGGACCACAGTGGGACTACCAAGATGCTAGTTAAGAGAAGCATTTTCCTGACATCCGTAGCTTCACACGAAGGGCTTCCAGAATCACTGCCTTTTCATGAGATGCCTGGTAGCGTGGGTTCATCCAGGGCAGGGTTAGAGAACAAAGGACTGGGTTCCTGCCTTTCCCACCCCTCAGAACAAGACAGACTCACTGCAAAGGCTCACAGCACACTCTGAGTCCTCTCTACAGGGTCCCTCTCAGAACCAGTTGTCAGGATGAAACTTATTTATCCTTCAAGATTTAGCATATTCTCCTGTCCCTGGTCAGGAATTTTTTTTTTTTTTTTCTGTGTGGTTTGAATTACAAATTGGTTTTTTTGCGTGCCTTCCCCTCCCCTCCCCTCCCCTGTCCTTTTTCTGTTCCCACTCCACCCAGGATATTTATTTATTTAAAAATTTTTTTGATTTTTGTGGGTACATATTTATAGGGTACATGAGATATTTTGATACAGGCATGCAGTGTGTAATAATGATGTCAGGGTAAGTGGGGTATATCCATCCCCTCAAACGTTTATCCCTTGTGTTATGAACAAGGGATTTTAAATTTTTAAATTTAAAATTAAATTATTTTTGACTATAGTTACCCTGTTGTCCTAGCAAGTACTAGGGTATTATTCATTCTTCCTATTTTTTTGTACCCATTAACCATCCCCACATCCCCCACATTCCCCCACTACCCTTCCCAGCCTCTGGAAACCATCCTTCTACTCTCTATCTCTATGAGTTCAATTGTTTTAATTTTTAGTTCCCACAAATAGGTGGGAACATGCAAAGTTTGTCTTTCTGTGCCTGGTTTATTTCACTCCTGGTCAGAATTTATAGTGTCAGAATTGGAAGCTTGGAGAAATGGAAAGGAACTTAGGAATTATCTAGTCTAAACAAGTCCCCAACCCCTTGGCCATGGATGGGTACTGACTGGTCCATGGCCTGTTAGGAACCAGGCTACCCAGAAGGAGGTGAGCGGTGGGGAAGGGAGCGGTGCTGCTTCTGTATTTACAGCCACTCCCCATTGCTTACATTACCGTAAACCTGAGCTCCGCCTCCTGTCAGATCAGCGGCAGTGTTAGATTCTCATAGGAAGCCTATTGTGAACTGTGCATGCAAGGGATCTAGGTTGCAACCTCCTTATGAGAGTCTAATGCCTGATGATCTGTCACTATCTCCCAGCACCCCCGGATGGGACCATCCAGTTGCAGAAAAATAAGCTCAGGGCTCCCACTGATTCTACATGATGGTGAGTTGTAGAATTATTTCATTGTATATTACAATCTAATAATAATAGAAATAAAGTGCACGATAAATGGAATGTGCTTGAATCATCCCCAAACCATCCTCTCCTGCCCCCGGTCCATGGGAAAAACTGTCTTCCACGAAACTGGTCCTTGGTGCCAAAAATGTTGGGGACAGCTGGTCTAAACCACTGTGTTTTGTGGTGGAGGAAGCTGGGACCCAGGGTGATTTGTTTAGAGTCACAGACCACTAGAACAGGAGGTCTGCTCAGGAGGACAGACGTGGCAGGAAGATGCCAAGAGAGATGACACTTTGTGCTGTTCTTGGTAAGGGAGAATCAGGAGACAGAGCTATCCAGAAAGACTGCGGGTATAGTCACGTTAAAGGCACCTGTGACTCCAGCGATGTCACAGTTAATTATACCTGTGATTTTCCGTCCCCTCCCTCCAGGCACCTCACCAACTTTAGTTAACTACACAGAAGCTTAATGAAATTCTTTGCTTCTGCAGTTGGAGTTGACACCTTGACAGATGTTCAACAGCTTGTTTCCAGGTGGGACGCTGATGTAGGCTGCCCCACTTCACGCAAAACAATTACGTTTACGATTTTCGCCCAAAATATTGTCTCCTGTCGTTGAAACCCATAGAGAACACTTGTAACCTATAGATTTCTTGGTGTTGTGGTGAATATGTTCAGCTTGTTGTAAGAATAGTTCATAATTGATGCTCTTGGCATTTATCACCCAGCCGTGATGTGCTCAACGCGTGATGACTAATAAGTTGTATTTCGTTGGATCCTTTTTTCTTGCTTTCTCAACCCAAGTCACCTGTCTCAGCATGTCAGTGTCGACAGGGACGGTTTCCTGCCCGGCTCTTTGTGAGCTGCCTTGAGATGAAGACAATAAATGCGAAACTCAAGGACTCAAATAGACAGTGCTTTTTCAGGGTGTGTGCATTATGTCCTAGAAGATCAAGTGTTTAAATTGAATAGGTGAAGTCTTAGGGGGCAGCTGAAAGTGAGCATAAAGATTGAGGCAGCATACTTACAGCTTATGGTTATGTAAGTGCTGCTTTCTAAGTACTTGGCATAGGTTAATTCATTTAATCTTTTCAATAACGTTTTTATGGATGAGGGCACCTAACCCCAGAGAAGTTAAATACCTGGCTGAAAGTCACACAGCTGTGGACTAGTGAGTTTGGACTCATGACTTCAAAAGCCATGCTCTTAACCTGCTAGGTTAGGCTGCCTCTGTGATTCTTTTTTTTTTTTTTTTTTTTTTTGAGATGGAGTCTCGCTCTGTCGCCCAGGCTAGAGTGCAGTGGTGTGGTCTCGGCTCACTGCAACCTCCGCCTCCCTGGCTCAAGCAATTCTCCTGTCTCAGGCTCCCGAGTAGCTGGAATTACAGGTGCATGCCACCATGCCTGGGTAATTTTTGTATTTTTAGTAGAGATGGGGTTTTGCCATGTTGGCCGGGCTGGTCTTGAACTCCTGACCTCAATTGATCCGACCACCGCGGCCTCCCAAAGTGTTGGGATTACAGGCGTGAGCCATCACTTCCAGCTGCCTCTGTAATTCTAATTGCTCAACTTGTACAAGTGTCTGCAGAGTACTTCTTTGCTTATGTCATCCTAGGTCCCAGGACCGTGGCTCTTTTCTGCTTCCATCCCGAAACTTGTTACCTCATTCTTGCTTCCCCAATAAGAGCCACTCCGGGAGCATGTGCACCTGGGGAACAGATAGAGCTCCCTGAATCCTCCCGCACTTCAGGCTCGACTCACTGGACTGGATTTCCTGGGACTTACCCTTGCCTGAATGGTACTGGATTGCTCTACCGTTTTGCAAGGTCGTAGGCTGGGGTCCTAGCCCGCCGTCCTAGCCCTGGTCAGCAGCTTGGCTTGATCTTGGCCCTCCCTCTCTGCCTGCTTGCCTGGTATTACAGCCTGATTTTTAGAGGACCACAGTCTGCTCTTTGTTTTTTTATGAGATGGAGTCTCGCTGTGTCATCTCGATCTGTCGTCCAGGCTGGAGTGTAACGGCACGATCTCAGCTCACTGCAGCCTCTGCCTCCTGGGTTCAAGTGATTCTCCTGTCTCACGCCCTGGCTAATTTGTTTTTGTATTTTTAGTAGAGTCTGGGTTTCACCATGTTGGCCAAGCTGTGCCTAGTGATGAAGTCTGGGCTGTTAGTGTAACCATCGCCCGAATAGTGTACATTGTATCCATTAAGTAATTTCTTATCTCTCATCCCCTCCCACCCTCCTACCTTTCTGAGTCTCCATTGTCTATGTTTCCACTCTCTATGTCCGTGTGTACACATTATTTAGCTCCCAAGGCCCACCCCCCTTGCCTTCAGTGGACATCTCACCCCAGCCTCACCACAGATTTACCTCTGTTCTTTTAAAAATTAAAAAATATATGTATTTGTTAACATAGTATATTGTGCATAGCTTGGAAACCAAATAGTATTCTGACTTATTTCACTTACAGATAATGGCCTCCTGTTCCATCTATGGTGCTACTGCATTCTTTTTCATGGCTAAGTAGTATTCCATTGTGTGTATGTGTATATGATATGGTTTGGCTGTGTCCCCACCCAAATCTCATTTTGAATTCCCACATGTTGTGGGAGGGACCCAGTGGGAGGTAGTTGAATCATGGGGTAATTGAATCTTTTCCATGCTGTTCTCGTGATAGCGAATAAGTCTCATGAGGTCTCTTGGTTTTAAAAGAGGGAGTTTCCCTGCACAAGCTCTCTGTCTTTGCCTGCCACCATTCATGTAAGATGTGACTTGCTCCTCCTTGCCCTCAGCCATGATTGTGAGGCCTCCCCAGCCATGTGGAACCGTGAGTCTGTGGAACCTCTTTCTTTTGTAAATTGTCCAGTCTCGGGTATGTGTTTATCAGCAGCATGAAAACGAAATAATACAGAATATATATGTCTATACCACATTTTCTTTATCCAGTCCTCGATTGATGGACACTTAAGTTGATTCTTTATCTTTGCTGTTGCAAATAGTGCTTGGATAAACATATGGGTGCAGATCTCTTTTTGATAAGATGATTTCTTTTCCTTTGGGTAGATACCCAGTAGTGGGATTGTTGGATCAAATGTAGTTCTCTTTTCAGTTCTTTGAGAAATCTTCATATTGTTTTCCATAGAGGTTGTGCTCATTTGTATTCACACTAACAGACTAATAGTGTATAAACATTCTTTTTCTCCACATCCTTGCCAGCATCTTTTTTTTTTTCTTTTGACTTTTTAATAATAGCCATTCCTGACACATGCCTGAAATCCCAGCTACTCCAGAGGCTGAGGTGGGAGGACTGCTTGAGTCCAAGAGTTTGAGACTAGTCTGGGCAACATAGCGAGACCCTGTCTCTACAAAAAAAAAAAAAAAAAAAAAAAAAAAAGCTACACATGGTGGTGCATGCCTGTGGTTCTAGCTACTCAGGAGACTGAGGCAGGAGGATTGCTTGAACCCAGGAGTTCGAGGCTGCAGTGAGCTATGATCACACCACTGCACTCCAGCCTGGGTAATAGAGCAAGACACCATCTCAAAAGAAAAATGAAGTTTAATTGGAGGACTAACTATACTGTGGAGAGCTAGCTGTACATTTGATCCTCTGTCATCATAACTCCTGGACACCAATGTGGAAAGAATAAGCTTGTGTCTGTTTGCAAGGTGGTTCTTCTGCAAGGAATCCTGATCTTCTGTCCCTTGCTCTGTGATTTTTTTGCTCCAGAGTAAGAGGGAGATAATAGTTGAGACACTATTGGAGAGGTTGGTAGTAGGAGAAGAATGAAAGTGCGTCAAATGAGCGACTTCTTTCAGTCCCTTGAATTCTTCAGAGAATTAGCAGAAGAGAAAATAACGTAAAATCAAGGTGTTTCTTAATGGGACCCTTTAAGAATATCTGAACAGATGTTTAAGACTTGAGTATCATTTGCATTGAAACCAAATAATTCACGTTGTAGAGTCCTTTGAAATAGGGATGCCCCTTATGAATTTGAGTGAAATTTCCAGATCAGGTTATTGACAGAGGGAGGTGAGACCAGAGAAAAAGGGTCCCTGTGAGCAGCCATAGACGCTCAATCAGAAATAACACTCAGGTCCCATACTGTTTTGCAAATCACTGGGAAGTAGAATTTGATCTATTGCACAGAGTGAAATATTTTTCCTAAAGGGTGGGGTGGTTTGACATTCTTTTTTTCTGTATTTCCAGTTCATTCATGTCCTTACTTTTTCATCTGTTGCGAGGACATTCTTTGGATTCCCGGTGTTTACCAGGGCTGGAGCCTCCAATTCTGGGGCCGGTGTCATGCTGGTGTCTCTTGGAGGGAGACATTGAGTTCTTTTTCTTAGAAAGACTGGAAGTAATGTTCTCCTCAAATCCCTAACCTCAGCCCTTTCTTTCCTCTCAGCCTAGCACTCCTTTCTGAGTCTGGGGGGGACTTCCTAGGCCAGGTCTGTCCAGGTGCCACACAGGTTCTTCTCTGAGTGGCAGCAGCCCAGTTCGCCCTGTGGTCACAGTTCTGTCTCCAGCGTTTGCAGCCCAGCTGTCCCATCCTACCAGATGCTGGCTGTCATCAGTTCTCTGGTGGGGCCAGCCAGGCAGAGCAAACAGAGTTGTGGGAACAGTTGTGGTACCAAACTGCAACATTAGATCCTCTCAGCCTTCATTGTAGAAATGTTTAGGAATAAATCCTCTGTGGGATGATGGCTTGTAAGACTCACCAACCTAACAGGGATTTCCCCAGGAGAAAACTGCTGCTGTCTCATTTTTGCTTTCTCATTTGGAAACACCTTCCCTCCTTTTCTTCCTTCCTTCCCTTCCCTTCCTCCCTCCCTCCGTCCCCCCCTTCTCTCTCCTTCCTTCCTTCTCTTCTCTTTCTTTCTCTCTTCCTCCCTCCCTCCTTCCCTCCCCTCCTGCCTCCTTCCCTCCCTCCCTCCCCTGCTCCCTTCTTCCCTGCCTTCTCCTTCCCTTTCTTTCTTTTTCTCCCTCCCTCCCTTCCTCCCTCCCTCTCTCTCTCTCTTTCTGTGTCTCTCTTTCTCTCTCTCTCTTTCTCTCTCTCTCTTCCCTCCTCCTCTCCTTTCCTTCCTTCTTCCTTTCCTTTCCTTTCCTTTTTTTTTCCTTTCCTTTCCTTTCGTTTATTTGTTTATTTTTCTTTTGAGAGGCAGTCTTGCTCTGTCGCCCAGGCTGGAGTGCAGTGGTGCCATCATAGTTGACTGTAGCCTTGAACTCCTGAGCTCAAGTGATCCTCCTGCCTCAGCCTCCAGAATAGCTGGGACTACACGCATGTGACACCATGCACAGCTGATTTCTAAGTTTTTTGTAGAAACAGGGTCTCACTATGCTGTTACAGGTTGGTCTTGAACTCCTGGACTCAAGCAATCCTCTCATCCTCCCACCTCGGCCTCCCAAAATGCTGGGGTTTCAGGCATGAGACACTGCCCCCGGCCTAAAATATTCTTTTAAGTGCATAAGTAAAAGGTTTGTGGTTAAACTTTTAAAGATAAGCAAATAGAAGAAAATTAAATTCACTCGTAATCCCACTGACCCCAGAGGTAATCATTGATGACAGTTTCAGGCTAAAATGTCCCAGAGTCTGCATTTGTGTGGATGTTGTGTGTCTTTACTCTGTATTCCCCTCTTTATTATCTGAAGGGGTTGCAGCATCCATTCCTAAATGAACTGTTTTTTCACTTAATATCCTGTGAATGTTTCTGTGTTAAGTTGGTGCAAAAGTAATTGCGGTTTTTGCCGTTACTTTCAATGGCAAAAACCGTAATTACTTTTGCACCACCCTAATATTACATATTCTCCCACTTCAACATTTTCAACGAATTCATCATAGTCCACAAATGGGTGTGCCACGTGTTGTTTTCGATTTCACTAATGAAAAATATTGCACATCTGTAAGTATTTTTTTAAGGACAAATTCTTTTTTTTCTTTCTTTCTTTTTTTTTAAAGACATAATCTGTCATCTGGGCTGGAGTGCAGTGGTGCAATCTCAGCTCACTGCAAACTCCACCTCCTGGGTTCAAGCGATTCTCCTGCCTCAGCTTCCTGAGGAGCTGGAATTACAGGTGCCTGCCACCATGCCTGGCTAGTTTTTGTATTTTTTTTTAGTAGAGACGGGGTTTCACCATGTTGGCCAGGCTGGTCTTGAGCTCTTGACCTCAAGTGATCCTCCTGCCTCAGCCTCCCAAAGTGCTGGGATTACAGGCATGATTCGCGCCCGGCCGGAGAAATTCTTAGAAGAGGAATTATCAGGTCCACAATTTGCAGACTTTCTTCAAGCTTTTTCCTATTTTAATTTCCAGCAGCAATGAAAAGAGGCTTTATTTCTATCCATCCTTACCAATGTCTGCTATTGGCGTTGTTTTTTGAAATTTTTTTTTTTTTTAGAGACAGGGTCTCACTGTGTCACACAGGCTGGAATACAGTGGTATGGTCATGGCTCACTGCAGCCTCGAACTCCTGGGCTGAAGCAATCCTCCCTTCTCAGCCTCCCGAGTAGCTGGGACTACAGGCATCCACCACCACACCATCTAATTTTTTTATTTTTGTAGAGACAGGATCTTGCTGTGTTTTCCAGGCTGGTCCCGAACTCCCGGGTTCAAGTGATCTTCCCGCCTCGGCCTCTGTTTTTCAAAATTTGACAGCTAAAGTGGTTTTGTGTTGGTGTTTTAGCTTGGATTTCTGAGATTATAAGTGAGCACATACGTTTTGTTTTCATATACTTATTGGCTGCTTGATTTTTCCTTTTGTGAATTGCACATTGATGTTTTATGTCTGTTCATTGGTCACGGTTTTTTAAAAAATGTTTTTTAAAGAATTGTAGTGGAAAGAATAGTAGCCTTTATTACATGTTGCAAAATTTTCTATGTTTGCTCTTTATCCCTTTATTTCTTTAGTATTACTTTTTAACTTTGTGTTTATTATTAAAAATTATTTTTATAGTTACAGGGTCTCACTCTGTCACCTAGGCTGGGGTGCAGTGGTGCGATCATAGCTCACTGCCACCTTGAACCCCTAGCTTAAGTGATCCTCCTGCCTCAGCCTGCCAAGTAGCTGGGACCACAGGTGTGTGCCGTCATGTCCAGCTAATTAATTTTTTTTTTTTTTTTGTAGAGATGGGTCTCACTGTGTGCTGAGGCTGGTCTTGAACTCTGGCCTCAAGTGATCCTCTAGCCTTGGCCTCCCAAAGTGCTGGGTTTACAGGTGTGAGCCACTGTGCCCAGCCTATAGTTTTTTTTGTTTTTTTTTTTTTAACAAAATGTTTTATTATTTCTTTTTAAATATTTAAGTTTTGGAATCATGTTTAGAAAATTCCTCCCCATCCCTGAGATTACACAAATACTTACCTCTGCGTTCTTTTAAAAATTAAAAAATATGGCCGGGCACGGTGGCTCACGCCTGTAATCCCAGCACTTTGGGCAGACAAGGCGGGCAGATCACCGGAGGTCAGGAGTTTGAGCCTGGCCAATATGGTGAAACCCTGTCTCTACTAATACAAAAATTAGCCAGGTGTGGTGGTGGGCACTTGTATTCCAGCTACTCGGGAGGCTGAGGTAGGAGTATCACTTGAACTCGGGAGGCAGAGATTGCAGTGAGCCAAAATTGTGCCACTGCACTACAGCCTGGGTGACAGAATGAGACTCTCTCAAAAAAAAAAAATCTATGTATGTGTGTATATATATGTGTATATATGTGTATATATATGTGTATATATGTGTATATATGTATATGTATATATATGTATATATATATGTTAACATAGTGTATTGCACATAGCTTAGAAATCAAATAGTATTAAATGGCTTTTTACACAAAGTGGCTGTCCCTTGCTGCCCTGGGAAAGTGCTGGAAAGCAGGAATCAGGCGTAGGCTCAGCTGCTGGAATTCTGCCGTCAGGGAGGGGGATGGTGGCAGAGGGCCCCTTGATTCTGTGCATAGACTGGCTCCCCCTCCTTGCCCTCAGTCGACCGACACCTCACTCCAGCCCTGTGCTGGGCCTGGTGTGTCCTCTTATTCATTGCTGCCAAGGCTGGCCTGCAGGCTTCCAGGAACACAGGCATAGGGGCAATGTGCTGACTCCATGGGTGAGGGACGGGGCTCTGTCTGTCTGCCCTGTTGTCTGGCTCATTTGTGGTGTAGACCCACAATAGGCACAGAATTTGTCCACCCTGTGGTTACCATTCCCTCTTCTTTGTGCCTTCCACATCTCCTTTGAAATCTCTCCCTTCCCTTCCTCTGTTTCCTTGTAGTTTACAGGGGAGTATCTCCCTTGCCTCTCTGTTCTTTGTTCTTATTTTAGCAGTGTTTAGGTAAAGAGAGGGGAAAATGAGTTCAGTTTGCCAATTATTAGCCAGAAGTCTCATATATAGTCCCATCATTAAATTTTTTAATCCAGGCTGGGCACGGTGCCTCATGCCTGTAATCCCAGCACTTTAGGAGGCCAAGGTGGGAGGATTGCTTGAGCCAGGAGTTTGAGACCACCAGCCTGGGCAACACAGTGAGACCCCATCTCTACAAAAAGTACAAAACAATGAGCCAGGCATGGTGGTACGCACCGATAGTCCCAGCTACTCTGGAGGCTGAGTTGGGAGCTGTCGCTTGAGCCCTGGAGCCATAGGTTGCGGTGAGCTGAGATTGTATCACTCCACTTCAGCCTGGGTGACACAGTGATACTCTGTCTCAAAGAATTTTTTTTTTCTTAATACAACTAGTATTAATTTGGCTATGGTAGGATATAGGGATGTAACTTTATTGTTATTTTTTTCCAAATGTTTTTTCGATTTTCCCAATAATGCTTACTAAATAATCCATTCACTGATTTAGAAATGTCGTTTTTGTTATGTACCGAATTACCATACTCATCTGGGTTGACCTCTAAATCTTTTGTTTCTTCTCCATTCTCCCATCCATTCTTTTTCCAGTGCCACCCTGGTTTAATTTTAGTAACTTTATGATTGGCAAGGTGCAGTGGCTCATACCTGTAATCCCAGCACTTTGGGAGGCCGAGGTGGGCGGATCACCTGAGGTCAGGAGTTCGAGACCAGCCTGGCCAACATGGTGAAACCCTGTCTCTACTAAAAACACAAAAATTAGCCGGGTATGGTGGCATATGCCTGTAGTCCCAGCTACTTGGGAGGCTGAGGCAGGAGAATCATTTGAACCCGGGAGGTGGAGGTTGCAGTGAGCCGAGATTGCACCACTGTACTCCAGTCTGGGCGACAGAATGAGACTGTGTATCTCAAAAAAAAAAAATTATGATAGGGCAAATGTTCCCTTATTCTCTCTTCTATTTTAAAATTATCCATATTTTTTTCAATAGGAAAATAAGCATGATCTTTGTGGTCACTATTTTTCTAGTTGTCCCAAATCTTTCAACTTGTCATAACTGTTTGTTTTCCTTTTCAATGATGCCATTGTCCTTCTTTCTTTGACTTACTTGTCCTTTCTGAATTTTCTGAACCTGAGGCATCTTTTCCAAAGTTACATTTTGAATTTGCAAAAGAAAAAATATCTCCTAGCACGAGGATCTCTAGGTATACATGGCTCACCTGCAACCCAATTTTCTGCCCCCTCAACTGCAAAGTGGCCCAGCGCTGTCTGTCCTGGGGCACATGGCTTATAGGTATAACATGGGGTGAACAACAAAATCCAAAATATTATAGGGAAGTGACTTACTTTTTTTTTTTTTTTTTTTTTCTGAGATGAAGTCTCACTCTGTTGTCTAGGCTGGATTGCAATGGCTCACTGCAACCTCTGCCTGCTGGGTTCAAGTGATTCTCCTGCCTCAGCCTCCCGAGTAGCTGGGATTACAGATATGCACCACCACACCCTGCTAATTCTTGTATTTTTAGTAGAGACAGGGTTTCACCATGTTGGCTAGGCTGGTCTCGAACTCCTGACATCAAGTGATACTCTGGCCTCAGCCTCTCAAAGTGCTGGGATTACAGGTGTGAGCCACTGCGCCCAGCCTGGGAGTGACTTGTTGAAACCAGAATGCTTCTTGTAGTCTAGGGCAGGTGGCTTTTAGCAATGTCCAGAAATGTCAACAGTATCCTTTGGGGACATGGATCTTACTCAGCTGGAAGTGGCGCCTGTGGCAGGTTGCTTCTGCCACTGGGTCTTGGAAGCCACTGTTGTTTTCCTCTTCCTTCTTTCCCATCACTCTCCTATGCTCATTTCTTGGATCTTTCATGTTTCTTTGGATCATTCCTATTTTTCTTCAAAGTCTGAGCCTTGTTGTGGCATTCAAACCCTTCACAGATCACCTTACTTTGCTTGAAATACAGGTGATGGCCAGGCGCGGTGGTGGCTCACGCCTGTAATCTCAGCAGTTTGGGAGGCTGAGGCAGGTGGATCGCTTGAGCTCAGGAGTTCGAGACCAGCCTGGGCAACATGGCAAAACCCCATCTCTACAAAAAAAAAAAAAAAAAAAAAAAAAATCTCAGCCAGGCGTTGTGGTGGCATGTGCCTGTAGTCCCAGCTACTTGGGAGGCTGAGGTGGGAGGATTGCTCGAGCCGGGGAGGTTGAGGCTGCAGTGAGCCGAGATCAAGCCACTGGACTCTAGCCTGGGCAACAGAGTGAGACCTTGTCTTACACACACACACACAAAAAAGAAAAAAGAAATACAGTTGATCCTTCCACAATGCAAGGTTGGGGTGTTGACCCTCTGCACAGTAAAAAATTCACATAACTTTTGACTCCCCCCAAAACTTAACTACTAATAGCCTATTGTTGACTGGAAGCCTTACCAATAATGTAAACAGGTAATTAACACATATTTTGTGTATTTGATATATTATATATTGTGTTCTTACAGTAAAGTAAAATAAAATGTTATTAGTAAAAGAAAATGTTATTAAGGAAACCATATAGAAGAGAAAATCTATTTATTACTATTCGTTAAATGGAAGTAGGTCATCATAGAGGTCTTCATCCTCATCATCTTTGCGTTGAGTAGACTGAAGAGGAGGAGGAGGGGCTGGTCTTGTTCCCCAAGGGGTGGCAGAGTCGGAAGAGGTGGAGGAGGTGGGAAGGGATGCAGGAGAGAAAGGCACACTTGGCATAACTGGAAAAATTCCATGCATAAGTACACCCGTGCCTTTCAATGTCATATTGTTTAAGGATCCACCGTATATATATATTTTCTTCTTCTTTATTTTTGTTTTTTTTTTTTTTTTTTTTTAAGACGGAGTCTTGCTCTGTCGCCAGGCTGGCGACAGAGTGCAGTGGCGTGATCTCGGCTCACTGCAACCTCCACCTCCCGGGTTCAAGTGATTCTCCTGCCTCAGCCTCCTGAGTTGCTGGGATTACAGGTGCCCACCACCATGCCCGGCTAATTTTGTATTTTTTGTAGAGATAGGGTTTCATCATGTTGACCAGGCTGGTCTCGAACTCCCGGCCTCAGGTGATCCACTCATCTTGGCCTCCCAAAGTGCTGGGATTATAGGCATGAGCCACCATGCCTGGCCTGCTCTTACGTTTTGATGTAGATGTCACCAGATGCATCAAGTGTCCACCGCCACACCATGCCAGCACATGGCTGAGAGCTGGCACTACCCAAGGTATTATCTAAATGGCACTAGGGTGATGTCAATATTATAACCACAGAAGCCAAGATTCCTTTTGTTCTGCCCTCTGTTCCTTGTCTACTGATATTAGCACTGCTGCATCTAGGCCATTGCCATTGTTATTAGGTAGTATCTCGAATGCCAAGAGCTGGATGCATTATCTTCTGACCACATATCAGCCTCTGTGATAAGTATCTTCTGGATCATATCAATTAACCCTCACAATGGCTCAATGAGGTAGATACCTTACAACTCCCATTTGATCCATGGCAAAACTAAGATGGAGTAGCATTGTGCTGTCTAGGGTTTTTCAGAGCCAGGACTAGGTCAGGGGGCTTTTTGGCTTGAAAACCAGACCAATCTACTAGGCTGCCTCTCTTTGTATATCTAGAGACTTAAGGGTTGCAGAACTCCTCCTTCCTGAGCAAGTCCTTGATCAGGACGTTATAACAGTCAGCTAGTAGCCATGAGTAGTCAGAGAATGAAGACATGGAGGGCAGTGTGGGGGCATCCCTGGGGGATGCTGGCGGACCGATGTGAACAGGGTGCAGTGCTCAGGGAAGAGAATGCTGGCAGGGCCCCTTGGAGGGCATCGGAGTTTGTCCAGGCTTGCCCCTGGCCCTGGATAGCCTTGAAGCGGGAAGCGCAGGTTAAGTTTCTGATTCAAAGTCAGCAAATCTCCCTGGACCTGGTGATGAAGGAAGGTCGTTTCAGGAGAGAGTAGAGAGATGACTAAATGAGGTTGGCTTTTGGACCTCTTTGGCTTGGAGCAGAATGTGGGAAGTGGTCCAGCGCTGTCTTTCTTGGCCGGCTGTGGGACAGGAGACGACAGTGCACAGCGGGGGACCTTGCACTTGTGCTTGTTTTGCCTCTCCCTGCCCTTCCCTGCTTGCCACTTCTGATTCATCAGCTTCCCTCCCATGCCCTCCGCCAAGGGCTCTTGAAGGTGGCTTCCCTCCCTTGGTCACGCATGTTGCCGTTCCTTGAGTCCCGTGTAACCCTTGTGAGCCCCCCTCCCCTATTCTTTTCTGTAGCACCTTTGACACCTGCCA
Source organism: Homo sapiens (assembly GCF_000001405.40). NCBI lineage: Eukaryota > Metazoa > Chordata > Mammalia > Primates > Hominidae > Homo > Homo sapiens. The sequence goes on along the minus strand of NC_000007.14, from coordinate 72,309,470 downwards.
GGGCTGTGTTTCCAGGCCACAGGACCTTGCACGGGACATGTGCTCCATCAGAAGAGAGGGGTCCATTCCTGAGTTCCTTGGGACCCTTTTGAGTCCCTTCTTGGGTGCCAGTGGATTTATTTGCACACAGACTGATGTGTATGTTTCAAAGAGTGGAGGCCCTGGCTCAGAATGTGACTTCAGAAAGATGAACAGGACCGGCATGGATTTCTAGGATAAATGAATGCCTTTAGTTGTGTCTTCTCCATCTGGCTCAGGATGAGTTCTGAATAGTCTCCCTCCCGTAGAGCCTCCCTCCAGGTTCCTGGCTTAGGTGAGAAAATGAAAAAGGCAGGCTATAGAGCTTGTGCAAGCTGTTGCCTCTGGAGCTAAACTGCCTGGTCTACCACTTACTAACTCTGCAGTTTTGAACCAGTTATTTAATTGGCCTGTGCTCCATTTCCCCATCTATAAAATGGGGATAAGGTATAACTGAGACATTACTTAACATTGCCTAGAATTGCCTAGCACATAGTGAGCCCTCTAAAAATGTTTACTATTTTCCTGCATGAGTTAGTTGCATGGAATTTCATGCAAAATTTTCCTTTGGTACTTGCATACATGCCAGATGGGAATGATCCCCAGGGAAGCTTCTAGAATCATTATCACTCCATGAAAGTTCTTCACCCAAGTTTTTATTGTTCTGCCCCCACCGACCTTGAGGTTGTGTTTTGTTCCGGGAAGGAACTAAGAGGAGGGTCCCAGCTGACAGGAGAAGCAAAAAGGCAGAGACCAAAAAAAATGAACACAACCTAACCCAAGAGTGTGAGTTCATCAGAAGGACATGGGAGGATGGTAGCTCTGGGGGACTCATCATTTTATGTCATCTGCAATGTTTTCATTGCAGTTCCCAGGGGGACAGGATCCCTCATATCGTTCATTCATTCATTCATTCGTGCATTCAGCAAACATTTTCAAATATTCCTTGTATATCTGACATTGGGCTTGACACTGGGAGGGCATTGCATCCAAGCAGCTCAAGCTTTGGTGGTACTTTGTGGATTTCTTCTTTCTTTCCTTTCTTTCCTCTCTCTCTCTCTCTCTCTCTCTCTCTCTCTCCCCCCCCCACAGACAGCATCTCACTCTGTGGCCCAGGCTGGAGTGCAGTGGTGCAATCTCAGCTCACTGCAACCTCCTTCTCCCTGGTTCAAATGATCTTTGTGCCTTGGCCTCCCAAGTAGCTGAAATTACAGGTGTATACCACCATGCCTGGCTAATTTTTGTATTTTTAGTAGAGGTGAGGTTTTGCCATGTTGGCGGGGATGGCCTCAAACCCCTGACCTCAAGCAATCCACCTGCCTCGGCCCCCCAAAGTCCTGGGATTACAGGTGTGAGCCACTGCACCCAGCCCTAGTTTGTGGATTTCTGTCGTTTTGTTTATTACACATCTTGAGCAAAGAAAAGTTCTGATTTCTTGTAGCAGATTTCTGTCCATCACCGTGTCTTTGTGAAGGTTAGTGAGTGAGAGGACTCACGAAATGTCCTTCTGGTGAACTCACCCTCTTGGGTTAGGTTGTGTTCATTTTTTTTTTTTTGTCTCTGCCTTTTGCTTCTCTTGTCGTCTGGGACCCTCCTCTTGCCAGCAGATGTCCTGAGGCAACAGCCGTCTTTCAGTCATTGTCCTCTGCCCGGCTGTTGGGATGATCTTGTGTCCTGCTGGTGACATCCCTGTTGCCGGCTGCTCTCTGCAGGGCACTAGTGTCTGTGTCTGCATTGGGAAGTCTGTGACCAGCGTCACCTCCCCACGGCATCTGCACCAGAGGCTCAGCCAGGAGGTTGCTTCTAGTCCCTACTCTGCTGTCTTTGAATATGCGTAGCTCTCAGGCAGTCGCATTGCCCAGATAATATCATATCATAGCTATTCTGCAAGCTTTGCGAGGCCACAGGCTGTGACTTCTGCTCTGATACCATCCGAGGATCACAGCCCATTAGATGCGTTAAATGCCCACTGCACTGCACGAGCGACCGAGTGAATGAACTGACCTCTCTTGCGGCCAGACGGGCTTCAGCCTTCGTAGGGTGTGCCCTCAGTTTTATGGCAGAATGAGAAGAAACCTCAGGAAAAAATAATGCAATCTTTGTCCTCTGTGCTGTAGTCTTATTTCCAAACATTCTCATGCTGTCAACTCAAAAATAACATGTAAGTTTCAAATGGCTTTCCATCTGAATGATGGATTGAATGAATCTAATTTACATACTATTCATTTTATGTTAATTGGCCAAAATGAAGCCAATCTCCAGAGGTCCTGTACCTTTCTGCTTGAATCTCTTAAAAGCCTCTTCTGCTGAGATAGGGCTAATTTGAGTTTAAAAAAAATTACAAAAAGCAAAAACCAAAAACAGAAGTCTGGCTAGGGCCCCTGCCTGACTTTGTCTGTCTTCAATCATATTTGCTGTCGACCTAGTTAGTGCTGTGGACTGAACTGTGTCCCCCAACCCCAAATTCACATGTTGAGGCTCTTCCTCTCTTCCGTGTGATGCTATCTGGAGATGGGGTTTTGGGAGTGTCAACGAAGAGTCAGACTCTGTAAAATACCTGAAAAGATTTATTCTGAGCCAAATAGGAGTGACCATGGCCCGAGACAAAGCCCTCAAGAGGTCCTGAGAACCAGGTGCCCACGGTGGTCAGGGCACAGCTTAGTTTTATACATATTAGGGAGGGATGAGACATCAATCAAATACATTTAAGAAACATAATAGTTTGGTCCAGAAAGAGGGGATAACTCAAAATGGGGGCTTCTAGGCTATAGGTAAATTTAAACATTTTCTTTTTTATTTTTCTTTTCTTTTTTTTTCTTCTTTTTTTTTTTAGAGCAGGAATGAGAGTTTATTTAAAAGCTTTAGAACAGTAGGAAAAGAAAAGAAGGAAAGTACAGATTGGAAGGCCAGGTGGGCGACTGGAGAAACCAAGTACACCATAAATTTAAACATCTTCTGATTGACAATTGGTTGAGTTTGTCTAAAGACCTGGGTTCCATAGAAAGGAAATGTTTAGGTTAAGATAAAAGACTGTGGAGACCTTCTTCTGAAGGCTTATAGTGGCTGCCGTTAGAGACAGATAGATAGATGACAAATGTTTTCTATTCAGACCTTTAAAAAATTGCTAGACTCTTACTTAATCTCTTCAGGATTGGGAGGGCCTGGAAGAAAAAGATCTAGCTATGTGAATAGAGATTCTTTACAGATGTACATTTTCCCCCACAAAGGACAGCTTTGCAGGACCATTTCAAAATATGGCAAAGAAACATGTTTTGGGGTAAAATTTTTTGATTTTCTTCCTTGTCTTGTCATGTTATACCAGTGTCAGTTTGGAAAGTAAGTCATGATATACAAGGTTAGATAAAACCCATCTGATGAGTGTTTATGGTTTGTAGGGCATGACTCCCTAGACCCCTTAGATAGGAATTTGGGCAAGGTAACTTTAGTCTTCAGGAGGTAATTAAGTTTAGATGATGTCTTGAGGGTGGGTCCCTCATAATGGAATTTAGTGCCCTTATAAGTAGAGATACCAGAGAGCTTGCCCTCTCTCCCTCTTTCTGTCTCTCCCCGACCATGTGAGGACAGAGCAAGAAGGTGGCCATTTGTAAGCCAGGAAGAGAGTCCTCATCAGAACCTGACCATGTTGACCTCTTGATCTTAGACATCCAGCCTTCAGGCTATAAGAAAATTAATTTCTGTTGTTTAAGCCACCCGGTCTGTAGTCTTTTGTTACGGTAACCTGAGCAAACTAAGCTACTAAAGTCTTAAAAGTGCTGTTCTAGAGAACTCTCAACAATCAATGTTGGGTACAGTGTGCAGTTATTTCCCGTAGATCAAATAATCCCTGACCTCTCACTGTCTTGGGAGAGGCCTCAGCCAGCAGGATTCTCTCAAACTTTGCAGAAAGCTATCTAAGGCTCTCGGTTTGATACAGGTGTCTGAGCAGCTAGAAGTGTATGGTGGACTTAGCAGGACCACTTTACGTGGGGATCTTGAAGGAAGTTACATAGAAATTCATCACAATTAAATCCTTCCATATTCAACTTATTAATTAAAAGAGATCAAAACAGCCTTAAGAAGGAGCCTTAACAAGCAGTGGAACTTTTTGTGTAATTACTTTCAGAAAGAACAACTCAAAATCACCTGCCAAAAGCATTCCTGTCGGCAGGCCAGCGCCGGCATCCTTGTGAAGCTGGTGCAGGATTTCTTCCAGCAGGAGCGTTCATCTAATTACCTGAAGGTTTGCAATCCTCCGCAGTTCTCTGGGGGCCAGTCCCAATCAAAATCAAAATTGGGATGGGAGGCACATGTCTGTCCTGGCTGACACAGCCAGCTGTTAACACGGGCCCTTAAAGGGTTCCAACCCAGGCTCTCTTTGGAGGCCTGGGCTGCAGACAGCAGGTCACATGCGAGGCTGCAGGTCACTGTAGCCGTGGCCATCAGGCAGCCTTGGTCCTGTCTGAGGGCTTCCTGGGGCCTTACTCCCACGTGGAGGAAATTCCAGCCAGGCTCTTTCATTTGTAAAATCATTTTAATTTCTCTCTAGCTGTAAAAATGAAATAGACCCATGTCACTAAGTGTGGAGAGGTTAAACAACTAAATATACAACAACAGTAAGTTCATCACTCAGCAATAACTAGTATTTACATTTTGGTTTATATCCTTTGAAGAACTTTATATATCTCTATAAATATATATGTATGTGGCTAGGTAGGCCAGGTAATTATATTTATATAGTTGTGATTATGCCCTACATAGGATTTTATGGCCTGACCTAATGAAAGTAATATAAGAATAGGATAATAAAAAAACAAAATATAAGTAGATAGACGTAAAAGAGACGCTGGCAGCTATACCCCCCCCATGTCAGAGGCAAGCATTGTAAGCCATTTTTCATCTCAGTGATTCTGGTGGATGAAATCACTCCAAGTAAAGTGCTTACTTGATTTTTTTTAAAATTCATTTTAATTTTGTAGAGATGGGGCCTTCCTGTTGTTGCCCAGGCTGGCCTGGAACTCCTGGGCTCAGGCAATCCCCCCTTCCTGGCCCCCGAACACCTTGGCCTCCCAAAGTGCTGGGATTACAGGCATGAGCCACTGTGCCCAACCTTATGTGGTTTTGAGCATCCACTTGAAATGGGATCTCTCCATCCTCTCCTTTGAAAGACAGGAAGAACGTGGAGTCTTTCCCCTTTCCCATCCCAGTCTCTGCCAGTCACATTTTTATTTTTCCAATCTGAATTGAATAGCTTTATTGCTTTAGCTTATAAACTTAAGTCTTTCTTTATTAACTTGAAACCATACCTTTGGACCTCCCAGTCTGAAAGACGGTGGTTTCGGGGGAGGGCTTAGCACCTCTTCATTTCTTTCTTCTTTTTTGCAGCTTGTCTTCTGTATTACTGACTCTTAGAGTGGCAGGCATTTACATTTGTTCTCTATCTGAAATTTCCATGATTCTCCTATTTCAAATTCAAAACCAAAGATTTTGTGAATATGATTACTATGATTATGTAAATAATTACTCACTGCAGAAACAAATATGATACAAGCAATCCCATAACATTTACTTTTTATTTTCTCGAGACAGAGTCTTGCTCTGTCACCCAGATGAGAGTACAGTGGCATGATCAGAGCTCACTAAGCCTTGATCTCCTGGGCTCAAGGGATCCTCCTGCCTCGGCCTCCCAAAGTGTTGGGTTTACAGATGTGAGCCAGCACACCCCACCTAGTGCTGTAACATTTATAGGAGGAAAGGATAAATAAATTGGAAAAGAGAGTGAAGGAGGGAGGGCGAGCCCACTCTCATTGTATTTATTTGATATTTAATATTGATGCTGGATTCTCCTTCTCACTAAGCATATGCAGTTTCTTTTTTTTTTTTCTTTTTCTTTTTTTTGAGATGGAGTTTCGCTCTTGTTGCCCAGGCTGGAGTGCAATGGCGCGATCTTGGCTCACCGCAGCCTCTGCCTCCCAGGTTTAAGGGATTGTCCTGTCTCAGCCTCCCAAGTAGCTGGGATTACAGGCATGCCCCACCACGCCTGGCTTGTATTTTTAGTAGAGACAGGGTTTCTCCATGTTGGTCAGGCTGGTCTTGAACTCCCGACCTCAGATGATCTGGCCACCTGGTATGCAGTTTCTTTAATGCACTGATGCTGGAAGTTCACTTCTTCCTGTCCTCCTTGGCACTGATTTACAACACCTGCCCCCACTGTGGTCTTCTGGGCTCTCACCTCATTGTTAGAATCCATCTCATGAATTAGATCTCATTTTCTCTCATTTCTTGGACTCCTTTTGCATGTTGCTGAAATAATTCACTGAGTGATTTCTTTTTAGATGATGTCTATGAATTGTAAAATTCCTTTTCTTTTTTTTTTGAGACAGGGTCTGTCTCTGTCACCAGGTTAGAGTGCAATGGCACCATCATAGCTCACTGTATCCTTGAACTCCTGAACTCCTGGGCTCAAGGGATCCTTCTGCCTCAGTCTCTGTGGTAACTGGGACTACAGATGGATGCCACCAGGCCCGGATTCTTTTCGTTTTTTTTTTTTTTTTTTTTTTTTGAGACCCTCACTCTCTCTCCAAGCCTGGAGTGCAGTGGCGCGATCTCGGCTCACTGCAACATCCGCCGCCTCCTGGGCTCAAGCAATTCTCGTGCCTCAGTCTCCCTAGTAGCTGGGACTACAGGTGCCCACCATCACACCTGACTAATTTTTTGTATTTTTAGTAGAGACGGGGTTTCACCATGTTGGCCAGGCTGGTCATGAACTCCTGACCTCAAGTGATCCACGTGCCTTGGCCTCCCAAAGTGCTGGGATTACAGGTGTGAGCCACTGCGCTCATCCTGTTTTCGTATTTTTTGTAGAGATGGGGGCTTGGTATGCTGGCTAATCTGGAATGCCTGCACCTCCGAAAGTACTGGGATGATGGGCCTGAGCCACCACGCCCAGCCAAATTGTAAACTTTCTAAGCCTCTGTCTTGATTGGATTTTGACTGGGTGTAAATTAGTTTTTCCTGTGATGTCCAGACCACTTGCTCCACTGTTATCTCGTGTCTGATGATGCTGATGTGCAGTTTAATGTCAGCATGATCGCCATTCATTAAAACGTTGTCCGTTCCTTCCTCTAGGGCTTTAGGTGCTTTCTTTAATTCTGATGTTCTGAAATTTTATGAGGTTTGGCTCTTTGTGGGTCTTTTCATTTATCCCATATAGCAGCTGACAGGCATTTTCAGTCTCAAGCTTCATCTCATCCGCTCTGGGAATTTCTCTTGTATTATTTCCTCTCCGTGGTCTCTGTTCTCTTGTTCTGAAACGCATCTGCAGTAATTCACTGTGTATACAATTTGAATTTTCTCTCCTATTTCATCAGTTCTTTAAACTTTCTTCAATTCCTCATCTCAGACTGTTTTTTTTTTAGCAGCCTCTCAGCTCTCCCTGAAGCATTACATTAAAATTCTTCCAAGGTCTCTTCTTTTTTCCAGGATCATCCTTGCTGTGTCTGGGGTCACCTTTTCTGTCCTGCTTGTCGGTGACACTGGTTTTCTTGAAGTGTCTGGCAATCCTTGTTTGGTCATTGCCATTCCTGGCGTTTCTGAATGTGATGGGCTGTGATAAGAGGCAGGTTTTAGTAGCAGCCTTTCTCTCTGAATGAGACCAATGGCTGCAAACTCTTTTATAGCAGTGGGGCATGTTGACCAGTAGGCTTCATTGTAGGGTTCAAGACTGGGAAGGGGTGAACAGGATGCCCCATGTAAATGCCAGGAGATGAAGGCCTTACTCTGGGAGATCAACGTCAGATCTACTCCTCAGGCAGATCACTGCTTGCTTTTTTTTTTTTTTTTTTTGAGAGACAAAGTCTTTGCTCTGTCGCCCAGGCTGGAGTACAGTGGCGTGATCTCAGCACACTGCAACCTCTGCCTCCTGGGTTACAGCGATTCTCCTCTCTCAGCCTCCCGAGTAGCTGGGACTACAGGCATGCGCCACCAAGCCAGGCTAATTTTTGTATTTTTAGTAGAGACAGGGTTTCACCATGTTGGCTAGGCTGGTCTCGAACTCCTGACCTCAAGTGATACACCTGCCTCGGCCTCCCAAAGTGGTGGGATTACAGGTGTGAGCCACCCAGCCCGGCCTGCTTGCTTTTAAGAGGATCTTTTTCTAGGGGTGGGAAACCCAGCAAGCTGATCTAAGTGAAGGACTTAAATCAGTCACCCCCTGTCCACCCTGTCTCCAGTCCAGATCTTAGCAACTGCTGACTGGGACTATACTCTGTGTGCTCTCAGCGCTTCTCCCTCCTCCACTTTCTTTCCAGTTTGCATGCTTTCAGCCTGGCTTCTGTCTGCCCAATTACGTCTGTAAAGATGGATGAATTCATCCTGCCCTCCAGGGATCTGCCAAAGTTTTTGGGCCAATGATGGTCTTTCCCTGATATTCTGTGCTTATTTACATTTTTATTTATTTATTTGAGACAGAGTCTCACTCTGTCACCCAGGCTGGAGTGTGGTGGCATGATCTCAGCTCACTGCAACCTCCAACCTCGGGGGTTCAAACGATTCTCCTGCCTCAGCCTCCAGAGTAGCTGGGATTACAGGCACGTGCCACCATGCCCAGCTAATTTTTGTATTTTTGGTAGAGACGGGGTTTCGCCATGTTGGCCAGGCTGGTCTCGAACTCCTGACCTCAAGTGATCTGCCCCCTCTTGGCCTCCCAAAGTGCTGGGATTACAGGCATTAGCCACCGTGACTGGCTATAAATATAATTAGACAAATACAGTTTATACTTAAATACATACATCTGTGTTTATGCACTTATTCTATTTTGTTCCCTATATCATGATTGTAATAGAATTTTAGGAGAGAAGTGTGTTCGTTTTTCTCAGTTGAAACACGTATTAGAGTTAGTGGTACATTATAAAGATGTTTGGATGTCATTAAAATTTTAGTGAGCGTCTTTGATCCACAACATACTCTGATATGAATGCACTTTGCTTATTGATTTCTGTATTTTTAACTGTTTTTTTTTCTTGTTTTTATCTTTTTTGTTGTTGTTGTTCATTAAAAATACAACGCAGTGCCTTTTCTTGATACACAAATCTTTGGCTACATCTCAGGACAGACTGAAAAAAAAAATAGAGTTACAGGGTCAAAGGGCCAGAACTATTTTTTTCAGACTTGTGATGCAGAATGGCCAAATTACTTTCTCTGAACTGTTGTTTCAATTGCTATGAAGTATCAGTCCCATTACATTCTCACCAGTATGTTAAAAACAACTTGAAAAAGGGCTGGGCATGGTGGCTCATGCCTGTAATCCCAGCACTTTGGGAGGACGAGGTGGGCGGATCATGAGGTCAGGAGTTCGAGACCAGCCTGGCCAACATGGTGAAACCCTATCTCTGTTAAAAATACAAAAAATTAGCTGGGCATGGTGGCATGCGCCTGTAATCCCAGCTACTTCAGAGGCTGAGGCAGGAGAATGCTTAAACCGGGGAGGCAGAGATCGTGCCACTGCTCTCCAGCCTGGGTGACAGAGCAAGACTCCGTCTCAGAAAAAAACAACAAACAAAAAAACAAAACAAAACAAAAATTGAAACAAAAACTCTCCCCCATTGAAAAAGCAGATAACATGGTCAGGCATGCTGGCTCAGGCCTGTAATGCTAGCACTTTGGGAGGTCGAGGCAGGAGGATCCCTTGAACCCAGGAGTTTGAAACCAGTCTGGGCAACACAGCAGGACCTCAGTCTCTCTTTTTAAAAAAAAAAAAAAAAAAAAAGATAAGAGCATCTTTTAAAAAATTGTATTTCTTTGGTTACTTGTGAGATCAACTGTTGTTTTTGCATACTTTATTAATTCTTTGTCTTTCCAGTTTTGTGAATTGTCTGATCATACAGTCTTTGCATTCCCTGTTTGCCTATTACCTTTATTTATATCGTTTATAATGTTTAGAAGTTTGTATTTTTATACTGGCAAGGCTATTCATCTTTTCCTTTGTAATTTCTGCCTCTTAACTATGAAAGATGAGTTAAATATTTACATGTATTTCACTCTAGGCTTTTCATTTTTATTTTTTAGTTTTTCTCCTCTTAAATAGTCTCTTATTGTGTTCATGCTTTACTGCATTAAGTAGAATTTCTAGGATAGTGTTATTTAATAGTGGACATAATGGGCTTCTTGTCTTTTTCCTTGTTTCATGGTAATTTCTCTGCCTGATTTTCAAAGGGGAGGGCATGTAAGGGTTTTTTTGGAGTATAAGAATAAAAGGAGGAAATTATACTTTACTGATTATCTACAGTAGAGAATGACACTGCCGCCTTCAGTTGCCCATATGCTGTCTGGTCTGGTGTGAAGTGTTTAGGAAAAGGAGAGCATCTCACACTGGGAGGTACTGTGGTACCTTCCAGTGACTTGTGACACAAGTGCCTGGTTAGGGGGATTGTATTAGTTCATTTTCAAGCTGCTGATAAAGACATACCAGAGACTGGACAATTTACAAAAGAAAGAGGTTTAATTGGGCTTACAGTTCTACATGGCTGGGGAGGCCTCACAATCACGGAGGAAAGCAAGGAGGAGCAAGTCACGACTTGACGTGGATGGCGGCAGGCAAAAGCAGAGTTTGTGCAGGGAAACTCCGCACCCCTCCCCTCTTTTTTTTTTTTTTTAAAACCATCAGATCTCTTGAGACTCAGTCACTATCACAAGAACAGTGCAGGAAAGACCCGCCCCCATAATTCAGTCACCTCCCACCAGGCCCCTCCCACAACATTTGGGAATTCAAGATGAGATTTGGCTTGGGATGAAGCCAAACCATATCAGGGATTTACAGATTATATTAATTTGCTTCAACTAGACTAATAGATAATGGGCAAGAGGCTTTACAGAACGTCTACCAAGAAACCTCAGCTTTTGATCATGCTGATCTAACAGGCCCAAGTAGACCCCAAGACAGTGACCAAGCTGACATTTCCTTTGCTCCCAAAAGGAGCCCTTCATTAGTTACTCTATGAGTTAGAGCACTGAGGAGTTCATCAGATTGGACAGAAGTTGGCCAAAACGATTAACAGACTTCCAAAAGACAATTTAAAATGTAGATCTCTATTGACTCTCACTGGCCTACATCTTTGAGATGAGATGGAAGATGGCTGCAGGTGGCTTTTGTGCCACAACAAAGTGTGCGTCTTATTTCAGGGCAAAGTTCTTAAGTGAATTGTCAAACACAAATAAGAGTCGCACGCTTTCTGTCATAAACAGTCAAATGATCTACACTTTCTGGTCTTTTCTGAGATGGTGGGATGTTGTTGGCCATACACAGGTAAAGATGACATTTTAACAAAGATTGAGGAAATCACCGCTTCTCAAAGGAACCTTATGCTGTGGAAAGAACATTTTTGAAAATAGATGTTTTTGGAAATGTCTCAACTATTATGTGATTTTGTAGCTAAAAAAAATAATAAGATGGTGAGTGCACTATCTACAAACTCTACTCTGTAAAGTTCAAAAATCTGGAAACAGAACTTTGTCAACTGTGTGAGAAACTTCCAAATGAAGAGATCAAGGGAGTTTCAGACTCATTTGTTAAAAATATGAAAATGCAACTGCTTTCAGTTTGCAAAATCATCTGTTGACGTTAGGGAAGATGAAACTTCACCAGCCAAATGTCAGCAAAAACCTTGGCATGCTTGTCAGATGGAATTGAAGAATGAATATTATGACTTCGTAAATACTGCCAATGACATTTTTCTTCCATTTGGATCTGTGTCTCTTACGGAGGTGTATTTTTGGTTATGGCAGACATGAAAATAAAGTCTGGAAATAAACTCAACCCAAAACCAAATCTTCAAATTACTGTATAACAAAGTGTTATGTCAAGGTTTTCAATAAGTGTGAATAATATTAAATCATCTTGTTTTCGCTAAAAAAATCCACTTTCTTTATCTTGAGTGCAAAGTTATTCATTTAACCAGTGTTTTAAAATTTATTAGTCTGGAGTTGCATGTAGAATTCCCATATTTCAGGATGTTATCTATTTATGCTTTCTATATTTGTTTTAATAAACCTGTCAGAGATTTGTTGTTTATTGGTTTTGTTCTGGAGAACTAGCTTTTTCAAATTATCTGTTTTCTAATTCACTTTCATTATTTCCTTTTTTTCCTATTTTCTTAATTTATTTTGTTGTTATTTTTTAACTAAGAAGTTAGCATTGAGGACTTAGTGTTTTTTCCTCTTTAAGATAAAAGAGAACATTTAAATAACAAAACTTTTTTTCTGAATGCTCCTTGGGTACATAATGAAATGAAGGCAGAAATAAAGATGTTCTTTGAAACCAACGGGAACAAAGACACAACATACCAGAGTCTCTGGGACGCATTCAAAGCAGTGTGTAGAGGGAAATTTATAGCACTAAATGCCCACAAGAGAAAGCAGGAAAGATCCAAAATTGACACCCTAACATCACAATTAAAAGAACTAGAAAAGCAAGAGCAAACACATTCAAAAGATCCAAAATTGACACCCTAACATCACAATTAAAAGAACTAGAAAAGCAAGAGCAAACACATTCAAAAGCTAGCAGAAGGCAAGAAATAACTAAAATCAGAGTAGAACTGAAGGAAATAGAGACACAAAAAACCCTTCAAAAAATCAATGAATCCAGGAGCTGGTTTTTTGAAAGGATCAACAAAATTGATAGACCGCTAGCAAGACTAATAAAAAAAGAGAGAAGAATCAAATAGACACAATAAAAAATGATAAAGGGGATATCACCACCGATCCCACAGAAATACAAACTACCATCAGAGAATACTACAAACACCTCTACGCAAATAAACTAGAAAATCTAGAAGAAATGGATAAATTCCTCGACACATACACTCTCCCAAGACTAAACCAGGAAGAAGTTGAATCTCTGAATAGACCAATAACAGGAGCTGAAATTGTGGCAATAATCAATAGTTTACCAACCAAAAGGAGTCCAGGACCAGATGGATTCACGGCCGAATTCTACAGAGGTACAAGGAGGAACTGGTACCATTCCTTCTGAAACTATTCCAATCAATAGAAAAAGAGGGAATCCTCCCTAACTCATTTTATGAGGCCAGCATCATTCTGATACCAAAGCCGGGCAGAGACACAACCAAAAAAGAGAATTTTAGACCAATATCCTTGATGAACATTGATGCAAAAATCCTCAATAAAATACTGGCAAACTGAATCCAGCAGCACATCAAAAAGCTTATCCACCATGATCAAGTGGGCTTCATCCCTGGGATGCAAGGCTGGTTCAATATACGCAAATCAGTAAATGTAATCCAGCATATAAACAGAGCCAAAGACAAAAACCACATGATTATCTCAATAGATGCAGAAAAAGCCTTTGACAAAATTCAACAACCTTCATGCTAAAAACTCTCAGTAAATTAGGTATTGATGGGATGTATTTCAAAATAATAACAGCTATCTATGACAAACCCACAGCCAATATCATACTGAATGGGCAAAAACTGGAAGCATTCCGTTTGAAAACTGGCACAAGACAGGGATGCCCTCTCTCACCACTCCTATTCAACATAGTGTTGGAAGTTCTGGCCAGGGCAGTTAGGCAGGAGAAGGAAATAAAGGGTATTCAATTAGGAAAAGAGGAAGTCAAATTGTCCCTCTTTGCAGACGACATGATTGTATATCTAGAAAACCCCATTGTCTCAGCCCAAAATCTCCTTAAGCTGATAAGCAACTGCAGCAAAGTCTCAGGATACAAAATCAATGTACAAAAATCACAAGCATTCTTATACACCAACAACAGACAAACAGAGAGCCAAATCATGAGTGAACTCCCATTCACAATTGCTTCAAAGAGAATAAAATACCTGGGAATCCAACTTACAAGGGATGTGAAGGACCTCTTCAAGGAGAACTACAAACCACTGCTCAAGGAAATAAAAGAGGATACAAACAAATGGAAGAACACTCCATGCTCATGGGTAGGAAGAATCAATATCGTGAAAATGGCCATACTGCCCAAGGCAATTTACAGATTCAATGCCATCCCCATCAAGCTACCAATGCCTTTCTTCACAGAATTGGAAAAAACTACTTTAAAGTTCATATGAATGCTCCTTTGCTACACTCTGTGATTTAAAAAAAATAAGTATTGTTTTTGTTATTTTTAAAAATAAGTATTGTTTCCATTTTCATTACTTTAAAGATAGCCCGTAATTATAACTTTAATTTAAACATTGACCTAGGAAATATTTAGGGGAATATAATAAAATTTTCAATTTTGGCTTCTATTTTATTTTAAAAAAATTTTATTTCCATAGGTTTTTAGGAAAGAGGTGGTGTTTGGTTACATAAATTCTTTAGTAGTGATTTGTGAGATTTGGGTGCACCCATCATCTGCCCAGTATACACTGAAAGTATTGACTTTCATTATTGTCTCTACTTAAATTCAACTGTGGTAGACCAACTTTTTAAATACGTATGCTGAAGTTTGCTCTGTGGTCTTATATTTGATAATTTGACGGATCTCTGGGGGACACACACACTCAGAAATGCACACATTAAATTAGCCTTCATAGCCTAATACCCACTTTTCTTCATATCCTTTTTGTTTTTATTTTTTGTCCAGGTAATTTATCAGAGGCTTATAGGGTGTCTTTAAAGACTTCAACCATTTTTAAAAATCTGTATTTATTTATTTATTTATTTATTTATTTATTACTTTTTTAGAGACAGTCTTTGTCGTCCCAGCTGGAGTGCAGTGGCAACATTATGCTCACTGCAGCCTTGACTTCTTGGGCTCAAACGATCCTCCCACCTCAGTCTCCGAAGTAGCTGAGACTACAGGTGCGCACCACCACGCTAGGCTATTTCTAAATTTTTCATAGAGATGAGGTTTCGCTGTGTTGCCCAGGCTGGTCTCAAACTCCTGGCCTCAAGTTATCCTCCTGTCTCAACCTCCCAAAGTGTGGGGATTGTGAGTATGAGCCACTGTGCCCAGGCAGTTTTTCTTTATATTTAAATTATTTTTACTTTACAGTGCTATGATATGGTACATAGAAGTTTATGACTAATATGCTATCATTTTGAATTTTACCCTCAAACATAGAATGACCTTCATCATCTTTCACTTGGACTTCACTGTACTTCAATGTTTTTTAGTTTGAATTGTTTGAAGTGAGAACTTTATTTTCTATTACATTTGACTTACAATATTTCCTCATGATTTACTTCATAAACTTCTCTACTTATTTTAATTTAAGTGACCCATTCAAGGCGGCGGGAGGTGGAGATAGTGTTGTTTTTGTGGTTGCTTCTGGAGGAATCTTCAGAAGCCATTATTATTCTGAAGGAAACTGAATCTCATTTTGTTTTTTTGTGGATATGCTCTGTCGCCCAGGCTGGAGTGCAGTGGTGTGGTCTCGGCTCACCACAGCCTCCACCTCCCAGGTTCAAGTGATCCTCCTGCCTCAGCCTCCCGAGTAGCTGGGATTACAGGTGTGCACCATGATGCCTGGCTAATTTTTGTATTTTTAAGGAGAGGCGGGGTTTCACCATGTTGGCCAGGCTGGTCTCAAACTCCTGATCTCAAGTGATCTGCCTGCCTTGGCCTCCCAAAGTGCTGGGATTACAGGTGTGAGCCACCGTGCCTGGCCGGTAAACTGTATTTTCTACCTGAATGCTCAGAGCATTTTTTCTTATCCTTGAAGTTCAAAAATGTTACCTGGAGATCTACCTCTGTCAGTGTCCTAAGCTAACATGGGTGCTTTTTCTGCTATCAACATAGAAATGCAGAATAAAATAGAAAAAAAATACCAAACGTGTCACTTTGCTGGTCATCTGCCTGCTTTCTTACGGATTTATCTGCCTTTTTCTCCTGCTACCCTGCATGGTAGGGCTTGATGTTTGCAAACTACATTTCCAGATTCCCTGGCAATAGGCTGCTGACTGATTTGGCCAAAAGGAGACACCAGCAGGAAATGAAAAGGCGGGAAAAAGAGAGAGGCTGGGGTATTTTTCCCCATCTCGATCTGCTTTTGATAATTGTCTCCAGCAGTGGCTGTCTCTTTTTAGTGGTTCTTGCTTTGAATCTTGGCAGAGCAAAGCCTTTCCATCTCTCCTTTTAGTTCCTATTGGGCAGCCCCTACCACGGTGCTAGATCCTTTTGGGAAACTCAACTTTGAGGTTCTGATAGTACCACCCTCTCCCTACGTCCTTCCAGACTAGGGGTGGGAATACGTTGCTGCCATCTCTAATCTCTGCTAAGTATCTCTGTTTGGCTTTTCCACCCTTCCAACAACTTAGTAGATAGCTGTTTTAAATCCTCTTGTTGAACTGCCTGATACAGGCTCTGTTTTCCTGGCTAAGCTCTGACGAATAAAATCAGTTAGAAAGAAAGGAAGGAAGGGGAAACTCAGAGCCCAGGGAGATAAGCATAGGAGTGGGCGCTACTGAACAACAGGAACCTCCCTGCCCCCCAGAAAGCTCTGGTGATGGGGTTTTAATGTTCATGCAGAGACAAAAGATGTGGTCTTGGACTGGCACAGGCAGGAAATAGGAAATGAGACTCCGGTTTCCCAGCCCCCTGTAATTCATGGACTAAATGTGTTTCTCCAAAAGTCATATGTTGAAATTCTTTTTTTTTTTTTTGAGACAGAGTATTGTTCTGTTGCCCAAGCTGGAGTGCAGTGGCGCGATCTCGGCTCACTGTAACCTTCACCTCCCAGGTTCAAGTGATTCTCCTGCCTCAGCCTCCCGAGTAGCTGGGATTACAAGCATGCGCCACCATGCCTGGCTAATTTT
The DNA here is from genome assembly GCF_000001405.40 of Homo sapiens. NCBI lineage: Eukaryota > Metazoa > Chordata > Mammalia > Primates > Hominidae > Homo > Homo sapiens. Next base: position 72,292,667 of record NC_000007.14, on the reverse strand, counting down.
TATATTTTTAGTAGAGACAGGATTTCACCATGTTGGCCAGGCTGGTCTCGAATTCCTGACCTCAAGTGATCCACCTGCCTTGGCCTCCCAAAGTGCTGGGATTACAGGCATAAGCCACTGCACCTGACTATATGTTGAAATTCTTATTGCCAATGTGATGGTATTAGCAGATATGGCCTTTGAGAGGTGATTGGGTCATGATATAGTGACCCAATCACCTCTCAAAGGCCCTATCTGCTAATGAGTGGGAGGTGGAGGCCTCATTCACTAATGAGGTGGAATCCTCACGAATGTCCTCTTATAAGGGGACAAAGAGACCAGAGCGCTCTCTGCTGTCCACCTCATGGGGACACAATGAGAAGAGGGCCCCCTGTAGACCAGGAAGAGGGTCTTCATCAAGAATTTGATCAAGCTGGCACCCTGATTTTGGCCTTCCAGGCTTGAGAACCATGAGAAATAAATGTTTGTTGTTTAAGCCACATATTCTGTTATATTGGGTTGGTGCAAGAGTAATTGCGATTTTTGCCATTGAAAGTAATGGTTGGTGCAAGAGTAATGGCAATAACTGCAATTATTCTTGTACAACCTAGTAGCAACTTACTATTCATGGACTAAATGTTTGTGTTTCCCCAAAAGTCATATGTTGAAATTCTTTTTTTTTTTTTTGAGATGGAGTATTGTTCTGTCACCCAGGCTGAAGTGCGGTGGCCCCTATCTGCTAATACCATCACATTGGCAATAAGAATTTCAACATATGGTCAGGCTCGGTGGCTCATGTCTGTAATCCCAGTACTTTGGGAGGCCAAGGCAGGTGCATCACTTGAGGTTGGGAGTTCGAGACCAGCCTGGCCAACATGAAGAATCCTGTCTCTACCAAAAATACAAAAATTAGCCGGGCATTGTGGTACATGCCTGTCATCCCAGCTACTTGGGAGGCTGAGGCAGGAGAATCACTTGAACCCGGGAGGTGGAGGTTACAGTTTTCACTTACAGGTGGGAGCTAGACTCAGTCTCCACACTGGCCCAGCAAAGTAGCAGTGATGCTTATTTTCTTCCCAGATCAATGGCTACAAAAGAGAAAGGCTACAGTGACAAATCAAAACTCTAAGCCAGTGTTCCAGGGGATGTGCAGTCCAAATGTACACTGCCTGTGTGGTGCAGGCTTCTAAGTTAAGGAATTAATGTAATGACTGGTTCTGAACTGGTGAGATGCCCTGTGTGATGGACGGGGATCTCTGTGAACTTGGAACTCCAGTGGGAAAAGCGTCACCTGTTGCAAAGGCTGCTGGGGTTCCTCCCCTCAACAAATGACAGGCAATACTGGGAAACAGTTTGTCACTGGGAAAGTCAGAGTAGTACAAAAAGAGGATTAGTGCCTTCAGAAATGGAAATTATAAAATGACATTCTGAAGAAAAATATGAAATAAGTCAGAAATGGTTAAAAGGGCTAGGCGCAGTGGCTCACATCTGTAATCCCAGCACTTTGGGATGCTAAGGTGGGCAGATCACTTGAGGCAGGAGTTCGAAACCAGCCTGGCCAACATGGTGAAATCCTGTCTCTACTGAAAATACAAAAATTAGCCAGGCATGGTGGTGCATAACTGTAATCCCAGCTACTTGGAATGCTGAGGCAGGAGAATTGCTTGAACCCGGGAGGCAGAGGTTGCAGTGAGCCCAAATTGCACCACTACACTCCAGCCTGGATGACAGAGTGAGATCTCTGTCTCAAAAAAAAAAAAAATGGTTAAAAGGTGAAAGAAAGTATAGGAATCATAATGAAAGATTGATACTCAGTGAAAAATAAGAGGTGTGTTTATAAAAGAACCAAAGTAAACTTCTGGAAATGGAAAATACAGTCATGTAAATGAAAAATTCAGTAGACAGGTTCAACCACCATTCAGTAAAAACTGAAAAGAGAAAGTACAAATTTGCAAATAATTTGAGGAGATTACTTCTAAGATACACAGAGAGGTAAAAATGTGAACAATTAAAAAGAGTTTAAAGAATATGGACAACACTATGATGTATCAGTGAAGACTTAGTTCAAGAACCAGTAACCACTCTGGGTATTTTAAGCAGGAGGGGATTTAGTATAAGGGATTTGATGCTTGCATAACTGTTCAAGGGTTGAAGGAGTGGATTTTAGGTGGTTGTCCAGAATGAATTCCAGAATAACTCAAAGTCAACTCTCCAGGAGAGTTGCTACCACTGAGGCTGCCACTGCTGTATATTGTCCCTGCAACATTCTCTTGACTTCCCAGCATTTAGAGAATGGTCCCCTAGAGCTGTGATCTGGGGATTCAGAAGCTGTTGCTGCCACCACCATAGCTGCTTTGTCACAGCCAGGAAACTGGAGAGTGAACAATGGAATGTTGCTGCAGGAAAATGTCATGTTTTCATGTCTTCTTTTCTGTAGAAAGTCAAAACATGGCAAGGAAACAGCCAGTGACATGCTGGAGCTAGCTCATAAGCTCATACTGGCTTGTGAGAGCCCACTTTTAAATTTTAAGGGATTTTGTGAGGTGACTATTAAATGCATCCTTTTTTTTTTTTTTTTTTTTTTTTTTTTTTTTTTTTTTTTTTTTTTTAAGACAGGGTCTCGTTCTCTGTTACCCAGGCTGGAGTACAGGGGTTTAATCATAGCTCACTGCAGCCTTGAACTTCTGGGCTTAAGCGATTCTCCAACCTCAGCCTCCTGAGTAGCTAAGACTACAGGCACATACCACTATGCCCGGCTAATTGTTTTATTTTTTGTAGAAATGAGGTCTTGCTATGTTGCCCAGCTGGTCTTGAACTCCGGGCTCCCACCTTGGCATCCCAAAGTGCTGGGATTACAGGTGTGAGCCACCACACTCAGCCTATGCATTCATTCTTAAAAATGGAATATGAACTTACAATGAAATAAGTGAAAAATCAAGGTAATAAATATTTAAAATTCATCACTTCCTAATCATTTTGCTACATTTTACTATTATTTGTGATTTTGTGGTTAATTTAGCCTATTGTGTGTGTGTGGTGGAGATACTTCATGGTGGTATGCTGGTATACTGCTGCACATCTCTTTCCAAATCCATGTTTAGTGGTACCATGTTGGGAGCTTGGAATTGGTCCTTGTTGGGAATATTTTCACCATGAAAATGGAAAATGCTACACATCAAGAGTGTTTCTTTTTGAGACCAAGTGCTAAACATTTACCAGTATATCACTGCCTTCACCTCATGTCTATATTGCAAATTTTGTGTAAGAGCTTTTGAATATTAGAACTAACTTTCATCCAGAACCTTAGTAGCAAGAAAGTCTGGAAAATAGTTATTGGCCTCCCAGCTTCCTCAGTCAGATGAACTGTGAATAGCTTTTGGGTGAACCAGTCAAGAGAATCCAGCTTGAACAAAGAGGTCCAACGTACATCTAATAAGAGCTTACCAAAAAGAGAATAAAGAGATTTGGAGAGCACCTATATCTGAAAACATAATGACTTAGAATTGTCCAGAATGAGTATGAATAGGTGAACAGCAAGTATACCTATAGATTTCTCATCAGCAACAAAACATTTTTTAAGTGCTAAGGAAATCATTAATTTATAATTCTCTACTAGGTTAACCTTCATAATTCAAATGAAGTTGAAATAAAGACTTTTTAAGACAAAGACTTAGAAAGCTTGCCATTTATAGCCCCTTATTTACATTTACACTTCATTGAAAAAGAAATTGAATCTGGAACAAAGGAGTAGCCTGCAAGAACCAATGATGAGCAGAAAATTGGCAAACTTGTGGAAAAGTTTACATAAGTATCGATTGTAAGAAACAATAATTCTGACTAATTTTTGGGGAAAAGGGGTTAAAAATAAGATTGAAATTGGACACTGGACAATAACATAGAAGGACAAAGCAGTGCAAAAATCATAAACAATCCAATACATAAAGATGAAAAGCATACTTGTAGCAGAAGAAATTGAATGAGTAAAAGCCATATAAAAAGATGCTTAAGCTAGCAGTGAAGGAAATCCAATTAAAAATGAAACAGTCTGCTAATACCAAGTTTTGGCAAGGCTATCGGGGAAATTGACACACTCCTAGACTAATGGTGGATCTGTAAATTGTCACAATCATTAAGGTGTTTTTAAAATACATCTAAAAATTATCTGATACTCCATTTTTCAAAAGGTGGAGTCTAATTCCTTTCCCCCTAAGTGTTGGCTGTATTCAGTGACACAGTTCTAATGAAAACAATGTGGCAGAAGTGATGATGTGTGATTTCCAAGACCAAGTCATAAGAGCCCCTACCCCCATGTCTTTGATCACTTGCTTGGGGTGATCCAGCTCCCATGTCATAAGGACACTTCAGAAGCCCTATGGAGAGACCCACAAGAAAGTGAGACCTTTTATGAACATCTCTTTCCAAATCCATGTTTAATGGCATCATGTTGGGAGCCATGTGAGTGCTCCCAACTCACGTGAACAAAGCTATGTGAGTGCACCATCTTGGAAATGGATCCTCCAGCCCCGGTCAGGCCTTCTGATGATGGTGGCCCCAGTCAGTGTCTTGACCGCAATCAGAGGAGACTCCTTGAGCCAGAACCACCCAGCTTAAGCAGCTCCTGATTCTGACCCACAGAACCTGAGATAATAAATATTTATTTTAAGCCACAAAGTTCAGGGGTAATTTATTATATACCAATAAATAACTATTATATACCAATAAATAACCCAATCACTTTGGAGTGCAATTTCACTAAATCCAATAAAGGTAAAGATTCGCATACTCAATAACCAGGTAGTATTTTATCTAGATATGCAGTTCAGAGAAATTCCTGCAAATATATATGAAGAGACACACATGGGGGTATTCATTGCAGCACACTTTTCCATCGATTGTGTAATTTATATACAATGGAAAACTGTTGAGCAGTTAAAAATTAACTAGGCTGGGCGTAGTGGCTCACGCCTGTAATCCCAGCACTTTGGGAGGCTGAGGCAGGTGGATCACGAGGTCAGGAGATCAAGACCATCCTGGCTAACACGGTGAAACCCCATCTCTACTAAAAATACAAAAAATTAGCCGTGCGTCGTGGCGGGCGCCAGTAGTCCCAGCTACTCGGGAGGCTGAGGCAGGAGAATGGCATGAACCCAGGAGGCGGAGCTTGCAGTGAGCCAAGATTGCGCCACTGCACTCCAGCCTGGGTGACAGAGCCGAGACTCTGTCTCAAAAAAAAAAAAAAAAAAAAAAAAAAAATTAATTTGGTGTATGTGTATGGATTTAGATAGATCTCAGAAATCCAATATAGAGTGAACCATGCAGGTTGCAAAAGCATATGGATGGTGTAATATCATTTATGTAAATTTAAAGATCGGCACAGCAATGATACAATATATTCTATGTAGTTACATCAAAATCTGGACAAATTTAAAAGCATGGACAGGAAGGATAATAGAGTTGTCACTGTGGAGGGAGGGAAGTGAAAGAATAGAGTAGGTGGTAAGGGTTTCAGTGTAATATGTTATTTCTTTAAAAAATAAGCAAAGAAGGCAAAATATCATTAAATCTGGGTGGTGGGTACATGGGTGCATTATGTGGTAAAATTTCTGTTTCTTTGAAATACTCTTCATTGCCTTTAATGCAGATTTTCATTCTGCTACTGTTTTTGCATTTCTCCTTTGTTTGCAAATGCATGCACCTTTTCCAAACCGGCTTACCTCTCAGCTTATTGCCTTTTCTTTTTGTCTTGATATCTCTTCTTCTCACTCTGATATTTCTTTATGAATTTGCATTCCTGTGTCATAGACACCTTGTTAAAGTTTGTAAAATTGTCCTTTCTTGTATTATATCATTATTGGCAATAGGCTTTTGCTGTACTTCTTCTTGAAAGTTCTTCCTTCTCTAATGATGCAGAACTTTTACACAGACCACTACGTTAGTGTTTTTGCTTACTCATTCTTGTCTGATTTGAGATCTGTCCAAACCAAGTGTTTGCCAACTGGCATGCCCCTGCAGGATTTTAACAGGGGAACAAAACTGTTTCATAAGTGCTTAGCCAAATGTCCAGGGTCTAGCTGGCCTTTGTTGAGAGCATCTTTGCTGGAGTAAGATGAGATCTTCTTGTGCCCACCATGTAGCTGTTGAACAGAGAGGAAGACATATATATTTCTGGGTTATTTGAGGCCTTCTGCAGTTTTTTCTTAATCAGAAGCAATGCATGAAAAATCATAATCCCCATAGGTCATTACTCCTGGGATCCTTCTCACCAACACCTGTGCCTTGCAGCTAATTTCTCATCTTCATGTGCAGGGTCCACGTCTCAGACCTTCCATTCCTAGCCACCTTGCATACTGGGAGTTATGATCCATGAGTAGCTAGAGGAAAAAAAGTTGTTGCTTCACAGTGGTGGAAGAGATGGTGGTGGGATTTGACCTTGGCTGCTTTAATAAAGCAATTCCAGTCAGAAGGGTGATTGCCTGCTGTTATGGTTGGTCATCCCTAAGTCCCTGAAACAGAAGAGAATTTGGGTAGATAACAATCTCTTCTTATCCCTGTACTATCTGACTCTGTTATTCCGTCTCTGACTTCAAGGCTGCACCACTGATTATTCATCATTCTAATCCTAACTGCACTGATTTTATGAAAGCTTCTTCCATACTCTGGCATTGGTGGTGTTGAGAATATCATTATTTTGGTGTGCTTTCGTGGTTGTTTTTACAGGAATTTGGCAAAGGCTGTGTCAGGACTGGTTAGGCTCTTTAACCTTTAGCATGCAAGATCAATATTGCCCCTTGTATGTCTGGTAATTGGAGGACACGGATTGCTGTCAAGTCTGCAAGAGATGCCTTGTACTTCTCTAGCACTCTATAGAGAGCTCAGGAATCAATTGAAGTCTTTCAGCTTCTTTCAGAAGTCCATCTAAGACTTTTAAGAAATCTTAAGCTCTTTGAAAAAGTTTCAGGGACAAGTTAAGATGCATTTCTCCAAATGTTTTTCTTGCTTTCTCTGTGGTTCATTACCAGAAATCTATACAACATAAATTAAATACTTTAGAGCTGTGCTTCTCAAACTATTTGTGAGGAAGGACCAGTTTTAATTTTTTTTAGTTTCGGTCATTTGTAGACTGATACTTTAAAAAAGTACAGTAAGAGCTGGGCGCTGTGGTTCACGCCTGTAATCCCAGCACTTTGGGAGGCCGAGGCGGGCAGATCACAAGGTCAGGAGATCGAGACTATCCTGGCCAACACGGTGAAACCCCATCTCTACTAAAAATACAAAAAATTAGGCAGACGTGGTGGCAGGCGCCTGTAATCCCAGCTACTTGGGAGGCTGAGGCAGGAGAATGGCATGAACCCGGGAGGCGGAGCTTGCAGTGGCTGAGATCGTGCCACTGCACTCCAGCCTGGGCAACAGAGCAAGACTCCATCTCAAAAACAAACAAAACAAAACAAAAACCAGTAAGAAAGAATTACCAGGAAAAATAAAAGAAGCAAAAATATACAAAAATCAAGTCCACTGGTCAAGTGCTTAGAAGTTGGGGCAATGCTCTAAATTGCTATTTCAATGCTTTCTCTCAGTTCTTTTACTTATCTCACTGCAGACCAGCAACAAATGCTATGCAATTTGCAGTGGTCTATAGACCACACTTTGAGTAGCACTGCTTTAGAAGCCCTGCAGAACACACAGGGCTTTGCTCAGAATAATAATAATACCCTACTGCAATGTGCCTGGGTCCTTGGTACTGTAGAGGAAAAAAAAGGAAGGTGCATTAATGTGGGTTCTCCAAAGAAACAGAATCTATCTATCTATCTACCTACCTACCTATCCATCCATCATCTATCATATATCTCTATCTATCTATCTATCTATCCTTAATCTATCTGTATAACTTTAAAGAGATTTATCATAAGGAATTAGCTCATGCAGTTACAGACTCTGAAAATTCCACAGTCTGCTGTCAGCAAGCTGAAGACCCAAGAGAAATAATGGTATAGTTCCAGTCTGGTTTGAAGACCTGAGAATCAGATAGTGAAAAGCTCCAGTCCAAGTCTGAGTTCAGTGGCAGAATTAAGACTGATGTACCAGCTTGAAGACAGTTTGAAGAGCAAATTCTTTCTTAGTGTGTTCATTCCATGTAGGCCTATCATTCTATTCACTGTTGGATGAGACCCACCCACACTGGGGAGGAGAATCTGCTTTACTCAGACTACCAATTCAAAAGTTAACCTAATCCAGCAACACCCTCACAGACACATCACAGAGAATAATGTTCAACCAAATATCTGGGCAACCCATGGCCCAGTCAAGTTGACACATAAAACTGACCATCACAAAAGGGCATCATTTCAAGTTAATGTGAATGAGGCTCTTTAGTTTATTTATTTAATTAACTTTTTAGAGACAAGGTCTCCCTCTGTTGCCCAGGCTGGAGGGCAGTGGCAAGATCACAGTTCACTGCAGCCTCAAACTCCTGGGCTCAAGTGATCTTCCTACCTCAGCCTCCTGAGTAGCAGGGACTACAGTCATGCACCACCATGCCTGACTAAAATTTTTAAAATTTTTCTGTAGAGACACAGTCTCACCATGTTGCCCAGACTGGTCTTGAACTCCTAGCCTCAAGTAATCTTCCAGCATCAGCCTCCCAAAATGCTGAGATTACAGGTGTTAGGCACCATACATGGCCTCTTCAGTATATTACTCTGTCAAGAAATGTACCAGTTCCTTGACCCCATTAACAGGAACCATCCCTTTTGGTTTTAACCTCACAAGATCTTTTCTTTGATATGACAATTCAGCCAGCCTCCCTGGCACCCAGGAAGTGGACTCTTCTTTGGCTCTGGCACTTTCCATTCAAGTAGCCCCTTCTGCATACTGACACCATTCAGCACTGGAACCCGCTGGTGCTTTGCTGCTCACACCTGATCCCTCAGCACAGTGGTTTACATGCCAGCCTCTCCCTGAAGCTTGCCCTTTGTCAGGTCTCACTGACCCTCCTTTGTAATCCAGCATGTAATCCAGGCATCAATCTAATTCATCCATGACTTCTTGTTGCCCCTGCATCCTGCTTCATATGATCCTTAGCAAATAATTACTGGTGTTACTCACTGAGCAGATGCCTGGTGCTAAGTACAGTGCTTTCCATATCTTATCTTTTTAGAGTCAAGAGTCTTGCTCTGTCACTCAGGCTGGAGTACAGTGGTGGGATCATAGCTCTCTGAAGTCTCAAATTACTGTGCTCACATGATCCTCTCACTTCAGCCTCCGGAGTAGCTATGACTACATGTGTGTGCCACCATGCCCAGCTAAATTTTTTTATTTTTTGGTCTGTGTGAAGAGACAGGGTCTTGCTCTGTTGCCCAGGCTGGTCTGGAAATCCTGACATCAAGTGATCCTCCCTCCTTGGCCTCCCAAAGTGCTGGGATTATAGATGTGAGCCACCATGCCTGGCCGTTTATCTTATTTAATATTTACAACAGTACTATTCTCTTCAGTATATATTAAAACCCATTTTACAGAAGAGGAGACAGGCTTACAGAGGTCAAACTACTTATTTACCTGGCTAATAAGGGCAGAGGTAGGATTCAAATCTAACACTGTTTTTGACTAGAAAGTGCTGATTCTTTTTTTTTTTTTTTTTGAGATGGAGTCTCCCTCGATCACCCAGGCTGGAGTGCAGTGGCACGATCTCGGCTCATTGCAACGTCCACTCCCGGGTTCAAGTGATCCTTGTGCCTCAGCCTCCCAAGTAGAGCTGGGATTACAGGCACCCACCACCATGCCTGGCTAATATTTGTATTTTTAGTAGAGACGGGGTTTCACCATGTTGTCCAGGCTGGTGTCCAACTCCTGACCTTGGGTGATCTGCCTGCCTTAACCTCTCAAAGTTCTGGGTTTACAGGCATGAGCCACCACACCCAGCCAATTCTTAACCATGAAACCACTCTGCTTTAGTTTCTACTGCTGTAACAAATACCTTAGACTAGCTAATTTATAAACAACAGACATTCATTGCCTACAGTTCTATGGGTTGGGAAGTCCAAGATCGAGACACCTATAGATTTTGTGTCTGGTGAGAGCTGCTCTCTGCTTCCAGGATGCTGCCTTGTTGCTGCATTTTCACATGGTGGAAGGCAGAAAGACAAAAGAGCCTTGCTAGTTCCTTCCAACCCTTTTATAAGGGTATTAATCCCATCAGTGAGGGAGGAGCCCTCATGGACCTAATCAGCTTCTAAAGGCTCCATCTCTTAATACTACCACATTAGAGTCTTAGATTCCAGTGTATGAATTACTGGGGGACACATTCATTCAGACCATATCACTGGTTTACATAAAACACAGAAAGATTGTTTTCATGACAGTCGCTTAAATATTTCACAGTGAGTGAAACTGCTGTTGAAAATATTTATTTATTTTTGTTTGTTGCTCTCTATAGAAGGATCCATCTTCAAGTTTTAGTTTCAGGACAAGGTTTATCTTTGCTTGAACTTGTGTATTTCTCTTCCCTTAGCCAAGGAGAGAATCTTAAAGCTTGGGTTTCCCTAGGCAGCTTGGAGTGAAATTTAGTCCTTAATTGCAGCAGCTGTTTTTAGCTTACTTAGGATAATGTTCTTCCCTTTCTTGAACATGACTTTATATATCTATATGGATCGTTCCATTGCTCATGGTTTCTTCCCCACTAGACTTTGAGCTTTTTGAATGCAGAGACTAAATGAACTGAATGTGTACCTAATTTTGTAAGCTGCCTTTTTTTTTCAGAAGCAAATTATGTTGGTATATCAAGTGGGATTCAGTTGTGACCAGTTTTCTCTGCAAAGTACTCAACATTTATTCTGTGGCTGAACTGGGGCGTGGGTTGGAGATGCTTGCTTGAGTATAACATCCTTATTATGACTGTAAAAATTTGTGTAGTGAATCCAAAGCTGCAGACAACCAGGTAAAAGGTGACAATAGGAAGATATTTATAAAATGCTGAGAAACTAGAGTGATGCATGGTGGAATGGAAGGAATGCTTTTTGTACCGACCTTAGTGGGTCTTGTTCCAGGAAGTGAATTAGATAAGAACAGAGCAGGTGTCTTTCCATGCTTGTGAAGACTTAAACGTTGGTTAAGGTAGCAGCTGGTGAGGCTCATCTAGTGAGGCTTAGCTAACAAATTAGATAATATCAGAGCAGGTGTCTTCCCATGTTTATGAAGACTTAAACATGTTAAGATAACAGCTGGTGAGGCTCACTGTGTGTGGGACTGGTACTGAGGGTGAAGTTGAAATCACATAAGAAGTGTTAGCCAGGGTTGACATCTCATTTTCTGGACCATGGATGTCTCAGTCTGTTTTGTGCTGCTGTAACAGAATACCTGAGACTGGGTTGTTTACAAAGAGCCAAGATTTGTTTCTTATATCTCTGCAGGCTGGGAAGTCCAAGGGCAAGGGTCCTACATCTTTCAGGGGCCTTCTTGCTGTGTCGTCCTGTAGCAGAAGAGGAAGAGAGCATGAGTGTTAGAGAGAGAATGAAAGAGGCAGAGAAGGGAAAGGGGCTGAATTCATCTTTTTTTTTTTTTAGACGCTCTTGTTGCCCAGGCTGGAGAGCAATGGCATGGTTTCAGCTCACTGCAACCTCTGCCTCCTGGGTTCAAGCAATTCTTCTGCCTCAGTATCCCGAGTAGCTGAGATTACAGGTGTGCACTACCATGTCCAGCTAATTTTTTGTATTTTTAGTAGAAATGGGGTTTCACCATGTTGGCCAGGCTGGTCTCGAACTCCTGACCTCAGGTGATCCACCTGCCTAGGTCTCCCAAAGTGCTGGGATTACAGGTGTGAGCCACCGCACCCAACTGAACTCATCCTTTTATAAGGAACTCACTCTTGTGATAGGTAACCTATGCCTGCAATAACAGCATTAATTCTGTCCTCATGACCTAATCACCTCTTAAAGGTCCCACCTCTCAACACTGTTGCATTGGGGATTAAGTTTCTGACACACAAAATTTTGGGGAGACATTCACATTATGGCAGTGGGTATCAGTCCGTACTCAAATGACCATGACACACAGTCCCAAGAAATCAGGATTGGCCTTAAGGAAAAGATAGAGTAGTCCTAATTCACACATGCGATTCTTCCTTTTAAAGCTTTTTGGTCTGAAAATTAACTTGGAGAAAAAAGGAGGTGGTCATTGAAGTGTTCTTCTAGAGAAAGATTCTTGTATTCTGTTTAAATATAAGGATAGATTTGGAAACATCTCACTTGTAACTAGCTGAAGATGTACCTCTTATAATTGGCAAATGCATATACCCTTTGTAATCAGCATCCTGCCATTTGCAATTGTTCTGTGGATGTACATGCTGTTAGCTATGGAAAGAGTTAAGGGCGAGGGGATGGGTTGCAAGCTGACAGTTGGCTCTTGCCTCAGCCATGTGTCTGTTTTACTTTTTGGGGCCCCGAGCATTTGGGAGAGTTGTCCCAGTTGTTGTGATGAGCGAAAAGCACCTTTGATAGAAATAGAGAAACCAGAAAGTGTAGCCTACTTTGTAGGAAGATAATTAATTCATTTTTAGACATTTTGAGTTTGAAATGAGGGTTTGACATCCGGGTGGAAATGTCTGGCACTTAGCTGGGTCTGCTTAATGGAAATAGCATGTAGGATGCTGGAGTTCTAGAACAACTTCTGTCACTAACTGGCTTTGTGCTCCTGGTTAAACCTTTTAATTTTCAGGGGTTTCACAGGTTGAGTGCTGCCCAGTTCACTTTCCAGAAGCTCCGATACAAAGATGTTCTCTACCCACTCCTTGTGATTGACTCCTGTGCTTCCTGCCTGTTGGCCCTAATTCTGCTCAGAGGTTTATCCATCCTCTTAGTCCCCTTTGCTAGATGGGGAACCAGAATGTGAAGCATTCGGCGTCTTGTTCAAAGTCACGGAGAGCATCATTAGACAAGTTGGGCCAGGAGCTATGCTCTTTCTGCTTTGGAGAAGATAATCTTCCCATCTGCCTTTCCTCTTTCTTGTCGTTGCTCATTCTTCCATTCTCTTCCATTGTCTTTGCTGTCCTTTTATCTCACATCTCTTTTTTCCGTAGCCTGGAGCCTCCAGTCAGCCTTGCATTAGTGGAAACTTCTAAGCCCCATTGATGACCATCTGGGTTCAGGAGCTTTTTTCTATTGGCGTAGAAGGATGCTTTAACTTTGTGTGAGAGTGCTGGAAGTAGCTTCGTTGTGGGACACCTGAAGGCGTCACTCCTGTTTCCAGCAGGGCAGGTGTGATTAGCATTTCAGAATGTGTGTGCTCACACACCACTCATGTAAGCAGCATCTGCATCTCAACCAGGTTTGGCAGCTGCTGCTTGAGATGCAGAGCATTGCATGTACTTACTTAGAGCTTGGGCATTTCCTACCTGTTTTGAGTGCTGTGTGAGTGCAATGCCTATATTATCTGGGAGAAATGAGACATTTGGATCTCTGCTTGATCACAGACAAGACATCTAGTCCCTGGGCATCCCTACACTTCTGGGATTCTCAGTCCTTCCTTACAAGCATCAAGTGAGAATTTATCGGGCCAAGGAAAGGAGTCAAGGATATTGCCGTTTGCAAAGAGATAGTTCGATGGTGATGTGGTGTGCCATGATTAACAAGGACAACATCGTTCAAATTCATAATTAAATGGGGAAAATGAAGTAAGATGTACAGTGAAGGAATGGGAAAAACCTGAATTCCTTTGGAAATTGCTCAGGTCATTGGGACCCTGGAAATATCTTGACTTTCCCACTAGAAATATTACTGCTATTTTTAAAATGACACTGGCCATCTGAAAATCAGATGGTCCTTTAAGAAAGGAAAGGAAGAATGAATGATGATGTCTTTCTTTTCCCCTCCCCTGTTCTCTCTTGGGCAGGGAAAAGATGCCGTTCCACCATGTGACCGCCGGCTTGTTGTACAAGGGGAATTACCTCAACCGATCGCTCTCTGCTGGCAGTGACAGCGAACAGCTGGCTAATATCTCCGTGGAGGAGCTCGATGGTAAGGAGCCTACCCTGTTTGGGGGGATGGCCCCCCTCCCAGGGAGGTGTTTCTGGCTATTGTGAAGCTCAATTGAAAGCCCTGGACTTTGGCCACTCCTTGGCAGTTGTGGCCAAGTGTAGCCATGGCATAATGGGAAAGAGTTCAGAGACAAAGTTTTGCCCAAGTGACGTGTGTGTGTGTGTGTGTGTGTGTGTGTGTGTGTGTGTGTGTACAGACCTGATAGCCTGAGCAATCTATGGTGGATATTTCGGTTTCCTTGGATAGTGACTGGGGGGATAGCCTTCACCTCTCTTAAAATGTGTTTTCCATTTTCCGGAGTCTTTATCACCAATGGAATTGTCTTGTTTCTGTGTTGTCACTGACAATGGAGTCCATCTGCAGGGGAGGTTTAAGCCCTGTTAATGGCTGTCTCTTGACTTCTGGCCATGGTGCTTTGAATCCTGTTCAGATCAGAATCATCTGGAAGCTTTGTCTAGGTGACAGTGGATAGCAATTATTTTAATTGCCTCTGTTTCTTTGTAACACAGTACAGCCCTGGGTGCTCAAGGCAGGGGTTAGGGATGGACATAAACCTGGGAACGTGATGACTAAATTCATCCTAGGACTGTGTCTCATTGTATCTTGGATAAACCAATCCTCTAATTAAAAATAGGAAAAACAAGTCCCCCCCCCCCGGAATAGAGGATTAGGTTGATTTGGCCTGATGTTTTTACCTAGGTACTACATCGGCTGAGGTCAAACCAGAATCAGTTTTCCCTCGTGTTTTTGAATACTTTGTTGTTTGTAATAATATCATTTTAAGGCACAAAGTTTAAATTTACTTTCTCAAGTAGAGAAGTCAAAATTACCCCAGTTGGCCCACATATTTGCTTTTAAGTGTAATGGTTCAAATCAGTGTGCTTTGTATGTGCACATTAGGGAGCCTCATTTCTCCCAGAAGGAAGATGGAGGACATTTGGCTCTGAGACAGTGAAGCCAAACTTGCTTCACAACAGGCAGGAAGTGAGGGAGGTGAAGAGGAGAGGCCATTGAATAGCTTCTCCTTCTCTCATCCATTTTGCTTGTGTGCTTATTTAAATGCTTGCTTATTTACATGAATGAGCAGGGAGGCAGCAGAGGATGTGGCCCCGGTGGGCTGGGTCCAAAGAGAGTCTGGGGGATGTTTGAAGAAGTGGAGTGATTGGGGCAGAATCAAGATTCCTAGGGATAGCGGCTGCTCACTGTGGTCTGGACAAAGACTGGTGGCCTGAGAGGAGAGCAGGAACCCTTACATCTTCTGGTCTTCAGTTGAGCAAAAGGTGTGCTGGTGCAGGACACAGAAGCAGGAAATTGAGCTCTGACCTCCTCCAAAGTGAGCCCATACAGGCGACCACAAATTCAGGCTAAGGCTGCCCTTGGGTGGTGTCTTGGTCTGTTCAGGCTGCTGTAACAAAACACCATAGACTAGGTGGCTCATAAAAAACAGAAATTTATTTCTCACAGTTTGGGAGGCTTGGAAGTCTAAGATAAAGATGCCAGCAGATTTGATGTCTGGGGAGGGCCACTTTCTGATTCATAGATGTCACTTGGGTGGCGTCTTGGTCTGTTCAGGCTGCTATAACAAAACACCATAGACTAGGTGGCTCATAAAGAACAGAAATTTATTTCGCACAGTTCAGGAGGCTTGGAAGTCTAAGATCAAGGTGCCAGCAGATTTGATGTCTGGGGAGGGCCACTTTCTGATTCATAGATGTCACTTTTCTTGCTGTGTCCTCATATGGTGGAGAGAGTGAATAAGTTCTTTTGTGCCTTGAGTATGTAAGGGCACTGTCTTAGTCTGCTTTGTGTTGCTATAACAACATAGTACCTTCTGGGTAATTGATATAGAAAAGAACTATATTTGGCTGATGGTTCTGAAGACTGGGAAGTCCAAGTGCATAGCACTGGTATCTGGTGAGGGCCTTCATGCTGTTTCATCCCATGACAGAAGGTGGAAAGGCGAGAGAGGGTAAGAGCAAGAGAGGGCTAAACTCACTTTTATAATAGTCCACGCTCTGGATAATGAACTCCCCCCGAGATAATGACATTAATCCATTCATGAGGGCAGATCTTTCATAGTCAAATCACGTCTTAACCATCCCACCTCTTAGCACTGTCATAATGCTAATCAAATGTCAATGTGAGGTTTGGAAGGGACATTCAAACCATAGCAGGCACTAATCCCATTCATGAGGGCTGCTCCCTCCTAATCACCTCCTGAAAGACCTCACTTCTTAATGACATCACGTTGGTGGTTAGGTTTCCACATAGGCATTTTGGGGGGACCCAAACATTCAGCTCATAGCAGGTGTGTTTGGGAGGTGAAGTGAGGCCCAGGCTTTTCCTACCTATGGGAGTCTTCACTGTGAATAGACATTAGGGCAGGTGGTACATTAATGTGGGGTGGATGTTTGCTTGTGTTTATTTGAGTAGATCCTCCAGGCTCAGTCATCAGCAGGAGGGACTGGGAGTCCCCCATGCGTGCAGGACCCACTGAGTGGCCCTGGCTGAGAACTGGGCAACACTATCTATATGTTTTGGGCAATTATTTAAGAGGTTAAAAATCACTAACCAAATGGAGTTTGGAATCATCTGTGGCTTTCCATATTCTCCCCCCTTCCTCCTTCCCAACTTTGCCATGAATGATCAAGAGATGATTTCTCTGTGACTTTTCAGTGCAATGGCTTTTTTCACTGTTAAATTCAAGCTCTGCTAAGGCAACTGTTCAGGGCTACTGTGGGGGTGCATGGCTTTTCAAGAGGGCTGCTGGCTGGATTTCAACCCTCCTCTCCCTACTTGGGTGCCCTGGTGAAATGCCCTCCACTTTCCTGGACAAACAGAAAAGCATATAAACTTGCTATTTTAATCAGGCAAAGGCAGCTTGAGAAGCACTGAAATGCACTTTTTCAGTATGTAGATTAGCGAGAGTAATTCTAAGAGCCCTCCAAGCCCAGGCTGGCAGCCTGAGCATTGGCAGCCTTGGGGTAGTTTATTGAGTGAAGTGGGGGCTTTATAAAGTCCCGAGATTGGCTGGTGAAGATGCTGTGTTTGTCCTTCAGGAGGGTAATCCAGGCTCTCAGCCTGGGGAAGGGCCATTTATTTTCTGACAGAAGATTCGTTCTACTTATTTATTTAGTTTTTGCCAAGGCGAACACTGAGTTATGACTGTTCCTGGTTTATTACAAGCATCTCGGGGCTCTGGGCAGGACAGTGCGGATGTGTTCTGATTTTAGAGCAGGCACGCAGGGTCTGGAAACCAACTGGCTTGAATCAATTCAGATGACTATGGATTGGTGTTGGGGAAGCCAGTTTCCAGGGCATAGTTTGCTTGCTGTTCTCTTGGGCTGCTGCATGGCAAGGTGACCCTAAAGTTCTGCTGGTTGGGGGCACTCATTTACCCTCAGAGGACAGGTGGTGCTGCACTGGGAGTTGATGTGTTGGACACTGATGGACATCGCAGCATCCTTTGTGGTCTGGCTGCCTTGAGCATAGGCATTAGTTGGGTGCTATCCTTATCTGCTGTCAAGCTCCCCACCCTGCAGCCACTGCAGCCTTCTGCTTGTGAATGGCTACAGGTTTCCCCACCTGTTCGTGTTTATCACCAATGATGGAAAATCCCTTTCCTCCAGTGTAAGGGCCAAAGGTGTGCACTTCGTGAATGGTTATCCTCTGAAAACAGGCATGAAAAGGACCACTTGCCACGCAGGTCATTTTCAGCTGCAATTCCCTTCTGGGAAGTCCCTATTTCTTCTCTTTACACAAAGCTCAGGAGGGAAACATGCAAAGCTGCTTCAAAATGATCAGATTAAAGTTGGGAATCACCCAGCCAAACTCAGTGAAGGTGGATTGATGGAGACAGTCATTCATTCATTCATCCATTTTTATTCATTCATTAAACGGATATTTACTAGGTGGAGGAGGAAATGCCTTCTAGGTAGTAGAGGAAAATCAAATAAGCATAATATTCATTGCCTCTTTCCAAGGAGCTTACGTCTATCCAGGAAGTTTATGCATATACCAGATTTATTAGCAATATCTTATACTTTTAGAGTGCATTATATGGAATTCTATTAGATATATGCAGTATGATTGTTGAAGAATAGTTTTCTTAATGCTATTTATTGAATAATCTCGTGATACTATCTTTTTTTTTTTTTTTTTGAGACAGTCTCACTCTCACCGAGGCTGGAGTGCAGTGGCGCGATCTTTGCTCACTGCAACCTCCACCTCCCAGGTTCAAGCTATTCTCCTGCCTCAGCCTCCCAAGTAGCTAGGATTACAGGCATGTGCCACCACGCCTGACTAATTTTTGTGTTTTCAGTAGAGACAGGGTTTCACCATGTTGGCCAGGCTGGTATTGAACTCCTGACCTTAAGTGATCTACCCACCTTGGCCTCCCAAAGTGCTGGAATTACAGTCGTGAGACCCTGTGCTTGGCCTTGTAATGCTATCTTAATCTTAAACTAAATTCACCTCCATCTGAAGTTTACCTCTTTTCTTTAATATATAATGTTCCACTGTATATAAATATATCTTAATTTATTTTCCTATTTTATTCTCAGTGGATATTTGGGTTGTTTTCAGTTTGGAGCTATTAGGAAATAGCTATTAGCTATTTTCCAGTTTGTGAAAATCTCTTCTGTTTCTGGTCATAAATTATTTGTATATATATTCATAATAAAAGTCTTTTTCTCTACGTCTTCCAGATGATGGTAACTTTCTTTTGCATGAAACTTTTTTTTTGTATAATTTATATTGCTTTTTTCTATTATGCTTTGTAACTCAACATTATGAAGTTTTTTTGTAGGCTCAGTATTTGTCAGTAAACAAGGTTTGTAAGGAGTCTAACTTTGGCCAGGCACAGTGGCTCATGCCTATGTAATCCCAGCACTTTGGGAGGCTGAGGCAGGAAGATCACTTGAGCCTAGGAGTTGGAGACCAGCCTGGGCAACATAGGGAGACCCTGTCTCTACAAAAAATTAGCTGGATGTGTTGGTGCATGCCTGTAGTCCCCACCACTTGTGAGGCTGAGGTGGGAGGATCGCCTGAGCCCAGGAGTTTGAGGCTACTGTAAGCTATGATTGTACTACTGCACTTGCACTTGAGCCTTGGTGAGAAAGAAAGACCCTGTCTCTAGGGGGAAGAAAAAAAAAAAAAAAAAAAGAATCTTGCCTTCTTCACTTTATCCCAAACCTGAGATAATATTCCCCACCGCCCCCGCCCGCCGCTTTTTTTTTTTTTTTGAGATGGAGTCTTGCTCTGTTGCCCAGGCTGGAGTGCAGTGGTGCAATCTTGGCTCACTGCAACGTCTGCCTCCTGGGTTCAAGTGATTCTCCTGCCTCAGCCTCCTGAGTAGCTGGGATTATGGGCATGCACCACCACGCCTGGCGAATTTTTGTAATTTTAGTAGAGACAGGGTAGTCGAGGCTGGTCTCGAACTCCTGACCTTGTGATCTGCCCACCTTGGCCTCCCAAAGTGTTGGGATTACAAGTGTGAGCCACCGTGCCTGGCCTAAGCCTTTTTATCCTTAGACTGGTGAGAGATTGATATGCATGCCGTCTCCAGTTTCCAGAAGACATTCATGTAGCCCATGGCTCTGGGCAGAGGTGGGGGTCTCGGTGGTTGTTCCTGCTGTCTTTGCGCCCTATGCCACAGAATTCTCCATCTATGTTGTTTGTTCTTCCTCTCTCCTTCTCTCCTTCCCATTCCCAAGCTACTCTTGTACGTTTGGTCATCCTAGGAACATTTTGGCTTTCACCTGTGCTGTATAGATAACCCAGGATGGGACATACCAACCCATGGCTGCGGTTAAGTTGTGTTCCCCAAATGAGCTTAAAAAAGGGTGCTGCTGAAGTGGGTTTGGGTTGAGGAATAGATTCCCATGGAAAACAGTGGCTGTGAAGTAGGGAGTGACTGCATGATTTACTGTCAATGTATTGTGGTGAGTCAGTCTTCCTTATGTGCCACTGTAGTTCCAAGTGTGGGTGGAAATTGTGTCTCTCCAATTTCATTGGCGGGGCAATTAGCAAAAATTCCCAGCCTCTCACATGTGTGCATGTCTCAAAATTAATATTTCTTTTTCTTTCTTTCTTTTTTTTCGTGGAGACAGAGTCTGGCTCTGTCGCCTAGGCTGGAGTGCAGTGGTGCGATTTCGGCTCACTGCAGCCTCCACCTCCTGGGTTCAAGTGATTCTCCGGCTTTAGCCTCCCAAGTAGCTGGGACTACAGGCGTGCACCACCACACCCAGCTAATTTTTGTATTTTTGGTAGAGATGGGTTTTTGCCATGTTGGCCAGGTTGGTCTCGAACTTCTGACCTCAGGTGGTCCACCTGCCTCGACCTCCCAAAGTGCTGAAATTATAGGCATGAGCGAACACACCTGGCCTCAAAATTAATATTTATACTGATATACTCTTCTGTATATCATAGGGGGTATTTTGAGTATGGGAATAGAATACCAGACTGCCATCCTTTGAACCTGGGGTTCCATTTTAGTAGTTGACCAGTGTCACTTTGACTATTCCAGAGTCACTGCTCTCCTGCAGCTCAGTTTTCTCTAGGAGCCCCTATTTGCCTCCTCTAGATGACTTTTTTTTTTTTTTTTTGACAGAATCTTGCTGTGTCACCCAGGGTGGAGTGCGGTGGCACGATCTCAGCTCACTGCAACCTCTGCCTCCTGGGTTCAAGCGATTCTTCTGCCTCAGCCTCCTGAGTAGCTGGGATTACAGGTGCCCACCATCACGCCCGCCTACATTTTGTATTTTTAGTAGAAATGGGGTTTCACCATGTTGGCCAGGCTAGTCTTGAATTCCTGACCTCAGGTGATCTGCCTGCCTCAGCCTCCAAAGTGCTGGGATTATAGGCATGAACCACCATGACTGGCCTAGATGACTTTTAATGTTTATTCAGGACTTTCTGCAGCATCTGGCACTGTTGTTCACACCTTAGTTTTTGCAGTCCATCACTGCCTTGGTACCCATGTCGTTACCTAGATCTCCTCCTTCCTCTTTTCTACATATTTGTCATCTCTGCATTCATTGTGTACCCCTCATCTCCTGCCTGCTGAAAACTATATATATATATATATATTTTTTTTTTTTAAAAGGCAGGCACAGTGGTTCATGCTTATAATCCTAACTACTCATGAGGCCGAGGAGGGAGGATTGCTTGAGCCCGGGAAGTCAAGGCTGCAGTGAGCTATGATTGTGCCATGGCACTCCCTCAGAAAAAAGAAAACAAAAAGAAATATTATAAGAAAGAATGGAAGATAGATATTCACCATGCATTCCTAAACCTCTATAGATGTGAAATTTTTAAAAAAGATTAAAGAAGTATGAGGCACACTCTTTGTCTCCTGGGGTTGGTTTTTGTTGCCTTCTGCCCGAGCATCTACGTGCTGATGACCTCAAGATACGTATCTCCAGTCCTGCCTCCCTCTTGGATTTTAGACCTAGTACCTGTAGTCCTGTGCAGGTGTCTCACAAGTCCCTTAAACTCCAAATATCTAAAGCCAAAATGGATTTTCTTTATTCTTGAAAACTGCCTCTCCTCTGGGATTTTTCCCAGGAAATTATATTGCCAGTCAGCCACAGCAGTCATCTGGGAATCATCCTTGTTATCTCTTGGTCCTTACATACAATCTTTAGTCCCATATATCTTGACCTCTCTTCGTATTCTGTAAGTCTTCCTTCCTCTCTGACCACATTGGTATTGCCTTGGGTCAAGTTTCCACTTCCTAGACAACAGCATTCACTGGAGCTGATCTTATTGGGTTTCATCTATGATCCACCCACATGTCAGTTCAGTTCGATACCATTGGAGGGATGCTACTCAAATGCACACTTAGTTAGGTTATTCCTTGGCTTATAACTTCTTTTTTTGTTTATTTTTAAGACAGTGTCTTGCTCTGTTGCCCAGGCTGGAGTGCAGTGGCACAAACATGGCTCACTGTAGCATTGACCTCCTGATCTCAAGCGATGCTCCTGCCTCAGCCTCCCAAGGAGCTGGGACTACAGGTGTGTGTCACCACACCTGCTAAATTAAAAAAAAATTTTTTTTAGAGATGGGGTGTCACTATGTTGCCCAGGCTTGTCTTGAACTCCAGGGCTCATGTAATCCTCCCACCTCAGTCTCCCAAAGTACTGGGATTACAGGCATGAGCCACCACACCCAGCCTTGGCTTATTAAAACTTTTATCTTCTTTTTTTGTGTATATACAAATAAAAATACATTTTAAAAAATATTTCTTTAGTCTTAAAAAATTCAAATCCACAGAGGTTTTTGGAAAGTAAAAGTGAATATCTGTATATCCTTCATTTATTTAGAATTTATTTATTTAGTTTTTTGAGGCAGGGTCTTGCATTGTCACCCTGGTGAGTGCAGTGGTGCCATCAGAATTCACTGTAGTCTTGATCTCCTGGGCTCAAGTGATCCCCCTGCCTCAGCCTCCTAAGTAGTTGGGATTATAGGCATGATCCATTGTGCCTGGCTTACTTTTTAACATTTTTCAGCATTTAGGGTTTTTTTCTCTCTCTCAACACACACACACACATACATACACACACACACACACGGAAACACCCAAATTTTTTTCAGATCTAGAATTTTCATTTGGTTCTTTTTTATAGTTCCCATTTCTTTGGTGAGATACCCTATCTGTTTAATCATTAAGACAATAGTTTTCTTTAATTCTCTGATTAATCATTAAGACAATAGTTTTCTTTAATTCTCTGAATATACTTTTCTATGTTTATAATAGCTCTTTAAAGTTGTATGTGCTAAATCCAACATCAAGGCTCTAGGCCATCCTGGGATTGGTTTTTATGGACTTTTTAAAAAGACTGTGGTCAGATTTTCTTTTTTCTTTGCATGCCTGTGAATATTTGACTATAGACTGAACATTGTGAATCCTATGTTAGAGTGATTATGTGTTATCTTTCTCTGAAGAGTGCTGATTTTTGTTCTAGTAGGTAATTCAATTACTGGCTGACCACCTTAAATTTGTGTAGGTTCGTTTTTACGCTCTGTTGGGGGGCAAATCAGTGGAAACTGACCATCTCTTAAGAGGTGGTCTTTCTAGTGTCTTAGCTGGATGCCTGGAGTACTAATGAGGTTTTTCCACTATCTGCTGCTTCAGTTATAGTATTTGTTTTCTGTTCTCAACCTCATAGCAGCTGCTTCCTGGTTAAGTCTTATTTAAAATCTCACCTTGCATGTTCTCACTCATAGGTGGGAATTGAACAATGAGAACACATGGATACAGGAAGAGGAACATCACACACTGGGGCCTGTTGTGGAGTGGGGGCAGGGGGGAGGGATAGCATTAGGAGATATACCTAATGTTAAATGACGAGTTAATGGGTGCAGCACACCAACATGGCACATGTATACATATGTAACAAACCTGCGCATTGTGCACATGTACCCTAAAACTTAAAGTATAATAAAATAAAATAAAATCTCACCTTGCATCTGGATAACATAGGCTTCAACCAGATGTTCATGGGGAACCCACACATGGGCTTCTGATGTTCCCTCTCTGCATAGTGTTCTTCTCTCTCCTGTCCTACCCTGCAGATTCTAGTTCGTGCAGCTACTACGTGAATTGTGGTTGGGAAATTGTCCCCAGGCAGAGAGCCAGGGCGAGCATGGGGCTTGTCATGTGAATTTCCCTTCTCCTTGCAATTGTAATCTTGTGCTGCCTGTTGTCATTTGCCTGAAAACAGTTGCCTCATATATTTGGTTCAGTTTTATTGTGCCTGGCTTATGGCACATGGTGGGAGGGTTATTCTTGCATAAGTTTCTTTGTCATACCCAGAAGTATGTTACAATTAGTTCTGTGTGTGTGTGTGTGTGTGTGTGTGTGTGTGTGGCAGGGTCTTGCTCTGTTGCCCAGGCTGGAGTGCAGTGGTGTGATCTCAGCTTACTTTATCCTCCACCTTCTGGGCTGAAGTGATTCTCCTGCCTCGGCCTCCCGAGTAGCTAGGACTACAGGTGCATGTCACCATGCCTGGATAATTTTTTGTAGAGACAGGGTTTGCCATGTTGCCCATGCTGGTCTTGAACGCCTGGGCTCAAGGGATCTGCCTGCCTCATCCTCCCAAAGTGTTGGGATTATAGGCATGAGCCACCATGCTCATCCTGTTACAATTAATTTAATTTTATTTTGTTTCCCTGAATTAGTTAAAATTGTCAACCATTATAGCACTTTTAACATTTTGCTTCTGCTTATCATTCTTAAATAGCTCTCTACAGCCTACAGCCATGTTACTGGTATCTAGACTTGGTGACAAAGTGTATGAAGTCCTGTGTGGCTGAATCCCTTCTTTTTTTTTGTCTGCTTCAACTCCCTGCTTACCCTCCACACGATCCCCTGCTGCCTTGAGCTCCTTCCTCCTTCTCCGCTTTTGTTTAAGCTTCTTGGGCCAGACATATTCTTTGTCTGCCTGGGAAATCCCTACCTATTCATTCAACTTTTTAGTTTCAATATTGTCACTGTTGTCATCATCATAATCATCATCACAGCTAAAGCTTATTGAGTGCTTACTATGTGCTAGGCACTGTTCAAAGTGTTTTATGTGGATTAACTCATTTAACCTTTTCAATCATCCTATTATGCATATACTATTAATTTTTATTTATTTATTTAAAAAATTTTAAAGACAGACTGTCATTCTGTTGCCCCGGCTGGAGTGCAGTGGCACGATCATAGCTCACTGCAGCCTCACACTTCTGGGCTCAAGCAATCCTGCCATCTCAGCCTCCCGAGTAGCTGAGGCTACAAGTGCACAACACCACACCTAGCTAATTTTTAAATTTTTAGCAAAGACGAGGTCTTGCTGTGTTGCCCAGGCTGATCTCAAACTCCTGGCCTCAAGCAATCCTCCTTCCTCAGCCTGCCAAAGTGCTGGGATTACAGATGTGAGTCAACACACCCGGCCCAGGTACTGTTACTAACTACATTTTTGCAAACGTGAAAAATCCAGAAGTTAAATAACCTTGTCCAAGGTTACATAACCAGCATCTGCTGGACCTGGGATTCAAGCTGCCACCTGGCTGCACAGCCCATGCCATTCACTTTCATGTACTGAATCCTGCTCCCTGTGAGATGAGATCCTGTGTGCTTCCCTTGTACCCGTCATGTCACCATCACATATATCTCTGCCACCACTGTGACACATGGGTGAGCACTTGGCTGATTAATCAAATTTCAGTGGGTGGAGAGATATTTTTAAAGCTCTGTGTGAGCCCAGAGTGCTCCTTACTGAGAGGAGAGGTGCCCTGCAGCCCAGGAAAGGCTGGCCATGAGCATGACTTTATGCCAGGAGGGGGGCTGGTTTCTGTGCAGTAAGCTCTGGAGGGCCCTCTCCACCTGCCACCCATGTGGTCCATCCTACGTTTTCTTGTAATGAAGGTCCCCCGTCCCCTACTGTTTTATCCCGTTTTTGCCGGTTGATTTCAGGATCCCAGAGGCAAACTCAACTTGCCTTTTTTGGAGACACTTCTCTCTACAGGCTTTCTAAGAGGAGGTTTGAAGGAGGCAGAAACATTCCTGTTACAAGAAGACAAGCTCACAACTCTTATCTGATGGCTCAAAGTTCTCTCCTCCAGAGGAAGCCTAAAACCTACGCAATGAATGAGCCACATCATCATCCCAATAAGAGGGGGAGTGTCAGATATACAGCTCTGCCCTGAGCTGGGAATTAGCTTTACAACATACGTCTTTTATCTGCCTGGGTACCTTCCTCCTGGAGGCTTGACCTGCCCTTTGAGCCTTGAGAAAGATATCTTTTGTGGAGAGTTGTGAGGCTTTGTTAGCAGGGCAGAGCAGGGATTTCTCTGATGGTAGCTGCTTCCAAGGGCCCATTCCTTAAAGAGGCACTTGCTAAGTCTTCTAGTAGTTTCCCGCATGTTGTTCTGAAAATGCATTTTGATAGCTGTGGCCAAGAAAGAAACCCGAGTACCTACCTTCCCTGCCAGCTTCATGCTATTAATTTGTAATTTATATTCTGCCTGTTTCCAAAAGCGATCAAGGCATCATAAGATAAAAGAAAAAACACAACTGCAAAGGCTGTCAGAATAGAAATAGAAAATAGAAATCCACACACAGGGAGGAAGGAAAAAAATATGACAGCCCCTTAAAGGAACACATTGGCTCGGAATGTGCATGACATTAGCTGCAAATTTCCAATTGGTTGAGGCAAAAAGTTAAACACCAGTTACCTGATTCCAGTGATGGCCTTAAAGTGTCTATTGGAAGAATGGTTTTCTCAACTATATTTTAAGCAGGAACTCTTTGCCCCATATTCAAATTATCTAATATACAAGTATTTTGTATTATTTCAGACACATTGGTGGCTTTCAACCTTACCTCACTATCAAATTTCTGTGGACTTTTTCAAAACATACTTCTTCTAGTAATAGTAAGCTATCATGATGGTGATTTTCAATGAGGAAAGAGGTGCTCATACTAGACTTTCTAGATGCAAGGAGATGGGGGTACATTGTAGTTTAGTTTTTTTTTTTCTTCCTGAGATAGGATCTTGGTCTGTTGTCCAGGCTGGAATGTGGTGGTGCCTTCACTGCTCACTGTAGCTTTAACCTCTCAGGTTCAAGCGACCCTCCCACCTCAGCCTCCCAATGGCACAGGTGCGTGCCATTACACCTGGCTAATTTTGTTTTGTTTTTTATTTTTGGAGAGATAGGGCCTCACTGTGTTTCCCAGGCTGGTCTGGAACTCCTAGGCTCAAATGATCCTCCCTCCTTGGCCTCCCAAAATGCTGGGATTACAGGTATGAGCCACTGCGCCCAGCCTTTGTAGTTTAGAAAGCCTTCCCAACAGGTGATCTAAATACTGGCTTTAGAAAAATGTGTCCTAGGTTCTTATTTCTAAGAACCCTGCATGAGATAGCAAGCAGAGGGTGGTATCTTGTTATGCAAAAGAACCTGCTGCATCTTAAAGCATGACTTTGACTTGAGCTATTTGAGGAACAGGAGTAACCACGTGTTTATCTCAGTCATAAAATCACCTGTATCTTGTTCCTGGGGAACCTTTCATTTTCAACAGAAATGCATTGTAACAGATCTAGTAAGCTAATTAAGCCCCATCGTGCTCCCCCAGATAACTAAATGAGTTAACCTGTTGAGTAGAGTTGTTGAACATTATCCATCTGGATGCTGAAGGGAGTTTGCCAAAACCCATCATTCCGATGTTGGCTTCACTGACACTATTGTTTCTCCTTGCAGTAATTGGCCAGCAGCAGGTTCAACTGTTCCCTGGGACTACTCAAGAATTTGATATTAGCAACATGTTCTAGCAGCAATGACTCACTGGTCTTCTCTCTTCACAGTGGCATCCAGGGCATCTAAACGTTGCTCCACTCATCGCAGGTGATGAGTTAGGACACACCCATTTAAAATACAAATTTGCTCTATCAACATGGTCATTAATATTTACTTCTCAAGAAGGAAGAGTGTTGAATTTACATCCAGACCTGTATTGCCATATTACTGTGTAACAAATGACTCAAAAACTTCCTGGTTTAGCTTGGGCGTGGTGGCTCATGCCTGTCATCCCAGCACTTTGGGAGGTGAGGCAGGAGGATAACTGGAGGCCAGAAGTTCGAGACAAAACCCTGTCTCTACAAATACTACAAAAATTAGCAGGTACATGGATGGAGCTGAAGGCCATTATCCTTAGCAAACTAACGCAAGAACAGGAAACCAAATACTGCATGTTCCCACTTGTAATCTGGAGCTAAATGATGAGAACACATGGTCACATAGAGGGGAACAATACACACTGGGGCCTATCAGATGGTGGAGGCAGGTAGGAGGAGGGAGAGGATCAGGAAAAAATAACTAATGGGTACTAGGATTAATACCTGGGTGACGAAATAACCCTGTACAGCAAACCCCTATGACACAAGTTTACCTATGGAACAAATCTGCACGTGTACCCCTAAACTTAAAAGTTGTTAACAACAACCACAAAAAATCAGCTGGGTGTGGTGCTTGCACACCTGTGGTCTTGGATACTCAGGAGGCTGAGGCTGGAGAATTGCTTGAGCCTAAGAGTTCCAGGTTCCAGGATGCAATGAGCTATGATCGCACCACTGCACTCCAGCCAGGGCAACAGAGCGAGACCCTGTCTCAAAAAAAAAAAAAAATCCTGCTTATTATTTTTGAGCAGGAAGTGTTGTAGCAGATTAGGATCTACAGACAGATCTATAATTTTAAAGTGTTGGAGATTTGTCCTTTTTTGAAGATATATTTTGTTCAAAGATCTTAACTGGCTTTTATATGCAGTTCTGGAGTTGGGCAACACCTCATTCTATAAAGTGAGTGTTCTTATGAGCTGAGCAGAGAAGTTTGGTTTTATAGACAGAAAAGGGCTGAGGAAAGCAGAAACAGAAAACAAAAAAAGCAGATTGATTGTTTCAGAGCGACTTTTCCTTGTAAAGGTTAGAGCAGAGGGACTTCCTTCACATGCTGGCTAAAATGGGCTTGCTTAGGGTTTGGCTGCCAGCTCTCCGTCTCCTGACTTCTCAGAAGGTCATATAAACCAATTAGTTTTGGCTCGGTCGTGTGGAACTTTTAGCATGAGGGACTCCATTTTGGTTTGGTTTATTGGGCCGCGTGCAGGAGCTCAGTCCAAACCAGTGGCCCTCATCAATTTCACTTAATATTTATGCAAAGCAGTTCAGCAAGGTAAAAGGAGGGGAGTCAACAGGGAAGGCTGGATGGCCTAGACCCTTGAAGCCTGCAGGAGGACATTAATTTGGGGGGAATTTGTTTCATCCTTGAGGCAGTGCCTAAATATATCATGCTTATCCCTGGGAACAAACACAGTGAAATGATAGGCACATAGTGACTGCTCAAAAATACTTGTTGAATAAATGAACACTAGTTCCTCTGATAAGAGAACTTTGTCAAAAAATGAGCTCATTAGGCTGGGCATGGTGGCTCGTGCCTGTAATCCCAACACTGTGGGAGGCGGAGGAGGGAGGATTGCTTGAGGCCAGGGGTTCAAGACCAGCCTGGGCAACATAGTGGGCAACATGGCACAGGCTGGGCAACCAGCCTGTACAAAAAATTAAAAAGTTAGCCAGGCATGGTGGTGGGTACCTATAGTCCAAGTTGCCCAGCAAGCTGAGGGAGAAGGATTGTGTGAGCCCAGGAATTTGAGGCTCCAGAGAGCCACGATCATGTCATTGAACTCCAGCTTGGATGACAGAGTGAGTCCCTGGTTAAAAAAAATAAAATAAAAAATAAAATAAAATAAAAATGCATGGTTGAAGATGCATGGCATTTGACCTACTTCACCACCCCACAAGTTTTGATTTTCTCACCTGTACCATGTGGATAATAATATATACTTTATAGGGATAATAAGAGATAATACATGCAAAGTGAGGAATTACTATTCCTATTATTGTTCCTATCTGTTGGGCACTTACTGCATGCCAAATACACACAGTATGGGAACAATAGCAGGAATAGTAATTATTGTTATTGTTATGATGATGATGCTTATTATGATGGAACAAACCCAGACAAAGGACCACCACCCCAACACTGGGGCAAATAGTAGCTCTTTAGAGGAGAAGCAAAACACTGGACAGGGTCCAATGCAATTGTTCTGCCAGGACAGGCCCACTTCACAATGTAAATGCCTCTAACTGGAGAGGCCTGTCAGTAAATGGAAGAATCTGGACAACCCATTGTGAGTCTTTGTGTCTTAGCTCTAAGCGCATAAGGATACCTTTCCTACTCCCCCACTTCAACCTCAGCACTTTGTATCGCAGTGGCTGTCCTCATTGGTTTGGAGGTAACAGACTTAAATTGCCAGAGAGAGGAGAGGGAAGAGGAACCAATAATAGTTTCCAAACCTTGAATTGTCCTGAGGGATAGAACCAGGATCCTCTTAAAGAAAACGTAGTACATATACAACATGGAATACTGTGCAGCCATAAAAAGTGAAATCATGTCCTTTGCAGCAGCATGGATGCAGCTGGAGGCCATTATCCTAAGTGAATTAATGCAGAAACAGAAAACCAAATACTCCATCTTTTCACTTATAAGTGAGACATAAACATTGGGTACACGGGAACATAATAATGGAAACAATAGACACTGAGGACTTCAAAACAGAGGAGAGAGGAAAAGGGCACGTTGAAGAACTACCTATTTGAGTAGTACTGTGTTAACTGTTTGGGTGATGGTTCCATCAAAGCCCAAACCTCAGCATCATGCAATATATCCATGTAACTAACCTGTACAGGTTACCCCCGAATCTAAAAAGAAAAAAGAAACAAAAAAGATCCAGGATCCTCTAAGACCTGGGTTTCGATGTGGGAAACATCTGCAGATGGCTGCATATGCAGGCCTTCCAAGTCCTCCGTGTGATGCTCTCAAGGATCAGGAGGGAACGTGTCCATAGATCTCCTTTTAAAGTTAGTAGATGTGTCCTATAATACTTATTCCTTGGGTAGGAGCTGCGGTGGTGATGGGACATGGGGAGGCTGAAAGCAAGGCCGGTTGACCAGAACTCACTCCCCTATGGAGGGTGACACTGGCCTCTCTTTGAGTTGAGCACACTGGAAATATTTCTCTGCCTTCCTCTCTAAAGCGGGAGGTGGTGTTTGAAGAGCGAAGCTTTCTGAAAATGGGAAGAGCCCAACCATCCGTGTTGCTGGTGGTGGATGTTAGCATGCCTATTTTCAGGAGTGTTCCTTTTCCCTGATTATTCTCACTCCTCTTGCGGTTTCCCTAACGTCATCTGGTTAACATTCAAGGCCATTTTTGTTTCAGTGGTGCTTCCAAACTCTACTCATCAACTTCAATATTAAGAGTTTGTTTGTTCCACTAAAGTTTTATGGTGATGGTGAAAAAAGTATGTGGTGGTGGTGTTTTTTTCCTGTAAAGCTGCTAAAATAAGCTGGGTGTGGTGATTCATGCCTATAATCCCAGCACTTCTGGAGGCCGAGGCAGGAGGATTACTTGAGCCCAGGAATTTGAGACTTGCCTGGGCAACATAGGAAGATCCCATCTCTACAGAAAATCGTTGAAAAAGTTATCCAAGCGTGATGTGCACACCTGTAGTCCCAGCTATTTGTGATGCTGAGGCAGGAGGATTGCTTAAGCCCAGGACTTTGAGGCTGCAGTGAGCTATGATCGCACTCCAGCCACTGCACTCCAGCCTTGGCAACAGAGTGATACTCTAAGAAAAAAAAAAAGCTTCTGAAATAAATGGTTTCAGGACTGCAGGTGATGCTGGCCTCAGGAGTGTGCCACCATTTACATGCTCATGTGTACGGATAGATTTTTTGTGTTTTTGTTCTTGTTTTTGTTTTTTTGAGACAGAGTCTCGCTCTGTCACCCAGGCTGGAATGCAGTGGCGTGATCTCCGCTTACTGCAACCTCTGCCTCCCAGGTTCAAGCAATTCTCCTGCCTCAGCCTCCCGAGTAGCTGAGATCACAGGTGCGTGCCACCACACCTGGCGAATTTTTGTAATTTTTTGTAGAGATGGGTTTCACTATGTTGGCCCAGCTGGTCTCGAACTCCTGACCTCAGGTGATCTACCCTCCTCGGCCTCTCAAAGTGCTGGGATTACAGGCGAGAGCCACCGTGCCCAGCCTACTGATAGTTTTTAAGCTGGTGCCAGTTGGTGTGTGCTTTGCTGCTGTTACTCTGCTCGTATCCAGTGAAATGAGCCTCAGGGTATGTTGCAGACCTCAACCATCTGGGTGGGAATTTAACATCTCTGAACCTAGAAGCACCGTAGGGATGATAGATCATAAAATTTGGTCTGGTACCCCTGTGCAATTTGTAGGGCACTTTGGAGAGCTTGCTTCTCTGCCATCTGGTGCTGTGGTGGGGGGAAGTGGGAAAAGGGGTGTCATGGAGACAAATCTGAGAACTTAGTGTTTCTTACATCTGTGTGGGGGGCTCCTCAGATAGCCAAGTGCAATGGCTTAGCCAGCACCCACTGGGGGTGTAAAACTTGAGGGTTTCAGGTGCATGATTGATCATGGTTTTGTGCTACTCCCTTTAAGATCCCTTCAGAGGTGCCACTCTTTCTGGGAAAAGTGCCCTGAGCTGCTGCCGAAGCCTCTTGCCAGATTTTGAAGATCCTCAGTATGCAAGTTAAGAAAAATGTTTTAGATTTTGAATCTCCACGACTGTGGTTGATCAGCCTAGCAGCCCAACTCTGAAGTTTTTAACCTGGGGTCTGTGCACCCGTGGAGCTTAACAATATTGTGTGTGTTTATGAGTAGTGATGTTTTTTCTGGAGAGAAGACAGATCTGTAAGTTTTGTCATATGGAGTTCAACAAACGGAGTTTGTCAAAGGAGTTCAACAAAAAGGGTAACATCAGTTGCTAATCCATGCTTCATGAACTGGACTTCTCTTATTCTTATCACTGCACAGGGCTTTTGCTTTATTTTATATTTTATTTTTTCCAGAAACAGAGTCTTGCTCTGTCTCCCAGGCTGAAGTGCAGTGGTGCAATCATAGCTCATTGCAGCCTCACACTCCTGGCCTCTAGAACTACAGGTGTGTGCCATCACACTCAGCTAATTTTTACATTTTTTGTAGAGATGGTATCTCACTATGTTGTCCAGGTTGGTCTCAAATCCAAGGCTTCAAGCTGTCCTCCCACTTTGGCCTCCCAAAGCACTGGAGTGTTTTGCTTTTGGTGGGAAGACTGGACAAGGTATATTGATGCTTGCTGATGAGATCCTTTTTGCATTTTAAAAGGTTGCATTGGTTGTGGTTTGCAGAATGGATTTGAGAGAAGTGGGCCTTGAGGCTGGGGCAACAACCAGAAGCCCTTTTGCATAGTTAGGGGAGAAAGGAAAAGAAAGGAAAGGGCTTAGACTGAGGAAGGAGCAATGAGTTGGGGAGAAGTTGGCATGGGAATTTAAAAATACAGACCCTTGCTGTGTTTATGTTATTCTATTTGATGTTTGCAATAACTGGGAGGCATTGGTGTCCCCATTATACAGATGAGGGAAATTAATGTGAAAGGGATTAAAAGTCACTTGGCCAAGTCACACAACTCATAATTGGTGGGAGTGGGATTCCCGCTTAGCTTAATCAGACTCCAAAGCCCATACTCTTAATTAACTACCATGTTAAATTGTCTCTACTGTAATTCATCTTGATGAGATATGGATGTGGGGGTGAGGAGTGAGGTGTGTGGCCGCTTAACTAGGTAATGAGGTACAGGTGGTGACAACCGCTGAGACCAGGGACAGGGAGTCTGGATAGGGTGGAATGGTGATGAGAACTGAAGGTCATCTTACTGGAGATGTCCAGTGGGTTCTTGCATATTGATTTCTGGGACTCAAAGTGTTTATCCCAGATATACAGATTTTGGAGTCTTCATTATACTTAAGTGATGATAATGAGAAGACAGCCAAAGACCCATCCCCAAGGCCCAGTAGTCTTAATCATGCTTGATCACAAGGTGGTCAATGGTGGCTGGAGAACTGGGAGTCACTGCTTCTCCAGCTAAGTTTCTTCATATCTTTTTTTGATGCATACATATATATATATATAAATAATATATTTTAAATTGAAATGGAGTCTCGCTCTGTCGCCCAGGCTGGAGTGCAGTGATGTGATCTTGGCTCACTGCAACCTCCGCCTCCCAGGTTCAAGCAATTCTCCTGCCTCAGCCTTCCTAGTAACTGGAATTATAGGTGTGTGCCACCATGCCTGGCTAATTTTCTTTCTTTCTTTCTTTCTTTTTTTTTTTTTACTTTTTAGTAGAGACAGGGTTTCACCATGTTGGCCAGGCTGCTCTCGAACTCCTGACCTTGGGTGATCTGCCCGTCTCAGCCTCCCAAAGTGCTGGGATTACAGGCACCCACCACCACACCCAGCTAATTTTTGTATTTTTAGTAGAGACAGGGTTTCACCATGTTGGCCAGGCTGGTCTTGAACTCCTGACCTTGGGTGATCTGCCCACCTCAGCCTCAGAGTGCTGAGATTACAGGCGTGAGCCACCACCCCTGGCTTCTTCATATCTTTTGGCTGTGTTTAACATGCCATGCTTAGTCCCCTAGTTTCCCATAGTATTCTGAAAGCCAAAATCCCGTATCAGAAAGATGAACATGTTGAGTTCAAAAAGTCACCTATTTGTGCTCAATTAATCTGGTTTATTGATTGACAGTGCCCTTGGGTTATTGATTGATGGAGTTCTTCTCTTTCAAACTGCTTGTTTGAATCAGAAACCGGTCTAAACCCAGTAGCTGTCTCCGATTTTAAAGGAAGTTCACTCTGGCTCCTGGCCACACAAATCTCTTTTTCAGGGTATCAGAAATATGCTGTAGTTTCCTCTGCTAAATGGAACCATAAAGAGACTGCAGGAAATCAAAGATTGCCTGCCTATAATTAGGGCTGCCCCATGGATAAGGAGCTTGACTTCTTGCCGGTGAAGGAGCAAATTCCAGGGATTGTGAAATCACACTGAACTTGGGTCAAATCCTGGATGTTTTATATCTCTGTGCTCTTAGGCAAGTTTTTTTTTAAAAAATTCATTTCAGTAGTTTTTGAGGTACAGGTGGGTTTTGGTTACATGGGTAAGTTCTTCAGTGGTGATATCTGAGATTTTGTTGCACCCATCACCCAAGCAGAGTGCACCATACTCAATATGTAGTCTTTTATCCCTCACTCCCCTCCCACTCTTCCCCCTCGAGTCCCCAGAGTTCATTATATCATTCTTAAGCATTTGCATCCTCGTAGCTTAGCTCCCACTTAGAAGTGAGAAAACACAGTATTTGCTTTCCCTTCCTGAGTTACTTCACTTAGAATAATGGCCTCCAACTCCATCTAAGTTGCTGCAAAGGCCATTGTTTCATTCCTTTTTATGGCTGAGTAGTATTCCGTGGTGCACATAACATATACTACATTTTCTTTATCCACTCGTTGGTTGATGGGCATTGAGGTCGGTTCCACATTTTTGCAGTTGCGAACTGTGCTGCTATAAACGTGTGTGCTTGTGTCTTTTTCATAGAATGACTTCTTTCCCTTTGGGTAGGAACCCCGTAGTGGGATTGCTGGATCAAGTGGTAGATCTACTTTTAGTTCTTTAAGGAATCTCCACACTGTTTTCCATAGTGGTTGTACTAGTTTACATTCTCACCAGCAGCGTTGGAAGTGTTCCCTTTTCACCACAACCATGCCAACATCTATTTTTTTTTATTTTTAAAATTGTGGCCATTCTTACAAGAGTAAGGTGGCATCTCATTGTGGTTTTAATTTTCATTTCCCTTGGGCAAGTTTTAAACAGTCACACATCTCAGTGTCCTCATCTGTCAAATGGGGTGATATGGTTTGGCTGTATCCCCACCCAAACCTCATCAACAATTGTAATCCAAATTGCAATATGCACGTGTCTAGTGAGGGACCTGGTGGAAGGTGATTGGATAATGGGGGCGGATTCCCCCATGCTGTTCTCATGGTAGTGAGTTCTCACGAGATTTGATGGTTTTGTAAGTGGCAGTTTCCCCTGTGCACGCTCTCTCTCTTGCCGCCATGTAAGATGTGCCTTGCTTCTCTTTCTGCCATGATTGTAAGTTTCTTGAGGCCTCCCCAGCCATATGGAAGTGTGAGTCAATTAAACCTATTTTCTTTATAAATTACCAAGTCTTGGGTAGTGTCTTTATAGCAGTGTGAAAATGAACTAATACAGTGGGGAATATAATCACCCACCTCCTGGGAGGAGGATGTGGCAAGGTGCCTGGCACATGGCAGGGTACTTGGCAATAGCTGAGTATTTAGTACTATTGCTTGGCATGTCAGAGGGAAGGAGTAAGGGAATAGGGCAATAATGAATTTCTTTTATCTTTTCCCAGTCTGTCCAATTAAAAATGAGTTAACTAGGTCAGGCATGGTCATGCATGCCTGTAATCCCAGCACTTTGGAAGGCTGAGGCAGGAGGATTGCTTGAGCCCAGGAGTTTGAGGCTGCAGTGAGCTATGATGGTGCCATTGTGTTCCAGCGTGGGTGACAGACCAAAACCTGGTCTCAAATTTGAAAGAAAAAAAAATAATTGATTGAACAAAACTGGAAAGTGTGAAGGATATTTTAATGTGAAAGGGAAAAACCAAGTCTTATCTGTGAATCCAGAATTTTGGTCATCTTTTTTAGAAGTATGTGTATGTGTGTGTGCATGTGCTTCTTTTTTCTTTTTTAGAGATGGGGTCTTGCTCTTCACCCAGGCTGGAGTGCAGTGGCATGATCATAGTTCACAGCAGCCTTGAACTCCTGGGCTCAAGTGATCTTCCTACCTCAGCCTCCCAAGTAGCTGGGACCACAGGCCCATGTCACAACACCCGGCTAATTTTTAAAACTTTTTGTAGCGATGAGGTCTAACTCTATTGCTCAGGCTTGTCTCAGACTTCTGACCTCCAGCGACCCTCCCACGTAGGCCTCCTAAACAGCTGGGATCATAGGTGTGAGCCACTGTGTCAGGCCAGGCAAGAATTCTTCGAGATGGAATTTCTTGAAGTGTAGGGGCAAAAAAGCCCCCATCTAATAGGACACTAATAATGTCCCCACAAGTTGTGAAATCTTGAAAAGTGCCCATCGCTTCCGTATATCTCTCCTTAAAGAATATTTATTTAGGCAGGGCGCGGTGGCTCACGCCTGTAATCCCAGCACCTTGGGAGGCCGAGGCGGGTGGATCACGAGGTCAGGAGTTTGAGACCAGCCTGACCAACATGGTGAAACCTCATTTCTACTAAAAATACAAAAATTAGCCAGCGTGCTGGTGCGCATCTGTAATCGCAGCTACTCAGGAGGCTGAGGCAGGAGAGTGGCTTGAACCCGGGAGACGGAGGTTGCAGTGAGCCGAGATTGCGCCACTGCACTCCAGCCTGGGCGACAGGGTGAGACTTTGTCTCAAAAAAAAAAAAAAAAATTATTTAAGTGAGCTATGCTGGGTGTGGTGGCTCACAGCTGTAATCCCAGCACTTTGGGAGGCTGAGGCCAGTGGGTCACTTGAGGTCAGGAGTTCAAGACCAGCCTGGCCTATGTGGCAAAACCCTGTTTCTACTAAAAATATAAAAATACTAGCCAAGCTTGGTAGGGGCACCTGTAGTCCTAGCTACTCGGGAAGCTGAAGCATGAGAATCACTTGAACCCAGGAAGCAGAGGTTGCAGTGAGCCGAGATCATGCCACTGCACTCCAGCCTGGGTGACAAAGCGAGATTCCATCTCAAAAAAAATAACAATAATAATAAAAAAAGAAAAGAAAAGAAAAAAGGCTGGGTGTGGTGGCTCACCCCTATAATCCCAGCACTTTGGGAGGCTGAGGGTGGATCATGAGATCAGGAGTTTGAGACCAGCTTGGCTAACGTGGTGAAACCCTGTCTCTACTAAAAATATAAACAAACAGAATTAGCCGGGTGTGGTGGCGGGCACCTGTAATCCCTGCTACTGGGGAAGCTGAAGCATGAGAATCGCTTGAGCCCAGGAGGCAGAGGTTGCAGTGAACTGAGATCGTGCCACTGCACTCCAGGCTGGGTGACAGAGAGAGATTCCGTCTCAAAAGAAAAGAAAGGCCGGGCATGGTGGCTCATGCCTGTAATTCCAGCACTTTGAGAGGCCAAGGTGGGTGGATCATGAGGTCAAGAGTTAAAGACCAGCCTGACCAACATGGAGAAACCCCATCTCTACTAAAAATACAAACAATAAATAATAAATAAATAAAACATAATTAGCTGGGCGTGGTGGTGCAAGCCTGTAATCCCAGCTTCTTGGGAGGCTGAGGCAGGAGAATTGCTTGAACCTGGGAGGCAGAGGTTGCAGTGAGCCGAGATGGCACCACTGCACTCCAGTCTGGGCAACAGGGCAAGCAAGACTCTGTCTCAGCGGGGGGGAAAGAAAAAGAATATTTATGTAAGTGAGCTAAGATGTGAAGGTAAGTGCTAATGGCTTCAGGTTGACTTGTGCTGCATGTTATGACTAAGAGCTCATAACAGATTCTGTCCCCTCAGCAAAAAAAAATAAAAATAAAAAAACAACGGAGTGAGGAAGTGCCCTCTGAGCCTCTGATCACTGTTTTTGATTATAATGTGTTTTTTGCCCTAAAGCATTGCCCTCTCACAGTAAAACACATTTGTCTTCATAGAGACAGTGGCTCTGTGTGTGTGCTCGAGATAGCTACAAGTCACTTGGGAGGCTGATGAGTGGGGACAGCAGACGATGGATCCAGGCAGGGGACTCATGCATCACGTTGTTCTTTCATGGCCTTAACAAATTACCAGGCAGAGACAAATCAAGTACACTCAAACAATCATGTTCTCTGCATTCTCCCCAAATTTGATGCAGTCCTGAGCAAATTATGTGCAACAAAACCAGGGCATCTGTAGAGAAGGCAGCTATAAAATTGTTCATTGCCAGCCTAAGGAAATCCAACAGGAAAGACTTCATCACAAGATTCTATAGTGCACTACACAAGAGAGACAGCGCAGCACCGAGAAAGGTTCCTGTGTATTCTGTGCAGTAGTTGGTCTAGTTTGCTGACAGGCAGTGCTACCCAATAGTCAGAGCCACCAAGAAGAGCAGAAATGGAGCCTCAGTTTGCCTTCTGGTAAAATGGGGATATGAGGCTGGGCACAGTTGCTCATGCCTGTAATCTCAGCACTTTGGTAGGCTGAGGTGGGCAGATCACTTGAGGCCAGGAGTTTGAGGCCAGCCTAGCCAACATGGTGAAACCCCATCTCTATTAAAAATATAAAAATTAACCAGGTGTGGTGGCAGACCCCTGTAGTCCCAGCTCCTCTGGAGGCGGAGGCAGGAGAATTGCTTGAACCTGGGAGGCGGAGGTTGCAGTGAGCTGGGATCACGCTACTGCACTCCAGCCTGGGCAACAGAGTGAGACTTTGTCTATAAAAAAAGAATGGGGATATGGTTTGGCTTTGTGTCCCCACCCAAATCTCTTCTTGAATTGTAATCCCCACATGTCCAGGGAGAGACCTGGTGGGAGATGATTGGATCATGGGGGTAGTTCCCCCGTGCTGTTCTTATGACAGTGAGTTTTCATGAGATCTGATGGTTTTATAAATGACAGTTTCTCCTGCACGTTCTCTGTTTCTCTTGCTTCGCCATGGTAAGATGTGCTTGTTTCCCTTTCAACTTCAGCCATGATTGTAAGTTTTCTGAGGCCCCCTTAGCCATGCAGAACTGTGAGTCAAGTAAACTGCTTTCCTTTATAAATTACCCAGTCTCAGGTATGTCTTTATAGCAGTCCTTAAAACAAACTAACACAAATGGGAATTGTTATCTCAGAATCACACCTTGACTCACAGAAGAAAGTTGTAAGGATGAAGGCATCAGTTCCATAGAGGTAATAAATAAATGAGAAATAAACTCATAACTGAATTTGGTACATTTTCATAAAATGATCAAAAATTTGCATTAGTTCTTCAAGTTTTTATTGCATTTCTGCAATATCTAAGCAGTATTCCCAGATGCTGAAAACCAAAATGATCAATCAGACAGAGGTCCAGCCTCTGAGGACCCAGCCAAGAGACTAAGTCCAGGTAGAACAGGGTGGATGGAATGTCAGTCTCAGAATAGGAGAACTTCAGCTCTCATCCCTTCCAGAGCCTTGACCTTCTCTGACCCTCAGTTTCCCCACTTGTAAAAATGAGACAATAATAAGTAACTTTGTGAAGTTTTTTAAATACCGAAGGCATAATATTCATTGATTTGCTCATTCATTCACAAATGTTGATTGAGTGCCTACAATGTTTGAAGCACAGTTTTAAGGTCCAGGATGCAGCAGTAAGCAAAGTAGAATTCCCACAGAGCTTCTGCTCTTGTGGCAGCAGGCATAGTATATTATATTATAAAAATTACAGAAAATAAAATAAGCAGGAACAGGAGTAGGAGTAGCATGGAGGCTTTGTAATAATCCAGACGAGATACGGTGGTGGCTAGGACAAGGGTGGTGGCCCTGGAGGTTGGAAGGAGCAGTGGGATTCTGGATCTCCGTCCCTCCCTCCCTTCCTTCCTCTGTCTTTCTTTTTTTTTTTTTGAGACAGGGTCTTGCTCTGTCATTCAGGCTGGAGTGCAGTGGTGTGATCACAGCCCACTGCAACCTCCACCCACCCTGGGCTCAAGCAGTCCTCCCACCTCAGCCTCCTGAGTAGTAGCTGGGACCACAGGCAAGCACCACCACACATGGCTAATTTTTTATTGTATTTTTAGTAGAGAAGAGGTCTCACCATGTTGCCCAGGTTGGCCTCAAGCTCCTGAGCTCAAGTGATCTGCCTGCCTTGGCCTCCCTAAGTGCTAGGAATATAGATGTGAGTCACTGTGCCTGGACAGATTCTGGATCTATTTCAAAGGTGGACTTACCAAGATTTGCTGATTGGGGTGCGGGGTAGGTGTAGAGTGCAAGAGGAAGAAAGAAGTGAGGGAGGACTAGCAAGATAGTTGGCTCAATCAACTAGAAGAATAGAGGTGAGATTAACTGAGAGGGGAGAAAGAAAGTCCAGGAGCTCAGTATTGAACGTGTTGAGTCCAATACTTATTAGCTGTCCAGGTGGAGATTCTGAATAGGCCATTACAAAACTGAGTCTGGACTTTGGGGACGCATTAAGATTTACATAAGTAAAATATCTTGTGTGGTGTGCTGCAGAATTGGGTGCTGAATAACCTTAATGATTGATCAATTAATTATAATTCTTAATCTATATTTTTAAAATTAAACTTCCTATTGTGAGATGTGTGTAGAGTCACATGCAATTGTAAGAAATAATGCAGGAAGGTGCCTCTACCCTTTGTCCAGTGTCCCCCAGTGGTAATGTCTTGCAAATCTATGGTACTGTATTACAACCAGGATATTGACATTGATACAGTTAATATATAGAACCTTTCCATCACCACAACTCACTCATATTCACGTAATCTATTAGATGCCATAAACACTACAGAAAATAAGCTACGGCATGGTGGCTTATGCCTGTAATCCTAGCACTTTGGGAGGCTGAGGTAGGAGGATTACTTGAGCCCAGAAGTTTGAGACTAGCCTGGACAACAGAGTGAGGCCTTGTCTGTACAAAAAATAAACAAAATGAGCCGGGCATGGTGATGTGTACCCATAGTCTTAGCTGCTTGGAAGGCTGATGTGGGAGGACTGCTTAAGCCCAGGGAGGTTGAGGCTGCAGTGAGCTATGATCACACCACTGCAGTCTGGCCTGGGCAACAGAGCAACACTCTGTTTCAAGAAAAAAGGAAAAAAAAAGTAGTTCAGAGGAAAGAGAAAGAATGTCCCGGTGTAACTGCTCAGACAGAGGAAGGCACTTGAGATGGGCCCTGAAGGATGAAAACAATTGGGATAGATAGTATAATAAAGGGCAGAATGAAAAAAATCCTGTGATGTGGAAGTTCAGTGTGTGTTGGACCTTGGAGGCTGTTGGGCTTTGACCAGAGTGGAAGGTGAGAGGTGGGCACATCAGAAGCAGAATTGAAGGGCTGATTAGGTCTGAGGGCTTAGGGTACCAGGTCAAAAGATGGGACTGTAGTAGGGAGGTAGCTGGGGGATCTTGGAAGTTTTCTGAGCTTGAAAGGGTGCAGCCTCAGCTCCAAGATGATTGGTCTGGTCTCTATGTCTTTAATGGAATGGAGCAGGGGGAACATTGGGGTGACCAGAGAGACCCTGCCCAACAGCCAAGGATAAAGGAAAGCCAGGCTCTTAACCTCACAGAGGTTGGAAAAGGATGGTGTATGAGATCATTTTGCATTGCTATATAGGGATACCTGAGACTGGGTAATTTATGAAGAAAAGAGGTTTATTTGGCTCATGGTTCTGCAGGCTATACGAGCGTGGTGCCTGCATCTGCTGGACTTCTGGTGAGGCCTCAGGGAGCTTTTACTCATGGTGGGAAGAGGAAGGGGAGTGGGCATCACGTCGCAAGAGGGGGAGTAAGCGAGATGCCAGCCTCTTTTAAACAACCAGCTCCCACATGAACTAATAGAGCAAGAACTCACTCATTACTGCAGGGAGGGCACCAAACCATTCATGAGGGATCCGCCCCATGACCCAAACACTTCCCACCAGACCCCACCTCCAACACCAGGGATCACATTTCAATATGAGTTTTGGAGGGGACAGACATCTGAACTATATGTCAGATGGCCCCCAAAATGAGTCTGTACCACATGTGAATGGTTAAGAGTACGGGTGCAGGAGCCAGGCTATCCATGTGCCTGACATCACTCTCATTCAGTATTCACAACTGCTCTGCCAGGTCCTATGCTGTCATTCTGATTTCCAGA
Source organism: Homo sapiens (assembly GCF_000001405.40). NCBI lineage: Eukaryota > Metazoa > Chordata > Mammalia > Primates > Hominidae > Homo > Homo sapiens. The sequence goes on along the minus strand of NC_000007.14, from coordinate 72,250,362 downwards.
TGAGAATGCTAAGGCATGGAGAGGTTAAGTGACTGCCTCAAGGTCACACAGCTAGCAAGGCAAAGCCAGGTGGCAGACCCAGGCTGTCTGACTTCCAGGCTCCTTGTTTGAACCTCTCACAGTTCAGCCTCTCCTAATCATCTTATTTAGATCCCAGGCTTATTTTTAAGGGGAGGAGCCAGTGGCTAGAAAAGATGAACACTGCATTAAGATAGAATTTTTCAGATAATTTTGGGGAGGGACTTTGAGAAAGAGTGGTGTTGGGTGAAGGATAGTAAAGATTTGGAATGAAGACTGCAGGGAATTATGGAATTGTGAAAGAGCCCATCTGAGTTAAAGGAGCGGTCTTAGCAGGATCAGCATGGTTCACTGAGGGTCTATTTCTCTCTCTCTCTCTCTCTCTTTTTTTTTTTTTTGGTTTGTTTTGAGATAGGGTCTCACTCTGTCACCCAGGCTGGAGTGCAGTGGTGTGATCTTGGCTCACTGCAACCTCCACCTCCTGGGTTCAAGTGATTCTCCTGCCTCAGCCTCCCAAGTAGCTGTGATTACAGGTGCCCACCACCACACCCAGCTAATTTTTGTATTTTTTGTAGAGACAGGCTTTAGCCATGTTGACAAGGCTGGTCTCGAACTCCTGACCTCAAGTGATCTGCCTGCTTCAGCCTCCTGAGTAGCTGGGATTACAGTCACCTGCCACCACACCCAGCTAATTTTTGTATTTTTTGTAGAGACAGGGTTTTGCCATGTTGGCAGGGCTGGTCTCAAACTCCTGAACTCAAGTGATCTGTCTGCCTCAGCCTCCCAAAGGCTGTGATTACAGGCATGACCCACCATGCCCTGCTGAAGGTCTGTTTCTTGTTGAAGATCCTGTGGATAGATCTGGGGGAAAAGTGTGCCTTCTTGCCTGGGCTAGTCCTGCCTCCACCAGCCATTAAACATGTGATCTTGGGCAAGTTTCTTGACTTCCTTGAGCCCTGACTTCTTGACCTCACACAGGAGAGTGGAAATGCTTGCCTGGCTTCCTGGTGGTGTTGCGATGATGGTTTCATGAGCTGTGTATGGGCAGGTGTCTGGTGCTTTGTACAGGAAGATGACACCTCTGTTGCTCACGACTGGAGTGGAGGGTCTGGTGAATCTGTCTGATTTTTTTCATCAGTGATACTGAGCCAGGCAGGGGTGGCCTGAGCTTGTCCTCACTCAGGGCAGAATGATGAATCTGCATGTCTGTGTCTAATCAGGTCAGTCAGAACTCTGCGATGTCTAGTTGCCTTTTAGCACAACCCATGTGGTTTTTCAGTGTTTCTTTAATGAAGAAATTCGTGATCCATCACTGCTTATGTGATTTTTTAAATTAATTTGCCTCGCTTTCCTTTTGTCTTCTTGATTAAAAATACTTCTTTTAAGCCTTTCTCTTATATCTTGGAACATTCTAAAACTTAAAATGTCCTTTTGAAATGTTTCCCATAGCAACAAAACATGATCGATTATAGACTATCCTGATTCTCAAAATGGGATTGAGATTATATTTTTGAAAAAAAAAATCTAGATCGAAATTTAATAGATGTTGTGGTTGGCTGAACAATGTCCCCCGAAAGATGTACCCCCAAAGATATCCCCCTAAAGATGTGCGTGTCCTAATTCCTGACACTTGTGAACATGTTACTTTATATGGCAAAAAGTACATTGCAGATGTGACTACATTAGGATGTTGAGATGGAGAGATTATTTGAGGTTATCTGGGTGGGAATAATAATGTAATGATAAGTGTCCTTATAAGAGGGAGGCTGGAGGGTCAGAGTCAGAAAGCCATATGATGATGGAAGAAGAGAGAATGGAAGAGAGAAAGAAGGAGAAAGAGAGAGAGAGATTGGCTGGAAGTTGCTGCATTGCTGACTTTGAAGATGGTGGAAGGGGCCATGAGCCAAGGAATGCAGGCCACCTCTGGAAGTGAGAAAAGGCAAAGAGGCCGGGCGTGGTGGTTCATGACTGTAATCCCAGCCCTTTGGGAGGCCAAGGTGGGTGGAGTTCTAGACCAGCCGGGCCTATATGGTGAAATCCCATTGCTACTAAAAATACAAAAATTAGCTGGGTGTGGTGGCGAGCACTTGTAATCCCAGCTACTTGGAAGGCTGAGGCAGGAGAATTGCTTGAACCTGTGAGGTGGAAGTTGCAGTGAGCCAAGATCGTGCCATTGCACTCCAGCCTGGGTGACAAAAGCAAAACTCCATCTAAAAAAGAAAAAAGGCAAATAGATTATCCACTAGAGCCTCCAGAAGGAATACAGCCCTCCCAATATCTTGACTTCAGGACTTCTGACTTCCAGAACAATAAGATGATACATTTGTGTTTTTCTTTGTTGTTGTTTAAAGACAGAGCCTCACTGTGTTGCTCAGGCTGGAGTGCAGTAGTGTGATTGTAGCTCACTGCAACCTGGAACTCCCGGCTCAAGCCATCCTCCTGTCTCAGCCTTCCAAGTAGCTGGGACTACAGGCATGCATTACCTACCATGCCTGGCTAATTTTTAAATTTTTTGTAGAGATGGGGTCTTGCTGTATTGCCCAGGCTGGTCATCTCCAACTCCAGGCCTCAAGCAATCCTGTTGCCTTGGCTTCCCAAAGTGTTGGGATTGCAGGCATGAGCCTCCATGCCTGGCCACATTTGTATAGTTCTAAGCCACTAACTTTGTGATCACTGGTCGCAGCAACCACAGGAAACAAATACAGATGTCTACCAGGGGACTATGTTACCACTTCTGTAAAGTGGGCATGATAATCATAATTTATCTTTAATAAGAAAATGGCCTGTTGAGGGCGGGCACGGTGGCTCATGCCTGTAATCCCAGCACTTTGGGAGGCTGAGGCGGGCAGATCACAAGGTCCACAAGGTCAGGAGATTGAGACCATCCTGGCTAACATGGTGAAACCCGTCTCTACTAAAAATACAAAAAATTAGTTGGGCGTGGTGGCGGGCACCTGTAGTCCCAGCTATTCTGGAGGGTGAGGCAGGAGAATGGCGTGAACCGGGAGGCGGAACTTGCAGTGAGCCAACGTCGCGCCACTGCACTCCAGCCTGGGTGACAGAGTGAGACTCCATCTCAAAAAAAAAAAAAAAAAAAAAAAAAAAAAAAAAAAAAAAGAAAGAAAATGGTCTGTTGAAAACCCTTGCCAGACCAAGGACCCACGAAGTTCATGAAATACCTTGTAGCTTTCTCCGTAACTATCTGGGTGGGGATAGGGTGAGTAGAGGAAGGTGGCCACAGGGCATACACTGGGCTGTCTGTGATTATATAAAAATTGTTCTGGTAGGGCTGGCCGGGCACAGTGGCTCTTGCCTGTAATCCCAGCACTTCGGGAGGCCGAGGCGGGCAGATCACCTGAGGTCGGGAGTTCGAGACTAGCCTGACCAACATGGAGAAACCCTGTCTCTACTAAAAATATGAAATTAGCCGGGCATGGTGGCGCATGCCTGTAATTCCAGCGACTTGGGAGGCTGAGGCATGAGAACTGCTTGAACCTGGGAGGCGGAGGTTGCAGTGAGCTGAGATTGCGCCACAGCACCCCAGTCTGGGCAAGAAGAGTGAAACTCCATCTCAAAAAAAAAAAAAAAAAATTGTTCTGGTAGGAATGAGGATCATTGGCCTAACTGTGAGGATGGGGTATCGGATAGTCCTGGACAAAACAAGAAGATGGTCAAAGGACCGTGTCCTTATTTCTATGTCTTTTTTTCTCCTGTCCACTTTGAGGCATTTAGTAGTATTCTCCTTTTTTTCATCACTTTCTTAGCAAAACATTCTCTCGAAAGAGAATCTGGTAATACTGATTTATACCTTGGATGAGTTTTGATCACGGAATTATAGAGTTACTGAAAGTTAGCCTGGCAGGTGACACTGGGGGCAGGACAGGGCAGCTCCTGGGGCTTCCCAGGGAGGACACCACTCTCCAAGGGACATCACCAAGCCACCGTGTGTCCCTTAGACCGCAGAGCCCGAGTCTTCTGAGTTGGAGTCAGTCCAGAGGTGTCTGCAGGAGCCCTCACCCCTCACAATGGTGTCAGCATTTTAAGGCCAGTCCCTAATTTTGAAATGAGAGCTTTTATCCTCTGCCAAAGAAAGAAACCTCAGTTCTATCTGAGAGAGGAAAAAGGGGGTGTTTCTGAGGTAAGGGTTTGATGATCCAGAGGTCCCATTGCATAAGGAGTTGATTCCTTCATCCCAAGACCCAGACAGGAAGTGGAACTGGAAAGATGTTATCATAATAAAGTGTCTGGAAATTACTTTTGTCGGATAAGAGGGCACTCTGGAACTAGAGAAGAGAGAGGGAATCCCATAGGGAGAAAAGAAAGGAGGCTGGGTACATCTTAGGTCTGAGTTTTGTTTCATAGTGACCTTTTTTCAATTCAAAAATGTGGAGGACGCCTTGCAGTGTAAGCATTGCTGCCAGGGCAGTGAGACCTTGTGGCCAGCTACATTTCTTTGCTGGTGGAATGGAAACACATCTAGAAATGGTGGCACCAGAACACTGGTGCACAGTCGCTATTGAAAGAAGAACTGGTCTTTTGAGTTTTGCTGAGGCATCAGCCTAGCAAAGAAAGACCATGGGCTTTGGAGTCGCAGATACCTGGATGAAAATCCCAGCATTGCCTCTAGCCAATGGTGTGATGTCTGGGAAGTGAATTCTATCTCTGATCTTGTTTTACTCAACTTTATTTATTTATTTATTTATTTATTTATTTATTTATTTATTTAGAGATGGAGTTTCATTCTTGTTGCCCAGGCTGGAGTGCAGTGGTGCAATCTCGGCTCACTGCAACCTCTGCCTCCCAGGTCAAGTGATTCTCATGCTTCAGCCTCCTGAGTAGCTGGGATTACAGGTGCCCACCACCATGCCCGGCTAATTTTGCATTTTTAGTAGAGATGGGGGTTTCACCATGTTGGTCAGGCTGGTCTCGAACTCCTGACCTCAGGTGCTCCACCCGCCTCAGCCTCCCAAAGTGCTGGGATTATAGGCGTGAGCCACTGTGCCCAGGCCCACTTTACACAGCTTTAAAATGAGTCACATCACAGTACTGCACGTAGGGTTGCAGGAAAAGTCAGCACGTTACTGGTGCCTAGGAATTGGTGGCTCAGATGATGTTGTCCTTACCAGGGCGGGGCTGGGCTGCCTGCACAGATGATTCATGAAAACTTGAACAGTTCAGAGGGAGGAGGGAAAACCCTACATAGCACCTCCAGCGGGGATTGTTCTGTCTACGTCACCTCATTTGAATATTTTCCTCCAAGAGAACTCATCACCTACGATGTTTTGGGATGGAGCAAGGTGATGAGGATGCTGAATAATGGTCCTGTTCTGTTTTCCTCATGTGAGATGTAGGATGCCTGATGATGTCATCCATCTCTCCACACCACGATTTAGAGGAGTTGGAATAAAAGTCAGAGGGAGTCAGAGGGTAGGGCCGTCTTAGTATTTGGTACAATTTAGGAAATTGGAATTTGCTTTTCCTCTCTCTCTGAAGTTGAGCACCAAGTTATGTAAGTTATTGCTAACTGTGGAGTTGAGAAAGGGAATAGTCATTCTTTCTATCCATTGGTAGTGCCATAAAACCACATTTTTCTGCCTGCAAGCTACTTATAACTATATTTTCTCTGTCTGGGAAGCCCTTTCTGCTTGTTCTTCACCTGCTGAGTTCCTACTCAACCCCCATTTTAATTGCCACATCCTTTATGGAACCTTCTAAAATCACCCTACAGCTAGATGAAATTCATTCTCTTCAACCTGAGAAAGCTGATTTAAAAAAAAAAAAAGGAATTCATTCTCTGTGCTTTAACTTGGTTTATTCCTCATTTATATCCCAATAATAAATTGTGGAACTTTTCTGTTTTCTTGTTTATATATTTTAGTTCCTCTACTGGATTACATCCTAGAGAGCAGGAACACGCTTATTTTTCAATCCTGTTTACAGCAGTCTTGTACGTTGTAGGAACTTAATATGGTATTTGTGGACTTCTTGAATAGCTTTGCATTGAAATAATTGAAACCAAATACCCAGAATTCTGAAATAATCAGAGTTTGAGGGATCTTTACCCTATCGTTTTATCGGAATCTAGTAAAGGTTTCCTGAACATCTGCTATATGCCAGGCACTGGGAATGCAGTGATGAAAAAGTTGAAGTCTCTGTGCCTAAAATCAGAGATTTCTTCAAAAACGTAACTTTAGGTTCTTTTCTGGAGTTCCTTGCAGGGTCAGCCCATGCATTGTACCTTCTATGTGTATGGTCTTGAGCAAGGAGATTTAGCTTTCAGCAAGGAGATTCAGCCTTCAGAAAAGTCCTCATTCCATTCAGCAGGATGGGAGAATTCAATATACAGACTTGACAGTAGCTCCTGGAAAGACCATTGTACGGTAGATAGAGGTAGAACAGTCGGCATTCATGGTGACCTTGAGCTAGCAAATAAAAACTAAAAAGAAGGAATAGAAGTATGTCATATGTTTCAGCAGTATTTCCATTCAAACTTACTAAGTGGACTTTGTCTCTGGACTTTAGTTAGGTAGAGAAATTCACTTAGGTAGAATGAGTTCTTTCCTTCGGGCCAGTGAGGACTCACAGTTAGTTCTATGGCCCACTTTGCTGTCCACATACAGAATCTCATTAGATCAGCCTAGCAGCTTGATTGGCTCAGAAGGGCCAGGGGTTTTGTCTAAGGTCACTCACTCCAGACAGGAGAAACCACTAAGTCCTGACAGTGAGTACTGGGGGCAGGGGCGGAGGAGTGGGGAGCGCTGGTTCATGTGCTCTTCCCGCCTTCTTGTGCCTGGGGCTGTTTCTCTTAGTCCCCAACACTGCATCCCCGGATGCAGCTAAGGTTTGCTAGGTCAGCACTTAGCACCGAAAGAAGCTCACTGATTTAAAAAACAAACAAACGTTAGACAGTTGGGAGTAGGAAAATAATCAAAATTACTTCTTATCATGGTCAGTTTGGGCTGCTATAGAAATGCCATCAGTTGGGTGGCTTAAATAACAAAAGTTTGTTTCTCATAGTTCTAAAGGGCTAGGAAGTCTAGATTAAAGACGGCAGCTGATTCAGTTCTTGAGGGCTCTCTTCCTGGTTTGCAGATGGCTGCCTTCTTGCTGTGTCCTCACATGGAGAGAGAGAGAGCTCAGTCCTTTCTTTTCCTCATAAGGGCACTGATACCATCACGGGGGCTCCTCCCTCATGACCTCATCTAAACCTAATTACCTCTCAGAGGTCCCACTTCCAAATATCATCACATTGGGAATTAAGGCTTCAAGCATTCACTCCGCATCACTTCCCTTTATCTGGATTACTGGTTAGGTTCAGATCATTGAGTGAAATTGGGTTTTGGGAATATCTACATCCATATCTATAATATCAAATGTCTTTGCTAACTTTAGTATTATTTTTCTGGCAATAATTAAAAGCCAGTTAATTTTTATTTTTTAATTTTAATTTTATTTTTGAGTTGGATTCTTGCTCTGTCACCCAGGCTGAAGTGCAGTGTTGTAATATTGGCTTACTGCAATCTCTGCCTCCCAGGTTGAAGCAATTCTCCTGCCTCAGCCTCCTGAGTAGCTGGGATTACAGGCACATGCCACCACGCCTGTATAATTTTTTTATTTTTAGCAGAAATGGGGTTTCACCATGTTGGACAGGCTGGTCTCAAACTCCTGACCTCAAGTGATCTGCCCACCTCAGCCTCCTAAAGTGTTAGGATTACATGTTTGAGCCACTGCGCCTGGCCTTAATTTTAATATTTCAACCATATTTAGCCAATGCTTTTAGGAGTCCCTGAAGGTATGATCATTTACTTTTTTTGAATTGTTTATGAGTAGGTAAAAACCTGACATTTCCAGATCCTCCACTAGAGTGGATTTTATTTTCCCAACCGTGTACAAAAAATAATGAGTTGTTCTCTCTTACTCCCAAAGGTTAAAAATAATTTAAGATTTTTAAACCCAAACATAAAGTTACCATATTATCCATCAATTTATGCCTATACCCCAAAGGATGGAAAGCAGGGACTCAAACAGATATGTGCACATCTATGTTCATAGCAGCATTATTCACAATAGCCAAAAGGTGGAAAGAATGTGGTATAGCCATTGAATGGAATATTATTCAGCCTTAAAAAGGAAGGACATTCTGACACACACTACAGCATGGGTGCACCTTGAAGATAGCATGGTAAGTGAAATAAGCCAGACACAAAAGGACAAATACTGTATGATTCCATTTCTATGAGGTCCCTAGAATAGCTAAATTCATAGGAAGTAGAAGGGTGGTTGCCAGGGGCTCAGAAGAGGAGGAATAGGGTTGTTTAACAAGTGCAGAGTTATTTAATAGGTAGAATTTCACTTTGGGATAATGAAAAAGTCCTGAGGATGGATGGTGGTGGTTGCCCAATAATGAAAATATACTTAATGCCACTGAACTGTATACTCAAAAGCTTAAATGACTAAAAAGAGAGAGAGAGGGATTTTAAATGCGTAAACTTTCATCCTAGTGGCCTTTACTTTTTAGATGGCATGGGCTGCTTTTGTTTGGAGACAAACTAAAGAGGCATGGCTGAGTTATGGTATCTGTTGTTTTAGACATGAGTGTGTTGCATCAGATATATTTGAACCTTTTTTTTTTTGTTTTGAGATGGAGTTTCACTCTTATTGCCCAGGCTGGAGTGCAATGGCGTGATCTTGGCTCACTGCAACCTCTGCCTCCTGGATTCAAGCGATTTTCCTGCCTCAGCCTCCCAAGTAGCTGGGATTACAGGCATGCGCCACCACGCCTGGCTAATTTTGTATTTTTAGTAGAGACAGGGTTTCTCTATGTTGGTCAGGCTGCTCTCGAACTCCTGACCTCAGGTGATCTGCCCGCCTTGGCCTCCAAAAGTGCTGGGATTACAGGTGTGAGCCCCTGCACCCGGTCTGAACCTTTTTTGTTTAAGTAAATGTGTGGGGGGGAAAACAGAATGTGCTCGTACCATTCTTGACTTTTAAAAATTATTAAAAACAGAACAAAATAAAGACACCCCAAAAATGCAGTGCACAAGTCTGAGAAAAGACACTAAGAAACGACTCTCCCTTCCCCTAGTCCATGGCTGGTGTAAGTTTAGTGACCAATAAATGCCTGTTGAATGGTGAATACTTTCATTGTGCAAAACAGACTCTAACATGAATGATTCTCAAGCCAACTTACTTGAACTAAAACTATTCAAATTCAGCAAATATTAACTAAGAATCTACTGTGTGCCAGAGAATGTAGTAAAGGCTAGATTGGAATTGAAATGGTTCAAAGATAGTTTGATTCCACTCCAGTCTATTGAGAGGGGCAGATATAGACTCTGATAATGCGGGGAGTAAGTAATGCTTTTAGAGGAGGTGGCTGGGAGCACTCAAGGAAGGTTCCAGAAGGCCAAATAATGCTTTTAAAAACCAAATATTTGTCCAGTGTAAACAGGCATGGGACTGGCCTTCCAGGTAGAGAGAACAGCAGAAAAGCATGATACACTCTGATTTGTATAGGTCACTTGGAAACATAATTCAGACCAGTGGAAGTGATGGACCCTACACATTAGTGATTCTTTCTCCAAGAACACTGCCCACACTCAGTGAATGACTGGATTTCTTTGCCAGCTGACTATAGGGCCTTGAGACATCCTCAGGAATAAACTTAACAGCAACGAATCCTTCTCTTCTGAAGATGAGGGTAGTTTTAGCAACAGAGAATGGCAGTTTAGAGTCAAATCATGTGGAGCAGTTGATTGATCAAACTAGCAGTAATGTTTGTATGAACATGCAGTAACAAGTTGATCTGTGTTTGTTAGACACTGGCTTTGGAAGCTATTCAGCAAATCTCCCCCAGTCGCAGCAGCTCATACCTGTAACACCAGCGCTTTGGGAGGCCAAGGCTGGAGAATTGCTTGAGGTCAGGAGTTCAAGATCAGCCTGTACAACAGAGCAAGACTCGAACTCTACAAAAAGTTAAAAAACTAGCCTGGCACGGTGGCACGTCCTTATAGTCCCAGATACTCAGAAGGCTGAGGTGGGAGGATAGCTTGAGCCCAGGAATTCAAGGGTGCAGTGAGCTATGATCACTCTACTGCGCTCCAGCTTGGGCTACAAAGCAAGACCCCATCTTTATTTAAAAAAAAAAAAAAAGAAATTTCCCCAAGTGTTTCGAGAACTATAGGACTGGTGGATCCTATGAGACTTCCCAAAGTAGCCCCCACACTCCTGGAGTCTCTCTTCAAAACATTAGTCTCAAGTCATTACAGCTAGAACTTGAGGCTAGGATTCTCTCCAGGATTGTTGAGTTGTTTACCCAGCAAAATGAGCTGGTTGTAAGAATGTCACTCATATTTAAACTTAAAGCTTGGTTTCAGCATGGTCGAATAGAAATCCTTAAGCCCTTCCACCCTTGGCTTGTGTTGTCTCTGCTGGCATGCAATGTACAAGACTATCCTGCTTTCAGGAGGGGAGGCACTTTGACAGTGGTTCTGTTGGTTTTAGTAAGGGAATGCACAGTCGAAGCTGTGCATTGTGTACTAAGTGGTGCACATTCTCTCTTCTGAACCCTGTTGGGATCGAGGGCACATGTAGGAGCTACCTGGCAGAGGCTGGGCATTCTGTGTCATTAGAAAATCCACATTTTTTTTTTCTGTAGCATCCCACGTTATTCTGTTGAGTTAACTTGATCTACAAACCCATGCACCTTGGGGATTTAAGAAATTAACACCTTAGAAAAGTTATACCCAGATAATTTAGGAAGATTTTGCTGTTTACATTTAAATACAGGAATATACTAAACTTTTATTATATGTTGATATTTATGCTGTGTCAGATGTGCAGAATACAATAGAAATAAAAATCTCTGCACATCAAGAGGGTTTAGAAGCTAAGACAGCAGAGCGTCACAGAATCTTTGGTTTATTTATTTATTTATTTATTTATTTTTAGGGACAAGGTCTTGTTCTGTTGTCCAGGCTGGAGTGCGGTGGTGCAATCATAGCTTATTATAGCCTCACTCCTGAGCTCAAGTGATCCTCCTGCTTCAGCCTCCTGCGTAGCTGAGAATACAAGGACGTGCCACCACTCCTGGCTAATTTATTTATTTTTTTGGAAAGGTGGGGTCTTGGTGTGCTTCCCAGGCTGGTCTCAAGCTCCTGGCCTCTAGTGATCCTCCTGTCTTGGCCTCCCAAATTGTTGGGATTACAGGCATGAGCCACTTTTCCCAGCCATCACAGAATATTTGAATAGAAAGCACCAGGAGGTATTTTAGAAGTCACGGAGTACAACATCTTACTGGCTGTAAAGGCACAGATTAGTGTGAAGAGTCAGGCTGTTTAAGGTGGGGCAAGAGTCTGAGGGCCCTCTCTCCTGCTTCCTAGCTTTGTCCACATTAGTGGGGGATGTCTGATCATGAGAGGTCTGGGTCTCTGTCTTGTCACAATCTTTTCTTTTTCTATGACACTGTATTAGCCTGTTCTCATGCTGCTAATAAAGACATACCTGAGACTGGGTAATTTACAAAGGAAAGAGGTTTAATTGACTTACAGTTCTACAGGGCTGAGGAGGTCTCAGGAAACTTACAATCATGGTGGAAGGGGAAGCAAACATGCCCTTCTTCACGTGGCGGCAGCAAATAGAGGTGCAGAGCAAAGAGGGGAAAAGCCCCTTAAAAAACCATCAGAACTTGTGAGAACTCACTCACTATCATGAGAACAACATGGAGCTAACCCTCCCTGTGATTCAATTACCTCCCACTGGGTCCCTCCCATGACATGTAGGGATTACAAGAACTACAGTTCAAGATGAGATTTGGGTGGGGACACAGTCAAACCATATCAGACACTCATTATTCCATGAATTTCTAGGGAATAAAGTGTTGCTAGGGAATAAATTCATTAAATAAAAAAATCATTAAATAATAAATTATACTCATTAAATAATTCATTCAATAAATTTCTAGGAAATAAATTCATTATACCATGAATTTCTAGGGAATAAAGCCAGCAGCTCAGTCTCTTTGCAACTCATTCTCATAGACATTTGTTTCTCTGGATGGAGAAGACTCCAGTTAAAATTTAAAAATCAAAGAAAAAAATGGAAATATTAAAACTTAATTTTGATGTGCTCTTGTAACTATCATAGAATACTGATTTCCTTTTGTGAATTTTTCATTTAAGAGTATTATTCCTGAGCAACAATTGCAATGTTTCCCAAGGTGAACACCTGCAGACCCTAAACAATTAGCTGTCACCTGGAGCTTTGGTGAACCCGGCTGTCTTCTGTAGGGCTTCCTTGTTTTGTGGGTCATTACCTTCACAAGCTTCTGAATGCCACCTCTGTTTTTGGAGTCCTTCAAGATGCTAGATTTATACATTCATCAACTTGCCAAAACCCTTGTCCTTTATGCATTTGCTGTCAACAGTGCCAGGCAGAAAGAGCCATGATGTTGCAGGCACTTCCATTTTCCATGGTAACATTTCTGGGGCACTCCTTGTTAAACATGCCTCATTCCCTTGATGTCTGCAATCTCACCTTATAGATTTCCTCTTGAGTAGCCAGAGAAACTCTGGATTTGTGAAGGGGCTAGAAGAAGGAAGGGTTTCTCTCTGTCTTGCTTTTGTGTTGGTCATTTTGGGGAACTCCTAAGAGAGGGAGGACTCAGTAAGGGCTGATGGTTCTTGAGTGAAACCAGCCCTCCCAGAACTCAGCCCCAAGAACCTTAAAAAGCCAACCTGAAATGCTCTAACAGGCAGTGAAGACTCTCCTTGGTTTAATGCATTTTTCTGCTTCTGTCTCCTGGCCCTCGCTGTGGCTTCTGTGCCTGTCTCTGCCTCTCCTGGTCTGCTGCTCTCTCTAGTCCTCTGCTCAGTGACAGGTGCAGTCTACTTCTTTGGCCCTGTCGTCTCTCCCTGTCTCCCTTATCTGGAATAAGGACCTCCCAATTTCAGCTTCTGGCCATGGGGGTGGGATTCAGAGCAGCAGATGTTTGTGATGTTGCAGTTTAGTGATGCCTCAAATCCATTTGATCTTCCCTTACCGGTATAATAAGAATTCCCCAGGGCCAGGTGTAGTGGCTCATGCCTGTAATCCTAGCACTTTGGGAGGCTGAGCCGGGCGGATCACCTGAGGTCAGGAGTTTGAGACCAGCCTGGCTAACTTGGTGAAACGCCGTCTCTACTAAAAATAGAAAATTAGCCAGGTGTGGTGGCACATGCCTGTAATCTCAGCTACTCGGGAGGCTGAGGCAGGACAATTGCTTGAACCCAGGAGGCAGAGGTTGCAGTGAGCTGAGATTGCACCATTGCATTCCAACTTGGGCAACAAGAGGGAAACTCCATCTCAAAAAAAAAAAAATAAAAATAGAAAAAAAAAAGTTCCCAACTAGGTCAGACTTCACCTCCCACTGCAGGCTCCTTCAACACATCAATTAAATTCTGCAGACTCCCAGTATGGGGAGGTGTCCTAGGACACAAATCTATCCCTTGGCCAAAGACCATGAACATTGCTTATGAAATAATAATAACCAACATGTCTTGAGTCTTTTCCATGTGACAGATAGTCACAAATACCTGTACTATATCATTAAAGCTGAAAATCAATGACACATTTATTTCCTCCTCCCAACAGTTAGCACAGTTTGCTCTGGGATGTCATTTGGTTCAGATAATCCAACCATTAATTATCACATATTGTAGGGATAATTTGATTTTTGCGATGAGCCTGGCGTTTTCCACCACGATGCAAGAGGAAAAAAATTCTGCAACCCTGAACTTTTTCAGGCATGCCAATGAATGGCAGGACTTGAGGTTCTCCTTGGGTCTTTGCTGCTATCTCTATGGGCAGGTTTTTCTCACTGATTTCCTGGTTTAACGAACATATATGAGCCTCCATATTGACTGTTGTCAGTAGAACTTGCTCGATGAGAGACCATCCCATTTTATTGGTTTCTTCTGCAGTTGATTCGGAGGGCGGGTGGGCTTGATGAGTGGCTCTGAACACTGAGAATTTCGACTTTGAGTATTTTATATGTTCTCTTTCAGCCTTACAAGCCAAGTCAACTCTTCCTTAAACACTTAATGATAATACCCAACCTTAATGAGCCTTTACGTAAGTGAGAGACGTTGCGTGAATAACAAGGTTGGGATGGTCACTATCCCAATAATTAGGTGATTTTTCTGAGGGTTTTCAGCTTGTAAGAAATTGGACTGGAATGTGAAATCAGGTTCTTTTTCTTTTTTCTTTCTTTCTTTTTTTTTTTTTTTTGTGGAGAATGGGCTCATTATATTGCCCAGGCAGGTCTCGAACTCCTGGGCTCAAACTATCCTCCCTCCTCTGCCTCCCTAAGAGCTGGGATTACAGGTATGAGCCACTGTGCCTGGCCCAGAATGTGAAATCAGGTTATTTGGACCCCAGGGCTGGTTCTTGGTCAGGTAGCAGTTCTGTGCTACCTTGGAGCTTGGGGTATTTTCTTTGCAGAGGGTGCAAGTACAAGTATATAAGGATGGGGTACCGGGTGGGCAAGAACCAAAGGGACAGTGGTTGTAACTTGGCCTTCCAGGGCTACATGGCCAAGGGGTGATGGGGCAGAGATTTGATTGACAGGCTTAATAACAACATAAGACAGCAGAGGGAGAGATGTCATGGAGTCCAAGGTTAGGGGGGCGGGGGTGGGGGATGCTGGAGAGTTTTCCCACATGTTTAGAAATGTGCCAGGTCCCCGGAGTGGAATTCTGAGCCCTTTACAGTCTAATCAACACGGGCTGCTTTGACATCCTTCTCTGCTGCACAGCAGAGTGTGTGGGACTCTTTCTGCTGGGGCTGTGAAGGATTTCATTTGCAAGCCTGTCTGTGCTAGCGTTAAATGATTTTTACACTATGGAGCTATTTCTTTAGGAGTTGCCTTCAATGTAGATTTCCCTGTAGCAAATTCTTTTTAAAATGCACCCAGGACAATACTAATGCAGTATTTAAAGGAATTCTATAAGGCGTGGACACACTCTAATTGATCTGCTTGAACTTTTTGGAAAATTATTTATTTTTCTTATTTATTTATTTATTTATTTATTTTTGAGACAGAGTCTCACTGTGTCATCCAGGCTGGAGTGCGGTGGTGTGATCATAGCTCACTGTGGCCTCCAACTCCTGGGCTCATGTGATCCTCCCACCTCAGCCTCCCTAGTAGCTGGGACTACAGGAGCATGCTACCATGACTGGCTAATTTTTAGTTTTTTTGGCAGAGACAGAGTCTCGCTATATTGCTCAGGGTGGTCTCAAACTTCTGAACTTCCAGAAGTGATTCTCTCACCTTGGCCTCCCAAAGTGGTAGGATTACAGGCATGAGCCACCACACCAGGTCTGTTTTATAAGTTTTTATCTGTTGTGTTTCTTTAAAGCAAGTTTTAATCAATATGTTGGGAAATTATAGCAATAGCAACTAGAAGCATTTGCTATTATTGCTTCTCTTCCATTGCTTTCCACCCATAATTAAGTACTTAGGGGATATCTACCGAGATCCAGCATCTGGAGAACATACCAAATTAAATTAGAGATGGCCTCTGTTCTCCACAAGTTAGGAAGATAAGACAAGTGGACTTCATGTCCGGACACGGTGGCTCACGCCTGTAGTCCCACCACTTTAGGAGACCAAGGCGGGCGGATCACTTGCAGTCAGGAGTTCGAGACCAGCCTGGCCAACATAGTAAAACCCCATCTCTACTAAAATACAAAAATTAGCTGCGTGTGGTGGTGCACACCTGTAATCCCAGCTACTTGGGAGGCTGAGGCAGAAGAATCACTTGAACCTGGGAGGCAGAGGTTGCAGTGAGCCGAGATCGCGCCATGGCATTCCAGCCTCGGTGACAGAGCGAGACTCCATCTCAAAAAAACAAAAAAACAAAACAAAACAAAAAAAGACAAGTGGACTTCAGATAACAAATAACAAAGCCAACAATATTCAGGAGATGTCAGAGGCCACCCTAACTAATGGCCTCATATGTGCTAGACTGTGGGAGGTACTTTGCTGGCTGGAGGAATCTAGGCAGAGTCTAATCTTGGCTGGGCTCCCGGGGAAGTTTCTTGTCTTCTCTTGTTGACATCCAAAGCAGAGATCGCAGCTTTTCTCTGTGCTCTGTAGGGTTCTAATCCTGCTTTACCTTGTAATTACCTGCAAACTGCCTCTATCTTTGTGGTAAAAGATTGAAACTGTCCATGGCAAACTCTTCTCAACCTTACTGTTTCCTTGTAAACATCAGTGTGTCTTTCTATTGTTATGTTTCCTCTTTGTTTCTCTTTTTCTAGCTTAATTTAGTTTGTTTGTTTGTTTGTTTATTTATTTATTTTGAGACAACATCTTGCTCTGTTGCCCAGGCTGGAGTACAATGGTGTGATCTTGACTCACTGCAACCTCTGTCTCCCAGGCTCAAGCGATTCTCCTGTCTCAGCCTCCTGAGTAGCTGGGACTACAGGTGTGCACCACTGTGCCTGGCTGATTTTTGTATTTTTAGTAGAAATGTGGTTTTGCTGTGTTGCCCAGGCTGGTCTTGAACTCCTGACCTCAGATTATCCGCCTGCCTCGACCTTTCAAAGTGTTGGGATTACAGATGTGAGCCAGCATGCCTGGCCTAATTTAGTTTTTAAAAGAAAGGGCCTTGCTCTGTTGCCCAGTGGTGTGACCATAGCTCACCACACCCTCCAACTCCTGGGCTCAAACAATCCTCCTGCCTCAGCCCTCCAAGTAGCTGACACTATAAGTGCTCACCACCACTCCTGGCTAATGTTTCTGTTTTTTTTTGTAGAAATGGGGTCTCACTATGTTGCCGATGCTGGTCTCAAACTCCTGGTCTCAAGTGATCCTCCTGCCTTGGCCTCCTGAGTTGTTGGGATTCCAGGCATGAGCCATTGTACCCAGCCTTTTTCTCTCTCTTGAAAGGAAACATCTCTTTGTGAACACTGCCTTCTCTTCTCCCCTTAGCCCCTTAACTCTCCATCCCACTGAGGGTCACAGGCAACTCCCCGAGACCGTCTTCTCCTTTGGCTCTTATTCTGTCCTTGGGGTTGCTTTTTTTCCTCCTTCCAACCCTGCAGTGGGTCCTTTACTCAAATGATCTCCTCCATGCCTTTCTCCACAGTGCCTTCTTTTTTTTTTTTTTTCCTTTTTACAGAATGATCTTTATTGTATCAAGAAGTCAAACAGTAAAAATAGTGACGAAAAACAGTCCCTTGTGACCAAAATAAAGGAACTAAACTTTTTCATCAACAATCAGAGAAAGAACTTAATAAAGCCAAAGCTTTTAAACAGGTGCAATAAAATTATATGCATATTATTGAAAACTGTGTTTCCATGTTATGGAAACATGCTAAACATGTTACATGCTAAACATGCTAATTTATGCTAAATTAAAAATATAGCAAATTATGAAGAAGAAGGTGTCACTGTCATCACTATACCCAATATAGATAGTGTTAAAGTCTGTTGTTTCCTTCCAGTCTTTTAAAGGAATTTGGCTTTTTATGTTGTATTAAAAAAATTTCAATATATCATATGTTTCCTAAACCATTAACTATTCTTTAAAAAATACTTTTTAAGCCAGGTGTGGTGGCTCATGCCTGTAATCACAGCACTTTGGGAGGCCAAGATGGGCAGATCACCTGAGGCCAGGAGTTCAAGACCAGCCTGGCCAACATGGCGAAACCCTGTCTGTACTAAAAATATAATAATTAGCCAGCATGGTGGCAGGTGCTTGTAATCCCAGCTGTTTGGGAGGCTGAGGCAGGAGAATCGCTTGTACCTGGGAAGCGGAGGTTGTAGTGAGCCAAGATGGTGCCACTGCACTACAGCCTGGGCAACAGAGTGAGACTCCGTCTCAAAAAATAAATTAAAAAAAAATTTTTTTGAAAGCTTTCTACGAGTCCATTGCATGAAGTGACAATAACTTATTTAACCATCTCTTATTTGTTGGATTTTTGTTTCTCTCCAATGCTTGGCTATTGTAAATAGTATTATCACGTACAATGCAGTTGTTCAATTAGTTGTCTTCTTCCCGGACCTGGATTACTTTTGGCTTTCACCTCTGCGATGACGGTTCTACAATGGGATCTTTAGTTCTGACTGCAGTTCTAAGCTCTTGGCCCAAATCTAAACCCCTTGCCGGAGCTGATGCATGCTCCTACATCCTCTCTGCTCCCCCTGCTGAGGCAGTTTCTTCTGACCCCTAGAATGGTGTCACTGTGATTCCCATGAGCCAGCCTTTTGTCTTCTTTGACCCTTCTCCTTTGGCCCCAGCCTGTAGGGGATCTCCAAGTTGCATATGTTTTATGCATCCAATATCCCAACACACATTTCACACCTGTCAGGCTCCTTCTCAATGCACTGTCTTGTCCAAGACAACAGCGTCTTTTCTGACACTTGCTGCCTCTCTCCTGCCCCCCAGTGCAACTTACATGCTGCTAAACAAATTGATTTTACAAAAAATATAGCTCTAGTTGATCACTCTTTTCCTTAGTCTACTCTTACCCTGACAGCCCAGGCATTCCACAGCATGGTACAGTAAGGGTGGGGTTATCAGCAAGGGAGGAGTTCCAAGACCCCCAGTGGATGCCTGAAATCACGGATAGCACTGAGCTCTGTACCTAGTACATCTTTTCCTATAGGTACCTACGTATGAGAAAGTTTCATTTATAAATTAGGCACAGTGAGAGACTAACAACAATAGCAATAAAATATCATTCTGTTACAAAGATACATGCACATGTATGTTCATTGCAGCACTATTCACAACAGCAAAGACATGGAATCAACCCAAATGCCCATCAGTGATAGACTAGATAAAGAAAATGTGGTACATATACCATGGAATACTATGAAGCCATAAAAAAGAATGAGATCCTGTCCTTTGCAGAGACATGGATGGAGCTGGAAGCCGTTATCCTCAGCAGTCTAATGCAGTAACAGAAAACCAAACACTGCATGTTCTCACTTGTAAGTGGAAGCTGAACAATGAGAACACATGGACACAGGAAAGGGAACAACACACACTGGGGCCTGTTGGACAGGGGCGTTGGGGGAGGGAGAGCATTAGGAAAAATAGCTAATGCCTGCTGGGCTTAATACCTAAGTGGTGGGTTGATAGATGCAGCAAACCACCATGGTGCATGTTTACCTATGTAACAAACCTGCACATCCTGTGCATGTACACCAGAACTTAAAATAAAAATTAAAAAAAAAAAGCGTGTACTGCAACAGTTGATCTGATAGCTCAGTCAGCTACTGAGTGACTGACAGACTGGTAGTGTAGACAGTGTGGCTAGGCTACACAAAGGCACGATTCATGCCCCCAGGTGGGGCAGTTTGGGATGGTATAAGATTTCATCACGCTCCTTGGAATGGCATGCACATGAAAACTGATGAATTTTTTATTTCTGGAATTTTCCATCTGATATTTTTGGAATGTGGTTGAACTCAGGTAACTGAAACTGCAGAAAGTGACGCTGTGGGTGATGGGGAAACGACTGTGCCTATATTAGTTTTCTGTGGTTGCTGTAACCAATTATCACTAACTTAGCGGCTTAACAGAATACGAATTTATTATCTTTCAATTCTGGAGGTCGGAGTTTGGAATGCATCTTACTGGGATAAAATAGGGATATTATCAGGGCTACATTCCTTTGGAGATGCTGGGGCAGAATCTGTTTCCTTGCTTTGTCGAACTTCTATAGAGTCTGCCTGCATTCCTTAGCTCATATCTCCTCTTCCATCTTCAAAGGCAGCAGTGGAGCATCTTCAGATCTCTCTCTCTGACTCTCCTACTGTCCTCTTCCATCTTTTTTTTTTTTTCTCAAGACAGGGCCTCACTCTTTTGCCCAGGCTGGGGTGCAGCGGCGTGATCATGACTCACTGCAGCCTTGACCTACCTGGGCTCAGGTGATCCTCCCACTTCAGCCTCCCAAGTAGGTGGAACTGCAGGTGTATGCTACCACACCCAGCTAATTTTTTTTTTTTTTTAGTATCTATTGTAGAGACAGAGTTTCGCCACATTGCCCAGGCTGATCTGTTTTTAAAATATTTTTAAAATTTTACTTTAAGTTCTGGGATACATGTGCAGAACGTGCAGGTTTGTTACCTAGGTATACATGTGCCATGGTGGTTTGCTGCACCTATCAACCTGTCATCTAGGTTTTGTTTTTTGTTTTTGTTTTTGTTTTTTGAGACGGAGTCTTGCTCTGTTGCCCAGGCTGGAGTGCAGTGGTGCAGTCTCGGCTCACTGCAAGCTCTGCCTCCTGGGTTCACGCCATTCCCCTGCCTCAGCCTCCTGAGTAGCTGGAACTACAGGCGCCCACCACCACGCCCAGCTAATTTTTTGTATTTTTGTAGAGACGGGGTTTCACCCTGTTAGCCAGGATGGTCTCGATCTCCTGACCTCATGATCCGCGCGGCTCAGCCTCCCAAAGTGCTGAGATTACAGGTATGAGCCACTGTGCCCGGCCCCTGTCATCTAGGTTTTAAGCCCTGCAAATGCATTATGTATTTGTCCTAATGCTCTCCTTCCCCTTGCTCCCCACCCTCCGACAGGCCCCGGTGTGTGATGTTCCCCTCCCTGTGTCCATGTGTTCTCATTGTTCAACTTCCACTTATGAGTGAGAACATGCGGTGTTTGGTTTTCTGTTCCTGTGTTAGTTGGCTGAGAATGATGGTTTCCAGCTTCATCTGTGTCCCTGCAAAGGACATGAACTCATTCTTCTTTATGGCTGCATAGTATTCCATGGTGTATATATGCCATATTTTCTGTTTCCAGTTTATCATTGATGGGCATTTGGATTGGTTCCAAGTCTTTCCCATTGTAAATAGTGCTGCAGTAAACATACGTGTGCATGTGTCTTTATAGTAGAATGATTTATAATCATTTGGGTACACACCCAGTAATAGGATTGTTGGGTCAAATGGTAAGCGATCCTCTTGCCTCAGCCTCCCAAGTGCTGGGATTACAGGCATGAGCCACCATGCTCTGCTTTCCTCTTCCATCTTTTTAAGAGCCTTTGTGATTACATTGGGCTCACCCAGATAAAACAGGATAATACCCCCATCTCAAGATCTCTTTTTACATCTGCAAAGTCTCTTTGTTATCTGAGGTAACAGATTCACAGGTTCTGGGGACCAGGACATGGTCATCTTTGGAGAGGCTTTTTTCTGCCTCCCACAGCACCCAGCTTTTCTTCCATGTTCGTTTTTCCCTTTTCCCTGATTGTATCTTTAGTGCTGGACAAATAATAATAATTAAAAATGGGCTGGGTGTGGTGGCCCATACCTGTAATTCTAGCACTTCAGGAGGATCACTTGAGCCCAGGAGTTCAAGACCAGCCTGGACAACATAGTGAGATCCCCGCCCCCCACCACCAACATCTCTACAAAAAAAAAAAAAATTGCCAGGCATGGTGGCATGTGCCTGTAGTCCCAGCTACTCAGGAGGCTGAGGTGGGAGGATCATGTAAACCCAGGAGGTTGAGGTTGCAGTGAGCTATGATTGCATCAGTGCACTCCAGCCTGGACTATAGAGCAAGACCTTGTCTCAATAAATAAATAAATAAATAAATAAATAAATAAATAAATATATAAATAAGGTAGCCAACACTTGTGGAGTGCTTGCTGTATTCCAGGCCCTGCATTAAGCACCTTCTTTCCATCGTCACCTTTACTTAAACCTTGCGACTATTGTACAACATCAGTTATTGTTGTTCCAGTTTACAGATAAGGAAACTGAGGCTCAGAGAGTAATTTGCCCACAGCCATGCACCAATGAATGCTGGAGTATTTTTAAAAATAACTTTATTGAGGAATAGTTTATATACCATCAAATTACCTGCATTAAGTGTACAGTTCAATGATTTTTCATAATCTTACGGAGCTGTGCACACATCACTGTGATTCAGTTTTAGAACACATTTTATCACCCCAGAGAAACCCGGTGAGGAGCTCTCAACCCAGTGGGGAAGCCAGACATTTAAACTAATTGTTATGTGATATGCTAAGCTCAGGAGTGGAGTTACATGCATTCTAGGCAAGCAGAGGACAGAATGTTGAGTGAAGGGAAGATTAAGGTAAGTCTTCTAGTCCCTGGAAACACTACATTCTCTCTTTGACCAAACTAATTAGATGAGAGAAACACATTGGGATCACAGGCATCTCATTGACAAGCCCAGTCCCCGTTAAGCAGCTGTGTGTGGATGGAAGTTCCCACGACAAAGAAAGAAGAGCTACATTGATAGGCACAGACAGCAGCACTTGGTTCAGTATTCCCAAACCTGTTCAGAACCGTTCTGCTTTGCCGTGAACCTGAAATCCGACATTGGAGGAGCTTAGCAGAAATGAGAGTAGGGATTGTGGAGCTGGAAGTTGCTTGGAGAAGGCATAGGTCCTGGGACAGAGTACTTGCTAGCTGGTGGAAGACCTTCGGGATGGTGTCTACAGTGTAGCTTGGGGAACGCTCTCCTGGGTTTCTGGTGCCTCTACTTCTCATCTTCATAATGATTCAGAGTGCAGTGGTGCAGTCTCGGCTCACTGCAACCCCCGCCTCCCAGGTTCGAGTGATTCTCCTTTTTTGTAACTTTTTATTTTAGATTCAGAGGGTACTTGTGCAGATTTGTTGCAAGGGTATATTGCATGATGCTGAAGCTTGGGATGTGATTGGACCTCTCACTCAGGTAGTGAGCATAGTACCCAACAGATAGTTTTTTAACCTTTGCCCACCCCCCACAACCCAATGTCTATTGTTACCACCTTTTTTCTTTTTTCTTTTTTTTCTTTTTTTTTTGAGACGGAGTCTTTCTCTGTCACCCAGGCTGGAGTGCGGTGGTGCCATCTCGGCTCACTGCAATCTTTACCTCCCAGGTTCAAGCAGTTCTCCTGCCTCAGCCTCCCAAGTAGCTGGGATTACAGGCGCCCGTCACCACTCCCAGCTAATTTTTGTATTTTTAATAGAGACAGGGTTTTGCCATGTTGGCCAGGCCGGTCTTGAACTCCTGACCTTTAGTTATCTGCTTACCTTGGCCTCTCAAAGTTCTGAGATTACAGACGTAGGCCACCACTCCCGGCTGCCCTCTTTTTTTTTTTTTTTAAGCTTTTAATTTTAGATTCAGAGGGTACTGTGCAGATTTGTTACAAAGGTATATTGCATGATGCTGAAGTTTGAGATACGATTGAAACTGTCGCCCAGGTAGCGAGCACAGTACCCAATAAGTAGTCTTTCAACCCTTGCCGTCCATCCCTGTTTCCCCAATGTCTATTGTTCCCATCTTTACTTTTCTGTCTTGTTTTTGAGATGGAGTCTTGCTCTGTGGCCCAGGCTGGAGTGCAGTGGTGTAATCTCAGCTCACTGCAGTCTCTGTCTTCCGGGTTCAAGTGATTCTCCTGCCTTACCTCCCAGGTAGCTGGAACTATAGACATGCGCCATCATGCGTGGCTAATTGTTTTTTGTAGAGATGGGTGTCACCATGTTGGCCAGGCTGGTCTCGAACTCCTGACCTCAAGGCATCTGCTCACCTTGGCCTCCCAAAGTGCTGGAATTACAGGTGTGAGCCACTGTGGCCAGACTTATGGTTCCCATTTTCCTGTCCATGTGAACCCAATGCTCCCATCTGTAAATGAGAACGTGCGGTATTTGATTTTGTTTCTGCATCAGTTTGCCTAGGATAATGTCAGCCCTCTTTCTTATCTCTACAGTGTAGGA
The DNA here is from genome assembly GCF_000001405.40 of Homo sapiens. Lineage (NCBI taxonomy): Eukaryota > Metazoa > Chordata > Mammalia > Primates > Hominidae > Homo > Homo sapiens. The sequence goes on along the minus strand of NC_000007.14, from coordinate 72,226,624 downwards.
AGATGTGTTTGGGGATCATAACTTTTATCCTGTCCATGTAACCCTTGAAAGCACTGGGATAGCGAAAGCTGACCTTCAGTGATATGTCTTAGAGGAAGTCCTAACAATGTGGGGTGTTGAAGCTGGGTCATCTTATGAAGTTGCCTACTTTCTTGACCCTTCCCTGCTGCTTTCTAGGTGAGGAAACTGAGGCCCAAAGAGGGGAAGAGCAAGGACTCCTATGGGCTAGACTATGCATTGGGTCATTATGTCACCCCTGCCAGGTAGGCAGAGTTAGCCTCATTTTGCAGTTGGGGAAATCATGGTTCAGAGAAGCATCTCGGTGGCATGAACAGTTTTCCATTGCTAATTCTTTCTTTCTTTTTTTAATTATTATTTTGAGACAGATTTTCACTCTTGTCACCCAGGTTGGAGTGCAATGCTGTGATCTTAGCTCACTGCAACCTCCATCTCCCGGATTCAAGCGATTCTCCTGCCTCAGCCTTCTTAGCGTGCACCACCATGCCCGGCTAATTTTTTTTTTTTTTTTTTGGGTGGAGTCTCGCTCTGTCACCAGGCTGGAGTGCAGTGGCGCAATCTCGGCTCACTGCAACCCCTGCCTCCCGGGTTCAAGTGATTCTCCTGCCTCAGCCTCCCGAGTAGCTGGGACTACAGGTGTGTGCCACCACACCCGGCTAATTTTTGTATTTTTAGTAGAGACGGAGTTTCACCATGTTGGCCAGGATGGTTTTGATCTCTTGACCTCATGATCTGCCTGCCTCGGCCTCCCAAAGTGCTGGGATTACAGGCCTGATCCACTGCTATTTCTTTCCCTGCACCCTTTTGCCTTGCAGAAGATATGCACAGTTGAAATTGTAAGCCTTAGACATTGTGGGTACTCGCTAGGAGCTCAGAAACAGCTGAGTTTGATTTTCTCGCAAAGAGCACATGGAAGTGAGGAACACACAAGATGGCGTGACATTTTATGCCCTTTCAGTGTAAATTCTACAAAATCATCAAGGTAGCGCCGAGGGCTTCGCTTTAAAATAGAATACACGTGGAATTATCAGTCTTCAGAGACCGAGCTGTGTGTGATCTTTCCGTCTAGCTGCTTGTCTTTGGCACAGAAAACTGAAAATGACCTCTTTTCCCCATTGGCCACTCCTTTTGAAGCTTGACCAACACGGCGGAAAGCCCTGCTCACTTCTTTGTAAGTGGCCCTTTTTGGGGTATCGTTGCCCCTCCCCCGTGCCAGGGAATGGTAATTGGCACTTAAGTATCGAGTCAGTTGGAAAAAGAACCGAAGCAGGGTGCTTACAGAATTGGGGACACACAGGAGGACACCCTGCTAAGGTGTGTCCTGCTGTCTCAGACAGGAACCTGGTGCTCAGTGAAGGAAGCTTCCCTGAGGAAGAGACGTGAAAGCCGAGCCCGGCCTCTTTTGGTAAAATGACTTCCTTCCTGTGGGCCTGTGAAGCACCACATTGGGCCTATGAGAGACCAAGTGCAGGGAAAATGCTGGAATATCGTGCTTTTTTTTTTTTGAGATGGAGTCTCGCTGTGTCACCCAGGCTAGAGTGCAGTGGCGTGATCTCTGCTCACTGCAAGCTCCACCTCCTGGGTTCATGCATGCCGTTCTCCTGCCTCAGCCTCCCAAGTAGCTGGGACTACAGGTGCCCGCCACCACACCCAGCTAATTTTTTTTTTGTGTGTGTGTATTTAGTAGAGACCGGGTTTCACCATGTTAGCCAGGATGGCCTCAATCTCCTGACCTCGTGATTCACCTGCCTCGACTTCCCAAAGTGCTGGGATTACAGGCGTGAGCCACCGTGCCCGGCCTTATCCTGCTCTTTTTTTTTAATTTTTTGACAGGGTCTCACGGTGTTGCCTAGGCTGGAGTGCAGTGGCGCAATCTTGGCTTATTGCAACCTCTGCCTCCGGGGTTCAAGCGATTCTCGTGTCTCAGCCTCCCGAGTAGCTGGGATTACAGGCACTGGCCACCACTCCCAGCTAATTTTGTATTTTTAGTAAAGACAGGTTACACCATGTTGCAAGGCTGGTCTCAAACTCCTGATCTAAAGTAATTCACCTGCCTTGGCCTCCCAAAGTGCTGAGATTACAGACGTGAGCCACCATGTCTGGCCATATCCTGCTCTTTTTAAACAGCACGGCTGGGTCTTCCTTTAGTTCACGGGTTTTAATTCTGAACATGAGTAACAGCATTAAAAGAAGTCACTTGTTTCCTTTTTGACCCTGTGATATCCATCCAAAAAAAATTTTGCCTTCCATATGACTTAGGAACTGAAGGAATGCTATTTCCTTGTGCTGGCGTTGCCCTGTCTTTGGTATATAGATGATGTTTCCTTTGCATTTTACCTCCTCTAGTGAATGAAAAAGTCATTTCTTCCAATTTTAATTCTCCTAGAAGATTTTATTTTTTAATTTAAAAAATAATTTCAACTTTTATTTTAGATTCAAGGGGGTACATATGCCAGTTTGTTACAAGGGTATATTGTGTGATAATGAGTATATATTACAAGGGTATATTGTGTGATATTGGGGTACGATTGATCCTGTCACCCAGGTAATGAGCATAGCACCCAATAGGTAGCTTTTTAACCCTTGCCTTCCTCCCTACATCCTCCCTCTAGTAGTCCCCACTGTCTGTTGTTCCCATCTTCATGTCTGCGTGTACCCAATACTTGAGCTCCATGTATACATCAGAACATGCAGTATTTGGTTTTCTGTTTATGCATCAACTTGCTTAGGATGATAGCCTCCAGCTGCTTCCATGTTGCTGCCGAGGACACGATTTCCTTCTTTTTTATGGCTGCATAGTATTCCATGGTGTCTATGCACCACATTTTCTTTACCCAATCCACTGTTGATTTCATCTGTCTGGATTTCATGTCTTTGCTACTGTGAATAATGCTGCAATAAACATGCTAGTGCGGGTGGCTTTTCAATAGAACAATTGGGTAGAACAATTTATTTTTTTGCTGGGTCAAATGGTAGTTCTGCTTTTGGTAATGACTTCCTTTTGTGGGGGCCTGTGAGGGACCACATCAGGCCTATGAGAGACCAAGTTCAGGGAAAGTGCAGGGAATGTCCTGCTCTTTTTAAGCAGTGGCTGCTGGGTCATCCTCCAGTTCACTAGCATTGAGAGAAGCCACTTGGTTCCTTTTTTACCCTGTAAGCCATATCCATCAAAAAATGAATCACCTTCCATACTAGTTAGAAGCTGAAGGAGCACGATTTCCTCATGCTGGTTGGGCCCTGTTTTTGGTTTAGAAATGATGTTTCCTTTGTATTTTCCCTCCTCCAGTGACTTGGAAGTCATTCCTTCAGACTTTAATTCTCCTGGGAGATTTTATTTCTCCCATGTGCCCAGCTCCACCTCAATTTCAGATTAAGCTCAGCTCTGTTGTCAGAAGAATGGGAACCCCTCTTCTCCTCTGCCTGACCGCGGCCCGTTAAATAAATAGCAAGGAAAGCCCATCATTCTGATTATGTTTTGTTGCCACCACTCCCTTGCCTGTGTCCCAGTGCCAACTGCTTTAACAGGAGCCTGTAGCTCACCCTAAGCAGGGGCTACCCTCTCCTTTTCTTTTTTCATTGATTTTTAGAGACAAGGTCTTGCTTTGTCACCCAGACTGGATTGCAGTGGTGCAATCATAGCTCACTGCAGCCTCTAACTCCTGGGCTGAAGCGATCCTCCTGCCTCAACCTCCCGAGTAGCTGGGACTACAGGTGCACACCACCGTGCCTGAATAATTTGTATGGTTTTGATCAAGATAGGATCTCACTATGTTGCTCAGGCTTGTCTTGAACTCCTGGGCTTAAGCAGTCCTTGCCCTTTGGTCTCCTAAAGCACTGGGATTACAGGTATGAGCCACCACGCCTGGCCTTCTCCCTTTCTTTTTAGCTTGTGATTTCTGGCCACGGGGGTCTCTGATTGTGTCAAGCAAGATCCTGAGAGGTGGGTGAAAAACCAGCACTGACTCCTCCAAATGAGGCACCTGATATGGTTTGGATCTGTGTCCCCCACCCAAATCTCATGTTCAATTGTAATCCCCAGTGTTGGAGGGGGGCCTGGTAGGATGTGATTGGATCATGGGGGCAAACTTCTTGTGAATGGTTTAGCACCATCCTCCTTGGTACTGTCCTTATGACAGTGAGTGAGTTCTCGTGAGATCTGATAGTTTAAAAGTGTGTGGTATCTCCCCTCTCTCTTGCTCCTGCTTTTGCCATGTGACATACCAGCTTTCCCCCTTGCCTTCTGCCATGATTGCAAGTTTCCTGAGGCCTGGCCAGAAGCCAAGCAGATGCCAGCATCACACTTCCAGTATAGGCTCCAGAATTGCCAGCCAATTAAACCTTCTTTCCTTTTTTCTTTCTTTCTTTTTTTTTTTCTTTTTTTGAGACGGAGTCTCGCTCTGTTACCCAGACTGGAGCGCAGGGGCACAGTCTAAGCTCACTGCAATCTCTGCCTCTCAGGTTTAAGCGATGCTCCTGCCTCAGCCTCCCAAGTAGCTGGGACTACAGGCTTGTGCCCCCATACTTGGCTAATTTTTGCACTTTTAGTAGAGACAGGGTTTCACCATGTTGGCCAGGCTGGTCTCAAACACCTGAGCCCAAATGATCCGCCCGCCTTGGCCTCCCAAAGTGCTGGGATTACAGGCGTGAGCCACTGCACCTGGCCTAAAACTCTTTTCTTTATAGGTTACCCAGTCTCAGGTATTTCTTCTTTTTTTTTTGAGATGGAGTCTCTCTCTGTCACCCAGGCTGGAGTGCAGTGGCACGATCTCAGCTCACTGCAACCTCCGCCTCCCGGGTTTAAGCAATTCTCTGCCTCAACCTCCTGAGTTGCTGGGATTACAGGCACATGCCACCATGCCCAGCTAATTTTTGTAGTTTTAGTAGAGACTGGGTTTCACCATGTTGGCCAGGCTGGTCTCGAACTCCTGACCTCAGGTGATCCGCTCTCCTCGCCTTCCAGAGTACTGCGATTACAGGCATGAGCCACTGCGTCCAGCCTCAGCCACTCAGCTTTATTTCCAGTTTTTCCTGGTCCTAAGTAGTTATGTAGTGAACTATGGAAAAACAAATCTTTGCTTGTCTTTGTGATTGTTTTTTAAAGCTGTGACCTAACACAAAAAAATTAGCCAGGCACGATGGCGGGTGCCTGTAATCCCAACTACTCGGGAGGCTGAGGCAGGAGAGTTGCTTGAATCCAGGAGGCGGAGCTTGCAGTGAGCCAAAATCACGCCACTGCACTCCAGCCTGGGCAACAGATAGATACCCCGTCTCAAAAAAAAAAAAAAAAAAAAAAAGAAGCCAAGACTTGTGTAAGTGAAAACACTGGGGCATCGCGTCTCCACGTTTTCGGGGCTCTTATAACAGATTGTCCAGTTGCTTCCCTGATAGGTCAGTTCTGTTTCCACTCCTACTAACCGTGTGAAAAATACTCCCCTTTCACCACCCTTTCGCCAACATCATGTTTATGGTTTTAGAAATTGTTGCAAATTTGCAAGGATTTCATGTCTAAAACACCAAAAGCAATGGCAACAAAAGCCAAAATTGACAAATGGGATCTAATTGAACTAAAGAGCTTCTGCACAGCAAAAGAAACTACCATCAGAGTGAACAGGCAACCTACAAAATGGGAGAAAATTTTTGCAACCTACTCATCTGACAAAGGGCTAATACCCAGAATCTACAATGAACTCAAACAAATTTACAAGAAAAAAACAAACAACCCCATCAAAAAGTGGGCGAAGGACATGAACAGACACTTCTCAGAAGAAGACATTTATGCAGCCAAAAAACACATGAAAAAATGCTCATCATCACTGGCCATCAGAGAAATGCAAATCAAAACCACAATGAGATGCCATCTCACACCAGTTAGAATGGCAATCATTAAAAAGTCAGGAAACAACAGGTGCTGGAGAGGATGTGGAGAAATAGGAACACTTTTACACTGTTGGTGGGACTGTAAACTGGTTCAACCATTGTGGAAGTCAGTGTGGCAATTCCTCAGGGATCTAGAACTAGAAATCCCATTTGACCCAGCCATCCCATTACTGGGTATATACCCAAAGGATTATAAATCATGCTGCTATAAAGACACATGCACACGTATGTTTATTGCAGCACTATTCACAATAGCAAAGACTTGGAACCAACCCAAATGTCCAACAACAATAGACTGGATTAAGAAAATGTGGCACATATACACCATGGAATACTATGCAGCCATAAAAAAATGATGAGTTCGTGTCCTTTGTAGGGACATGGGTGAAACTGGAAACCATCATTCTCAGCAAACTATCGCAAGGACAAAAAACCAAACACCACATGTTCTCACTCATAGGTGGGAATTGAACAATGAGAACACATGGACACAGGAAGGGGAACATCACACTCCAGGGACTGTTGTGGGGTGGGGGGAGGGGGGAGGGATAGCATTTGGAGATATACCTAATGCTAAATGACGAGTTAATGGGTGCAGCACACCAGCATGGCACATGTATACATATGTAACAAACCTGCACATTGTGCACGTGTACCCTAAAACTTAAAGTATAATAATAATAAAACAAAAAAAATTATAAAAAAAAAATTGTTGCCAATTTGGTTGCTTCAAATAAGACTGGAGTTTTGTTTTACTTTGACTACTAGTGAGGTTGAATTTTTTTTTATAGGAGGCTAATCAATGTGTTTTTCTGCATCCTTTGATATCATCGATGCAGTTCTGGTTTAGAAGGTAGCTCTTGTTCATTCCAGGATTTTGTCTCTTGAACTGACCCTATTGACAGTTCAGCCATTGAAATGTCTCCTATTTGCATAGGAAATTCTATTATATGCAGTTTCCTATTCTGCTGCCTCTGTGTGTGTGTGTGCGTGCATGCTTGTGTGTATGTGTGCACGTGCGTGTGTGTGCATTGCATGTGTGCATGTGTATGCATGTGTGTGCAAGGGTGTGTGTGCGTGTGTGTGTGTGCGCGCATGTGTATCTTCATGGATTTTAATGGGAAATTGTATCAAGGAGTACTACATGTTGCACCTCTGATTGATTCTGAAATTCAGTTGACTCTTAAATGAAGAGCATCTTAACAGGTACAGTGGCTCATGCCTGTAATGCCAGCACTTTGAGAGGCTGGGGCAGGAGGATCACTTGAGGCCAGGAGTTTGAGATCAGCCTGGGCAACACAGCAAGACCCCATCTCTACAAAAAATAAAAAGAAAAATTAGCCAGTTGTGGTGGAATGCACCTGTAGTCCTAGCTGCTCATTAGGCTGAAGTTGGAGGATCACTTTAGCCCAGGATTTTAAGGTTACAGTGAGATATGATCATGCCACTGCACTCCAGCCTTGGGCAACAGAGCAAGACCTTGTCTCTTAAGAAAATGAAGAAAAAATGACGGGCATTTGACTCAGTTACAGCTGGCTGTCACTAGGGAAGAATTTTTCCTCTTCTATGCCCGTGGTCAGATCTTAGGGTCACTAGAGGTAATTGAGAAATAGAATGGCTGAGTGCTTATTTAATGAATACATATTCCCAAAAAATGCATGTTGTTAGTTGTCAGAGTCAAGAGTGGGGTAATTCAGGTAGGGTGCAGTTTCCTGTTTCAGGGGTGTGCTTCTCATGGCATCTGCAGTTCCCTGCACTCTGTCGCTCTTGGGAGTACACAATTTGCATCTCTCCTACCCAGCCCCTTCCTGAACTCCATGACTTTTTACCTGCCGGCCAGATCAGATTAGATGAAGATAGCCTAGGTGCTACAGAATGGATAATGAGGCACTTCTCCTTCAGAGGAAAACCGTGCTTTGGACATAGTGCTTTACCAGTCATTGTTTTATAGGGTCACATTCATTAACGTCCATAAGAAGGTCTTAATGACCACCTAGTCCCTACTCTCCCAGGGTTCCCATTGAGTGGATTAATGGTTTTCTCTTCTTTGAAGGACAATTATGTTTACTTAGACATTGTATACTAAAGCAAAGTGATGTTTCGGTTTTGGAAACTTCTTCAAGCATGGCGTCCTCTACATGGTCAGGTTAGAGATTCTCACTCAATTCCTCACCCCACACAACAGAAAAAGCAACAAATCACAATAACAGGCTACTGAGCTGGGCACTTCATTGTTGCTTTGGTTACCCAAAGCACAGTTATTTTATTTTATTTTATTTTTTGAGATGGAGTCTCGCTCTGTTGCCCAGGCTGGAGTGCAGTGGCACGATCTCAGTTCACTGCAACCTCCTCCTGCTGGGTTCAAGTGATTCTCCTGCCTTAGCTTCCTGAGTAGCTAGGACTACAGGTGCATGCCACCATGCCCGGATAATTTTTTGTATTTTTAGTAGAGATGGGGTTTCACCATGTTAGCCAGGATGGGTTCGATCTCCTGACCTGGTGATCCGCCTGCCTCGTCCTCTCAAAGTGCTGGCATTGCAAGCATGAGCCACTGCGCCTGGCCTGCACAGTTATTTAAAAAAAATTTTGGCGGAGCGGGGTGGCTCACGCCTGTAATCCCAGCACTTTGGGAGGCCGAGGAGGGCGGATCACGAGGTCAGGAGATCAAGACCATCCTGGCTAACATGTTGAAACCCCGTCTCTACTAAAAGTACAAAAAACTATCTGGGCGCAGTGGCAGGCACCTGTAGTCCCAGCTACTCGGGAGGCTGAGGCAGGAGAATGGCGTGAAGCTGGGAGGTGGAGCTTGCAGTGAGCCGAGATAGTGCCACTGCAGTCCAGCCCGCATGAAACAGCGGGACTCCATCTCAAAAAAAAAAAAAAAAAAAAAAAAAAAATTTATTTAATTTTTTTGTAGAGTTGGGGGATCTCGCTATATTGCCCAAGCTGATCTCGAACTTCTGGCCTCAAGCAATCCTCCCACCTAAGCCTCCCATAGCATTAGGATTATAGGTGTGAGCCACCACACCCAGCCCCAGTGATATTTAAGGTCACCAAGTTTGTCAGTTGGGTCTTTCTGGTTTGGACCCTAGAGATGCCTGTGAAATCGTCCTTCTTCCCCTAGACCTTCTCTGATGACAATCTCTGAACTCTGATGTAGCTTTCTGGCCCATTTCTTCATCTGGCACGACTTAGTGTCTTCAGTTTTGACTCTGTTTTGCACTCTCCCACACTTTGCTCTTTGAAGAGTAACTGGTTGCTATAGAAGCGGTGATGTCAGGGCCAGGGAGAGCGCTTTATTGGCATGGACCAGGGCTTTATAGAGTTGTTTTCTATAATCATGTTTGGGGCTGGTGTTAGTCATACTCCAAGAGGCAAGATGCCCAGGCCCAGACCTGCCTCCACCCCGAGGCTCCTGAGTCCTGTTACTCACTGGGGTACAGTGCTGTGCTACCTAGGACAGGGGAGTGGCTGGGGTGTGCTTGGTCTCCAGGAACCCTCTTGTCCATTTAGCCACGTCCTACAGCAGAGACTAGAGCCCTTAGGGGGAGTTTGGGTGTGGGACAATGCCTGCACCTTGGTCCGTGGGGAAGCAGACCCCCAAAAAGGTACTTTTCTTAATCCTTTCTTGTATTTTCTCTATTGCCTCTTAACATCTTGTCACATTCACACATGGGTTTAAAAATGCTGAAGGCCGGATGTGATGGCTCACACCTGTAATCCCAGCACTTTGGGAGGTGAGAGGATCACTTGAGCCCAGGAGTTTGAGACCAGTCTGGGCAACATAGCAAGACCCCATCTCTTAAAAAAAATCAGTGGGTGTGGTGGCATGTGCCTGTACTCCCAGCTACTCAGGAGGCTGAGGCAGGAGGATCACTTCAGGTGGAGAAGTTGAGTCTGCTGTAAGCCGTGATTGTGCTACTGAACTCCAGCCTGGGTGACAGAGCAAGACCCTGTCTCCCCCACCAAAAAACAATGCTGTGAAGTTGTCTCTTTTGGAGAAAGAGCTCAGGGGACCACTCAGCTTCACTGTCCCCTGCTTTATTTTGGGATCAGAGGTGTATCTGGTTCAATAACTGTTCTCTATGTCTAGAACTCAGGAGTGAGAAGGCAGGTGAAGGGGACAGAAGGTGACAAGAGCTTAGAGAGCCACTGGCCCCACGCTGACTCTTCTCCACCTCCCTAGGGTCAGGGTACCTTACGCTTGGGATGCACCCTATGATACACAGAATTATGGCTTCTCCAAAGATGCCACCTCCTAATCCCCAGACCTATGAAAGATATATGTATTTATTTATCTTTAATGTTTTTTTTTAAAGACATAGGGTCTTGTGTCATCCAGGCTGGAGTGCAGTGGTACAATCATAGCTCAGACTTCTGGGCTCCAGTGATCCTCCTGCTTAGGCCTCCCGAGTATCTGGGACTACAGGTGCACACCACCACGCTCAGTTATGTTAAATTTATTATTATTATTTTTTGTAGAGTCAGAGTCTCACTGTATTGCCCAAGCTGGTCTCGAACTCCTGGCCTCAAGCAGTCCTCCCCCATCAGCCTCCTAATGCATTAAGATTATAGATGTGAGCTACCCCGCCCAGCCCCAGTGATATTTAAGGTCAACAAGTTTGTTAGTTGGGTCTTTCTGGAGGCAGATGTTGAGATCAAGTGTGCAAGGTTTATTGGTGGGGAGGGAGGAAGTATTATAATAATGGCTGTGAAATTGAATGGCCTGGAAGTAGAACTGAACAGGAGGAGTCTCAGATTCCCATGCAGATCTGACAAAGCCTTGGTCCGACCCATGCTTACCTCTGCAGCAAAGATTGCCCATTAGAGGAATCCTGTGTTGGGTAGAAGTGGCCGGGACCAAGTCCCATGGCCAGCCCAGTCACTGGCTGGGGGCTGCCTGGGGAGGACGTGGCTGTGGCTCAACACTGAGTGAATCCCAAAGGCCTCGTGCAGCAGGGAATTCTTTTTTGCAGGGAGATCCTAGCTGGGTCCATCCACAGCTGCTGTACGAAGGCAGTAGCTCCGTGTGGAGCTGTCTTTATTTCAAGTCTTTTGCAGTATTACGGGATTGAAATGATTAAAATTGGGACTTCACTGCCTTTTTTCTCCTTTGCCTTTTTTTTTTTTTTTTTTGAGCAGGAGTTTCGCTCTTGTCACCCAGCTAGAGTGCAGTGGCGTGATCTCAGCTCACTGCAACCTCTGCTTCTTGGGTTCAAGTGATTCTCCTGCCTTAGCCTCCAGAGTAGCTGGGATTACAGGCATGCGCCACCATACCTGGCTAATTTTTGTATTTTTGGTAGAGACGGGGTTTCACCATGTTGACCAGGCTGGTCTCGAACTCCTGACCTCAGGTGATCTGCCCACCTCGGCCTCCCAAAGTGCTGGGATTACAGGCGTGAGCCACTGCCTCTGGCCTCTCCTTTGTCTTTAATGTTCAACAGAGGTGGTGAGGCAAGTTTGCATTTCTGCCTGGGTCAGGCTTCTGGAGAGGTGACATGGTGTGGTGATGTAGCCACATCTGCAATCCTCATCTTCAGTCATGCATTGATGTTAGCATGTAGACCAGTGGTCCGCAGCCCTTTTGCCACCAGGGACTGGTTTCATGGAAGATGCTTTTTCCCATGGAGCAGTGGGGGATGTCGGATGGTTTTGGGATGATTCATGTGCATTCCATTTATTGTGCACTTTATTTCTATTATGATTACATTGTTAATATAATGAAATAATCATACAACTCATCATCATGTAGAATCAGTGGGAGCCCTGAGCTTGTTTTCCTGCAACTAGATAGTCCTATCTGGGAGTGATGGGAGACGGTGACAGATCATTAGGCATTAGATCCTCATAAGGAGTGTGCAACCTAGATCCCTTGCATGCACAGTTCACAGTAGGTTTTGTGCTCCTATGAGAATCTAATGCTGCAGTGATTTGACAGGAGGTGGAGCTCAGGCGGGAATGCGAGCGGCGGGGAGTGGCTGTAAATACAGATATGAAGCTTCACTTCTGCACCCCTCACTCACCTCCTGCTGTGCGGCTCGGCTCCTAATAGGTCACTGCCTGGTGGTTGGGGACCCCTGATTGTAGAAGACCTATTTTTTTTTCTTTTCTTGAGACAAGATCTCGCTCTGTCACCCAGGCTGGAGTGCAGTGGTGCAATCATAGCTCACTGCAGCCTCAAAGTCCTCAAAAGACCTATCTTAATATGCAGATATTTCTTTTTTCTTTCTCTTCTTTTTCTTTTTTTTTCTGAGATGGAGTCCTGCTCTGTCTCCCAGGCTGGAGTGCAGTGGAGCGATCTTGGCTCACTGCAGCCTCCACCTCCTGGTTGAAGTGATTCTCCTGCCTCAGCCTCCTGAGTAGCTAGGACTACAGGCGTGTGCCACCACACCCAGCTAATTCTTATATTTTTAGTAGAGACAGGGTTTCATCATGTTGGCCAGGCTGGTGTCAAACTCCTGACCTCAGGCAATCCGTCTGCCTAGGCCTCCCAAAGTGCTGGGATTACAGGCGTGAGCCACTGCACCCAGCCTAATATACAAATATTTATAAAGAAGGTAGCACATTAACTAGTCAATAGTTATGGTGGTAAACACCTTGTCACCAAACTGTTTGTGCATCATTCATTGCATAGTAGACAGGGTTGAGCTGGGGAATCTGCCCAGATTGGTGCACTTGCTGGGGTGGAGCTAGCGAGGCCTGTGCTCCTCCTGTGGCTGTCTTGTTGGGTACCCCCTGCCTAGACCAAGGGCTCACTGCAGGGGTCTCTACTCCACCCTCAGCTTGCTGAGCAAATGCCACAACAGCGCCTTTGCCTCGTAGCCCTGGTCTCTCACTTTAAGGTTGCCCCTGAAATGCAAGAAGCTACGGAGCTCTCTCTGGGCTCATGCATAACCCAATAATGCAGGGGGACCTGAGCGTGGTGGGTGCATCCTTCTCCCTCCCTGTTTGGAGCACACAGCACTGGAGTGGAGTGCATTGCTGAGTAGACACAGCTGGTCACAGAGCCTTGTGGCAACACTTCTCAGAGCTGCCATCCCCTCTGTCCCCAACTCAACCCTATACCATCACTCTTGCCTTTCTGCAATGCTATTCCCCAAATAAACATTAGCTCATACACTTTTCTTTTTTTCCCCCAACAGCTTTATTGAAGTGTAATTTATTAAGTATCATTTACATACCATAAAATCTACAGCAATGCGCATCCCTCACCGAAATCCAATTTGAGTAGATTTCCATCACCCCAAAAACACATCCTCAAGCCCATTTGCAGTCATTTCCCGTTCTCACTCCCAGCCCCAGGCAACCACTAATCTATTTTCTGCTTCTGTAGATGTGCCTTCTCTGACCCATAAAGTTTTGCCTGAGGCTTCTTTGTTTAGGGAACCCAGGTTAAGACACACAGCAAATAATTCAGAAAATTCCTTGATGTCCAAGAACTGCCACTTCCTGTCTCCAGCTTTGAGGCCAGAGTGGACTGTCCCGGACAACTTGCTAGAGCGGAGAACAAAGATAACGTCTGAACAAATGTTTAGTTGTTTTTAATTAGGACACGCAATGCATTAGCAATTATAAGAGGCAGGATGGAATGTGTCTTAGTGGTAGCAGGGTTACTGCCAGAACGGACCCACGTCTTCAGAGTGATTTTCATTCTGAGCAGAAATTCGTCAGCAGGTTGATCACAAGCCCTGTGAAATGAGGGCAGAGCCCACAGCAAGGAGGGTCCTGAGAGTGAGGCTTTCTTGAGCGTTTCTGTTTTGTGGACTCCACAATCAAAAGTTTCTCTCAAGGATTTTCTCCATGTGGAAGGTGGCCCACAAGCAGTTTTGTGTTAAGGTATTTTGCATCATCACTACTGACTGGTTGATAGACTGGTTATTTAGAAATACCTTTTCTTTATTTTTATGTTTTCTTAGGAGTCAGAGTCTTGCTGTGTTGCCCAGGCTGGAGTGCAGTGGTATAATCATAACTCATTGAGGCCTCCAACTCTTGGGTTCAAGTGATCCTCCAGCCTCAGCTTCCTGAGTAGCTGGGACTATAGGTGTGTGCCACCAGGCCTGGCTCATTTTTTATTCTTTGTAGTGATGGAGTCTCGCTTTGCTGCCCCTGCTGGTCTTGAGTTCCTGGCCTCAAGCAATCCTGTCAGCCTCCTAAAGCACTGGGATTGCAGGCGTGAGCTACTATGCCAGGCCTAGAAATATCTGAATATTAAGATAGGTCGTCTTCTATGGTACCCCCAATGCATTGATTGAAGATGAAGATATTTTGGAATAGTTTCAATGGGGGCTGGGACTCTCCTTAGTCATAGTCCTTCAGTTCTTCCATGTCATATCTATTGGGTAGATTCTTCCCCCCTCTGGTATTTTTTTTTTTTTTTTTTGAGACGGTGTGTTGCTCTGTTGCCCAGGCTGGAGTGCAGTGCCACAGTCTCCGCTCACTGCAGTCCTCCACCTCGTGGGTTCAGGCAATTCCCCTGCCTCAGCCTCCCGAGTAGCTGGGATTACAGGTGCCTGCCACCACGCCTGGTTAATTTTTTGTATTTTTAGTAGCGATGGGTTTCACTGTTAGCCAGGATGGTCTCCATCTCCTGACCTCCTTATCTGCCCGCCTTGGCCTCCCAAAGTGCTGGGATTACAGGCATGAGTCACCGTGCCCGGCCCCTCTCTGGTATTTAACAGCAAAGGAAACATGGATTTGAATTGGAAAATAATCAGATATCTAGGAGCCATAAAAAACGGTTATTCATCAAGCATCTATTACGAGTCGGGTCTTAAGTCTTACATGAAACAGTTTATTGTGCTTTTAATGTGGGCCAGAAAACGTGCCAAGAGCTCTCTATCATCATCTTCTTTAATTCTCTGCACAACACTATCATATTTCCATTTGAGAGATGTAGAAACTGGCTCAGCTAATACGTGGAAGAAAGTTAATTCAAACCCAGGCCTGACCCCATCACCGGCTGTCACCTCATCTGCCGGCAAGTTAGATGAATAAGCCATAACTCAAGGACTCCTATTTTAGCAGCAGGGACCGTCAATAGGAACAAGCACATGCAATGATATTTTGCAGCGATAGCTAACATTCATAGAACATTCGTGATGTACCAGGCCTTGTTTTTCGTGCTCTAGGTGTGTTATCTAATTTAATTCTTGCTACAGACCTATCGAGTCGTTTCTTGGATCATCATCATTTTGCAGATGGGTACCCTGAACTATGATAGGAGTAAGTTCATTTGCCCAAAGTCAGGAGACACAGGAGAGATGCTTTGCATGTGATCTCTCCTTTCTTGCTGAAATAAAAGGCAAAATGGAGCTCCATCTGAGAGTCAGCAGTATGTATTTTAGCTGAGTCACACATTGTTAATAGGAAGGGAATGGGCGGGAAAAGTGTTTTAGGCAGAAGGAAGAGTTACAGCAAAAGCAGTGGTGTGTGCAACAGAGTAATGGGTTTGAGGAACTCTACCTGGCCCAGCTTCTCTGGAGCCTGGAAAGGAAGGGAAAAGAGGTGCAGAGACTGAGGTCTGGAGAGGTGGGAAAGGGTCAGGTTGGGGCCAGCCTGGAGAATTAGGCTATAGGGAGCCTAAGTTAGTTTTGTTGGCAATACGAACCCTTTGAATGATTTCATTAGGAGTGTCACAATCAAATTTTCATTTCAGTTCATTTTACTTATTTTTTTAGAGATAGGGTCTTGCTCTGTCATCCAGGCTAGAGTGCAGTGGTACAATCATAGCTCACTACAGCCTTGAACTCCTGGGTTAAAGGATCCCCCTGCCTCAGCCTCCCAAGTAGCTGGGACCACAAGCTTGTACCACCATCCCAGCTAATTTTTTTTTTAATTTTTTTCTGGAGACCGGGGCTCATCATCTTTCCCAGGCTGGTCTTGAACTCCTGGGCTCAAGGGATCCTCCCACCTCAGCATCTGATATGGTTTGGCTCTGTCCCTATCCCAAATCTCATCTTGCATTGTAATCCCCATAATCATGACGTGTCAAGGGAGAGACCAGGTGGAGGTATTAAATAATTGAAACATGGGGGTGGTTTCCTCCATACTTTTCTTGTGATAGTGAGTTCTTATGAGATCTGCTGTTTTTTTAAGTGTTTGGTAGTTCCTCCTGAGTTCAGTCTTTTTCCTACCTCCTTGTGAATAAGGTGCCTGCTCCCCCTTCGCCTTCCCCCATGATTGTAAGTTTCCTGAGGCCTCCCCAGCCATGCTGAACCGTGAGGCAATGAAACCTCTTTCCTTTATAAATTACCAGTCTTGGGCAGTTCTTTGTAGCAGTATGAAAACGAAACAATGCAGCCTCCCAAAGTGCTGGGGTTACAGGTTTGAGCCACCACACCCAGCCTAAATGTTCACTTTAGAAAGATTACTCTGACAGCACAAAATCTTAGCACAAAATAATTTATTCTTCACATTCACCAACACTCCCGAGGGATGGAGTACACCATAGAGAAGCTTGATTAGGGTGGGGTGGGGAAGAACAGGAAAAATGGAACTGCAGGCATGCCTCAAGGGGAGGCCGTTCTGGAGAAGCCCCAGCAGCCTGGTAGGAGGCAGGAGGTGGATGGCTGGAAGGGGGAGACGGAAGAAGATGAGAAAAGCAAACTGTGTCCCTGCAGTTGTCCTTCTTCATAGGACAAAAGGGGATAGGTGATGGGAAGCCTGGGAAGGGCCTGGAAGGGTGGAGAAGGGAGACCACCGTCAGAAACGAGGGCTTCGGGGGATGCTGCTGGAACACCCTCTTATGACTTTGTTTTAATTTTTATTATCTAGAACTTTTGATTGAAGTATCCCATAGGTACAGAAAAGTGTACCAAGGATATTGTACAGCTCAGACAATTTTCACCAAGTGGGATAACCAGCCCCTAGGTCAAGAAACAGAACCTAAGCCTTGAAAACATGCTTGCTTGAGAGAGAATCCAGAGACAAAGGGCCATGTAGGATTCCATTTCTCTGAAATGCCCCGAATAGACAAGTCTATAGAGACAGCTGGTAGAGTAATGGATGCTTAGGGCTGGGGAATAAAGAGCCCGATAGCCAAAGTGTAGAGAGGGTTTTTTGTTTTCTTTTTTTCTGAGGTGATGAAAATGTTCTAATATTGACTGCAGTGATACACATGTCTGTGAATATACTAAAAACCATTGATTGTTTGCAAAGAGAAAGAGAGGGAGAGAGGGAGGAACGGAGGGCGGAGAGAGGGAGGGAAGGAAGAAAGGGAAGGGAAAAAAGCAAGGAAGCAGGGAAGGAAGGGAGAAGGGAAGGGAGGAAGAAAGGATGTAAGGAAGGAAGGAGGGAAGGAGGGAAGGAAAGAGGGAAGGAGGGAAGGAAAGAGGGAAGGAAAGAGGGAAGGAGGGAAGGAGGGAAGGAAAGAGGGAAGGAGGGAAGGAAAGAGGGAAGGAAAGAGGGAAGGAGGGAAGGAGGGAAGGAAAGAGGGAAGGAGGGAAGGAAAGAGGGAAGGAGGGAAGGAAAGAGGGAAGGAGGGAAGGAAAGAGGGAAGGAAAGAGGGAAGGAGGGAAGGAAGGAGGGAAGGAGGGAAGGAAAGAGGGAAGGAGGGAAGGAAGAAGTCAAGGGAGAAGGGGGGAAGGAATGAAAGAGGGAGAGAAGGAAGGAGTAAAAAAGAGAGAAATGACACAAGAAAGGAGGGAAGGGAAGGAGAGAGGACAGGATGGAGGGAAGGAGAAAAAGGAGAGAGAGAAGGAAGGAGGGAAGGAAGGAAAGAGGGAAGGAGGGAAGGAAGGAAGGAAGTAGGAAAAGGAAGGAAAGGGAGGGAGGGAGGAAGAAAGAAAGAAACAGAACATGACTGGAATTTCTGAGTCCTGGAAATGGTGATGTGTGATGCCTTTCAAATCCCCAGCCTTCCTGGAGAGCAGCCACTACCTTTACTTCTAACACTGTGTATTCACTTCTCCTGCTTTTGCATTTTAGGTAAAAGGAACAAAATGGTCTATTGTGTCTGGCCTCTTAGCTCAACATTACATTTGTGACATTCCTGTGTATCGAGCATGGCTTCTGGCTTTTTTAAAAATAGTTGTTTTCCCATTACAAATTAATATACATCCATTAAAAAAAAGTCCCTGGAAAATACGGAAAAGCAAGAAGAAGGAATAAAAGTCTCCAGGCATTCTGCCACCCAGGTGGAACCACTGTTGACATATTGATGTATTTTTTTACTCTTTTTTTCTCTGCCTATGAAGTGTTAAACTGTTGTTGTAGCAGGCATATCCATGTGGTTTTCAAAATATCATCCATGCAACTGCAGTCTTCCATGGACATGCCTGAGTGGCTGTGCAAGTGTTTTATTCATATTTAGCATTTTAAATACATTCTGCTCTATTTAGAGCTGTGATAAAAATGATACCCAAATGTATTAGAAACCAAACTTATTAGAAACCACCAGTGTGAAAATTTGTGTATCTTGGTTAACTTGTGATTGTGTAAACTTAAAAATAACTTTTCTCTTGTAAGTCCTATTCAACGTAAGAATATCATAAAACCAGGTGACTTATTAAAACTACATTTGCAGCTACCCATCTATGTGAATCAGGATTTTCCTCAATATTAAATAGCTAAATTAAAATAAGTGAATGCCATCTGAGGCTTTTATTAAATAAAAACTTTCCTCCCTATTTCTCAATTTAAAATGTGAATTTTTCATTTAAAAAGCCTCTCTGTTTTATTGGTTGATTGTATAAGAGGCAACTGTCATGATCTTCTGAGTTTAACAATACATTGATAAGAAAATACTGCCTTTATGTCTGTTATACTGGAGTTTCACAGAGATTTTGTAAAAAAGTTTTGCTGTTAAAAACTTTGAAAACCAATACCATAGATAAATTTGTATAGATTTTTTGTCTTAAAATGCACTTTTTTACTATAAAAGTAATATATATGCATTGCAAAGTATGAAGAATAAAGAATAATAAGAGAAAAATAAAAGTCGCCCAGAGTTCCACCTGTCATATATAACCATTATCCACTTAACAAACATGCATTGTGTGTCTGTTAATTATATGAAACTGTTCTCAATTATGGGGTTATAGCAATGTAAAGACAGAGAATGTCCTTCTTACAAGGCTTATATTTTTGGCAGGGGAGACATATAAGAAAGTAAGCGGGATGGGTGCAGTGGCTCATGCCTGTAATCCCAGCACTACCAGGAGGCGGATCTTGCAGTGAGCCGAGATTGCACCACTGCACTCCAGCCTCGGTGACAGAGCGAGACTCTGTCTCAAATATTACTACTACTACTACTACTACTACTAAATAAACAAACTGGCTGAATTTAGCTACTTGTAAGTGCTCTCAAGAAAATAAAACAGGCTGGCAGGTTGGGAACCGCATAGGAGTTGGCCAATGAGGGTGTTCAAGGGAGGGACATTTGAAGGGAGACTTGAAAAACAAGAAGTCATTTGCCATGGGAAGATCCAGGGGCAGAGCACTCCCTTCAACCCAAAACTCAAGATAAGAATAAGTTCTTCCCTCCCGCCGACAAAGAGACAGAGGGCCGGAGTGGTTGGAGCCTAGTGAATCGGGGAGAGAGTGGGAGGATGCGTAAATGTAGAAAGACCAGCTCAAATGAGCCCTTGCTAGTCATGTCATGAAATGCAGATTTTACCAACATTTTGAGTAGTTCATTAGCATCTTTTTCTTTCTGGCAAATTGTAATAGTTGATATTTTATCATTGATATTGATGTTAGAGATGATATAGAGACTGTTTCAACAGCTTTACAGCAAAGATAGAGGAGCTCAGTGACAGATAATGTCTATATTTGGGAAGATTACTAGTCTTTGGTTCTTATAAAAATACAGGGACCTACCTCATTCAATGAGATTCCCATGTTGCAGCTGTCCCAGCTTCCAGGTGGCCAGGTGGGATGAATCTCATCAAAGGATAAATCCATTCTTATTAAAGGCTGAATAAGCAGGAAAAACCATATCTTCAATATGGGATATATAAACAAATCTGCAATGTGAAAGGAGATAAACATATTCTTCAAGAAGTAAAGAAAGGGCATAGTTAAAAACAGATTTTTTTTTCTTTGAAAACAAAAACAAATTTTAGCCTGCATCTGTTCTAGTCTTAAGGGATTTTAGGCAATGAAACAAGAAAAGAAATAAATAAAAGAATAAACACAATAAAGGGAAACAGACTCTAAAACAAGAGCAAAATACAAAAAAAGATAAGCTTGTAGGATAAGGCACTGACTAAGATGAAAATTAATTTGGCAAAATTTCAAAGAGTAGAAGCAAATCATGCAATTGCAAGTCACATATAGTATTAGAAGCAGTAAGAGGCAGAAGTAATATTACAGCGAATCTATGCAGTCAAAAGAAGAGGAGTTTGAGAGAAGCTCTAGAATGTATAGGATGAGGACAAGAAACTAAAAGTTATTTGAGACGTCATAAGTACAGAGAACAGACAGCAAAGATCCAACAGAGGGACCATTTATATTTTCGAAGAAGAGGCCAAAACAAATCCAATGACAGATGCTGCATTTCAAATATAACAATAACAAAATTCCTACTGAACATTTTTTGGGGAATGTGACAAAATGTTTCTAAAATTCGTCTGAAGAATAAATGGCTGTGAAGAGCCCATTACGTTATTCAAAAAACAAAAACAAAATGGTGAGTGAGCCCTTGATCTTCCAGATATTGAGGATTCACTTTAAAAACTCTAATAATGAAAAGTGGTGCTGCTATGAAAGCAGGGAGACCAGTAAAGCACAGTGGAGAAGCTGGTGATATATTTGAGTTTATTTGGCTAGTATATGGCAAAAGTCCAAAATCAGCGAGAAAAGGATTCAGTAAACATGATTGGGGAAGTGTATTAATATTTGGGAAGATAATTGTTGGGTTCTTTCCTTATGCTAAAGCATAC
The DNA here is from genome assembly GCF_000001405.40 of Homo sapiens. NCBI lineage: Eukaryota > Metazoa > Chordata > Mammalia > Primates > Hominidae > Homo > Homo sapiens. The sequence continues at coordinate 72,205,847 of NC_000007.14, read as the reverse complement.
AATTAATTGAATTTGGATTAAAGAGTTAAATATAAAATATGAAATCACAGCTGTTAGAGATTGCACTGTAGGTTAAATACATATAAACTTGAATTTGGGAATGCTTTTTCAAGTTTAACCCCAAAGTCATAAGGTATAAAGGAAAAATTGATAAATTTGATGTTACAAAACTTAAAGCATTAAAAAAGGAAAACGTTATAAACCAGCCTGACAAATTGAGATAAGATATTTCCAATATATATTATAAATGTTTCTCCTGAATATATATATATATATATACATATATATATATATATTTTTTTTTTGCAATCAGGAGAAAAATACTTCTGACAAAAATTGGGGAAAGGCTGGGTGTGGTGGCTCATGCCTGTAATCCCAGCAGTTTGAAAGGCCAAGGTGGGTGGATCAACTTGAGGTCAGGAGTTAGAGACCAGCCTGGTTAACATGGTGAAACCCTGTCTCTACTAAAAATACAAAAAATTAGCCAGGTGTGGTGGTACATGCCTGTAATCCCAGCTACTAGGGAGGCTGAGGCAGAAGATGCTTGAGCCTGGGAGGCGGAGGTTGCGGTGAGCTGAGATCACACTACTGCACTCCAACCTGGGTGACAGAGCAAGACTCTATCTCAAAAACAAAACAAAAGAAAAGCAAAAATAAAAACAAAAAAACTGAGGAAAGAATGTGAACAGGTTTTGCACAAAATGAAAAAAAAATCAAATTGATCAATAAGCCTACAGAGAAGAATCCCCAACTTTTAGTAATAGAAATTGAAAATAAAGCAACAAAATGTCAATTTCTATCCACTATTTTAGCAGGGTTGGACAGAAAAAGTAGATATCCATTGTTGGCAATGCTGTGTGAAAATGGACATTTTCATTCTTTATTGTTGGGATTATAAAATTGTAGAATTTTTTGGTATGGAATTTAGACAATATGTGTACAGCAGTTTAAAAACGTGAATTGCCTTGGGACCCAGCAATTTCATTTTTAAGAATTTTATATTTAAAATAACTGTATTAGTTTAAAAAACTACATGTAGAAGGATGCTCATTCTACACTGTAGCAAAGAACTGGAAACAAGCTAAATATATGCTGTTTACCATGTTGCAGGGATTGTTCTAAAGTCTTTACATGTATAATTCATTTAATCCACACAGCTCTGTGAGTTAAGTACTGTTGTGATTCCCATTATGCTCATGAGGAAACAGGCACAGATTGTTTAATTTGCCCAACATTGCATGACTAATAAATGGTGGAAAAGTGATTTGATCTCAGGAAATTTTACCTCGTGAACTAAGTTTTTAATTGCCACATTACATAGTATATTGTATAATGTGTAGTATAGTTTTTATAATGTTAAAAAATTCAATGATCGGGTTGGTTGTGTTAATCATGAGTCAATTATTCATGGACTGGAATGCAATATGGTCATTGAAAATAATATTGTTGGAGATTTTTTTTCACATGGAAATTTGATACATTATGAACAAAGGCAACAACGAACTGTGTATAGTTGAATACAATTAACATTAAAAAAGAGTCCTCTTGGCTTTGGCTGGGTGCGGTGGCTCACACCTGTAATCCCAGCACTTTGGGAGGCTGAGGCGGGAGAATCACGAGGTCAGGAGATGGAGACCATCCTGGCTAACACGGTGAAACCCCGTCTCTAATAAAAATACAAAAAAAAAAAAATTAGCCAGGTGTGGTGACAGGTGCCTGTAGTCCCAGCTACTGGGGAGGCTAAGGCAGAACGGCGTAGACCCGGGAGGTGGAGCTTGCAGTGAGCTGAGATTGCGCCACTGCACTCCAGCCTGGGCGACAGAGTGAGACTCTGTCTCAAAAAAAAAAAAAAAAAAAAAAAAAAAAAAGAGAGAGGCCTCTTATATGAAGGCTATGCATGGGAAATGCTGCAAGAACATTATGAAAGGTAACAATGTTTTTCTTTAGTAATTGGGATAATGGGTATATTTTACCCCCTGGCTTTTGTATATCTTCTGCATTGGGCTAGTATGACTTTTGCACTTAGAAAAAAAAATGTTATTAAACAATAAACAGAAAATTCAGACCTCAAATTACTTGGCAACAAAGACACCTTTTAA